>NC_000002.12:45644897-45947928 GCF_000001405.40 Homo sapiens | reverse complement strand
CTCCTGTTTCTCGTCATTTTTACAACTCCAAACTTTATTAAGTACAATAGGTTATAAAAGAAATATACACTTTAGAGCAAGAAATTTTGACTCGATAGTCCCACTTCAAAGAAAATCCTAAAGAAACGTTTTAATTCTACAGAAATGCTGTTTGTAGTAACAACCATCACCACAAGAAGTCTGGAAGCCTAAGTGCCTATCAATTGGAAAATAATTAAGCAAAATATCAAACTGACAGAATTATAAGGACTATAGACAACTGAAAACAGCACACTGTGACTGTAACCACACAAAAAGATGTCTCCAAGCTGCCAAAGATCAGATGATGATATGCAAAAGTTCAAATAGCTGTGTTAGTATTGTTATTAGGTTATTTTAGTATTATTTTATTTTAATATTGTTATTTTAGTTTGCATAATTTGTCTTAAGTAACAGTTTGAGATATAATTCACATACTATACAATTCACCTGTTGAAAGTATACCATCACTGGTTTTGTATATATTCTGTCATGTAATCATCCCTACAGTCAATTTTAGAACATTTTCATCCCCCGCAAACAGAAGTTCCACACCCTTTACCAGGCATCCCTCATTCACGCCTGCCTCTCTCCCCCACCCCCTGGCTCCTGGCAATCACTAATTTACTTTATCTCTATGGATGTTCCTATTTTGGACATATCACAAATAGAATCATACAATATGTGGTCTTTTGCAACTGGCATCTTTCACTCAGCATAGTGATTAAGGTTCATCCATATTGTAGCATGTCTCAGACTTCATTTCTTTTTTATTTCTGAATAACATTCGATTGCACAGATATACCACACTTTAGGTGGTACTGTTTTGCAATAACAATAAACACACCAGGTGATGGAGAGAGGTTGAGAGAGTTTTCTGTCTAGCCTATTCTGATGTGAATTCCTTTAGAGGGTGCTGAAAGATGAGAAGCTGAATATCTCATAGAGTCTAGGTCTACTGGGTTTGCTGACATCAGTCAGCAGTTCTTGGAGCTCCTGGCTGTGGCAAGCCCACCCAAGGAGACTTTACATATGCACAGTTAATAGGAGTTGACCCCTCTAAGGCGGAGTGATAGCTAAGGCTTGCACTGGTGCAGCATCCTGAACTGTTCCAGAACATGGTCACACCCATGTTTATTGATACTTTCTTTCCACCAAAATCCCATGGGGCAGGCAGGGGAGCTATTAACCCAGCATGTCATATTGGTACCTTTATCACAACCTGGTTCCTCTGGCTTTTAATTCACCTCCTCCTCCATGGAACTCCACCAAAAACTTCCTATAACTGGCTATTTCCCAGAGCACCAGCATGGATTTCACCAAGATTAGAGGCAATGAGCTGGCAGGGGGATTCTCACCATCGTTGACCTTGTTTGAACAAGAGCTGGAAGGCTGATGTCTTTGGGATTAGACAGTTCTGTTTTCTAGGCCTTTGCATTCTCTCCCATCAAATAGACAGATGTTTCCATTGTACCTGCTTCCCCTGTAAGCCCTGGGAAGAGCTGAGCCAGCACATCCCAAGGTTCTGACTTGGGTCATTTATAAACCGTATCATAAATTTTAAATGGAAAGTAGATTCAAGTGAAGAGAGCCAGAAAAAAAATGGAAAAGCAAATAGGCCAAATGGCCTCACTGCACTGTTAGTCATAGATGACCGGGCATAACTCACAAACCACCACAATCTTATCAAGAGTCCTGTGGTCTCAGAACCCAGTTGTGGGCAGGGATTTAAGGGATGCAGGGCTCCTCCTCATTCCTTTACAAAGTGGTTCTGCAAACTCTGGCCACCTTGGTTGGTATCTGGCCAACATCCTACGCCCTGGGAGGGCATGTGCCACATTCATAACCAATCCTGTCCAGAGCTATTAACAGTAGCCCTAGTCATTAATGAACACAAAACAACTTGTACATGCAGAGCACTGCACTGAATCCACCCCATTTTTTGGTTTATCATCACTACCATTCAACCATGGCTTCACACATAGGGATAAGTGGCCATTCATGTGGTGTCTTTTAAGGAGATAGAGAAGTCCTTCAAATGGTCTTCCCCCATCAGTACAGGACATTCCACCATTAACAAGTCATTCTTTTCTGTCAAGGGGTTGTATAAAGACAGACAGCCCTGGCTTTGCCAGATGCCTGTGTTCTAATCTGGCCCCCCACCAGTGGAGCACAGTTATGCAGCATCTCTTTAAAACTTCTCTGAGGAAGGGGTAATAAGAGTACCTGCCTTGCAGGGGACTGTGAGGGTTGAACGTGATAGCTCATGGAAAGCACTTAGTATGGTGCCTGGTACATAGCATGTGCTCAACCAGTGACGGCTGTGGTTGTGGTGTAGCCTGGCTGATATAGTTTCGACGTTTGTCCTCTCCAAATCTGATGTTGAAGTGTAATCCCCAATGTTGGAGGTGGGACCTGGTGGGAGGTGTTTGAGTCACAGGGCGGATCCCTCATGAATGGCTTGGGGCTGTCCTGATAACAAGAGTTCTTACTCTGAGTTCACATGAGATCCAGTTGTTTGACAGAGTATGACACCTCCCCGCTCTTGCTTCAGCTCTCGCCATGTGACATGCTGGCTTCCCCTTCACCGTCTGCCATGATCGTAAGCTTCCTGAGGCCCTCACCAGAAGCCAAGCAGATGTTGGTGCCATGCTTGTACAGCCTGCAGAACTGTGAGCCAATTAAACCTCTTTTCTTTATAAATTACCCGGCCTCAATAATTCCTTTATAGCAAGGCAAGAATGGACTCACACAGCAGCCTTCCCCAGGTGTTCCTCTGAAACTGAAATCCTCACAGAACACATCTTACTCTTAATGCATTGGTGTGGCCATCGTTTCCCTGCCTAATGCGAGAAAGTTTTGGCAATGGAAGGCTCAGGAAGGGGGGAAGTTGAAAGAGGAACAAGAAGTGGAAGAAGCATTACTGGAAAGGAAAAGGGCAGGGATAGGGAAGGCTGAGGGCACAAAAACAGGTGTCCCCACTCTACCTAGGGCCACCTCTGTATCCATTTGCAAAATGGTTTCAAAGGGAATCCGCCAACCTAAATGTCCAAAGATTTATAAGTGAAGTCACTTGAGGTTTTTGTGTTTTTGTTTTTAAATTGAGGATTGCCCAGCACAGTGGCTCATGCCTGTAATCCCAGCACTTTGGGAGGCCAAGGTGGATGGATCGCTTGAGCCCAGGACTTCGAGACTAGCCTAGGCAACATGGCAAAATCCTGTCTCTACAAAAAAAAAAAAAAAAAAAAAAAAAAATTAGCCGGGTATGGTGGCACGCACCTGTAGTCCCGGCTACTTGGGAGACTGAGGCGGGAGTATCATTCGAGCCTGGGAGGCTGCGGTTGCAGTGAGCTGAGATCACATCACTGTACTCCAGCCTGGGCGACAGAGCAAGACCCTGTCTCAAAAAACTAAATACATAAAAATAAATTGAGGACGAATTTACATAAAGTAAAACGTACAGATCTTAAGTTTACGAGTCAATAAGTTTTGAAAACTGTATACCAGCATAGCCATCACTCCAGTCTGAGCTGTGCCTTAGATACTATACTGGCTCAACAGCATTTCCTGTAGAGCTCATGCATAAGGAATGCCTGCTGCTGGAGAGACGCTGAGGCTTTTCCTACAGCCCTGGAACCCTGAGGCACCCCACAATATGGGGAACAAAAGGAGCATCAAAAAGTCCGAATGGAGCAAATGGACAGCAGTCAAAGCAGAATGGAGGGAAGAAATGAGTCACCAACGAAGTGATTCGGGCCTAAAAGGCTTTGGGATCAATGAATCTAGTCAAGAATATGCATAGAATGGCCCTGCAGGGTTGCCAACATGGTTGAGTCCTGGAATAGATTCATAATACCTATATTCTTTCCACATCTGACTCAGCCATCGCCCCCACCATCTATCTGCCTTTGAACGAATCACATCACAGCTCAATGCCTCAGTTTCCAAAACTGTAAAACCACGTGAGTGGACCAAACACTCTGTGCCTTTTCTAGCTTGAACAACTTAAACAATCCTGCGTTGATGATCTAGACTGGGCAGTTTCACTGCGCGGTCACTCCAAATTCACCTTTGTTTACTTAACACAGACACAGCCTCCCCTGCTGCTGTCTGGTGCATTCTGCAAACTGGGAACTCTCCTGACAAAGGGGACCCAGAAAGCAGGAGAGGAGGCTTGGTTTCTGCTAAGACGTGTAACTTAGCTGACATTTGTTATATCCTGGCGTCTGGTGAGAACTTTATATTCTGTGTCCTCCTCAAAGGCCTCTGAGACAGTGGAACTGGAAAACATTTAAGACAGAAAAAAAAAGGCTCTGGAAAGAAGGAATTCTGGCATGTTTCTGGCATGTGTAACCTCAACCATTTTGAGTCTTTGTGGGAGAAAAATAGTTAATCTTGTAAAACTAAATTACAACTAACCTGCAAGATCAAGTCCAAATGTTAGCGCCCCCTGGCAGACCTTCCTAAGCCCCGGCTAGAGGGGCTCACAGTGAGTTCCGTGGCCCTCTGCCCTATCCCTCTTTTGGCAGATGTACTCTGAGCTATAGGACCCACGTGCAACTCCTATGTGCTGGCTTAGACGCTATGGTTCTAAACTTTCATAGACTGGGTAACTGCTTTGCACATGATGACTGCGAAATCATTTTTTAAATAAAGGAATAAATGAATGTTAGTCTGCTTTGGAGTATATTTAATTGTGTCCTTTAACAAAGGAATTTCTTTTCTACAATATTCAAAAGCAGAAAATTACCTAAAATGAGCTCTTAAAGCCTCCTGAATCTTCACAGCTGAATCCTAGCGCCGAGATACAATCATCCTCTTTGGCTAAAATGATTCATCAATTTACAAAATGCCATAAAAGTAGAAATATTATGTGAAATAAATGGGAATTATGATCACATGTATTTGTGCAACACTTCTAAAGTATATTAAGAACAGCAGCAGCTAACTTCTGGGGAGTGGAGAATAAGAGGTTGGGGGGACAACTTTTCTTTTATACTTTTAAAGCACTGTTACTGTTAAATGTTTTACTGTAAGCATATTTCCACTGATGTTTAATTAAAAATGAAGTTTACAGAAAATTTTGATATATATACTCATTTAGTTACATGTGTACTATAATAAACATAATGCATTATAATTCATTTTATTGTTGAAAAAAACTGAATCTCAAGAAGATTAAGTGACTTTTTCCAAGAGTTAATCGCAGAATCATAAAACAAAGCGTGCTTACACAACAAAGCACAGGAAAGAGAGGAATTTGTATTCCATTCGTGTTCTAATCCTTCCTGCGGGGACCTCGTCATTAGACCAACAGTAATTTACTGAGTGCACACCCTACGCCATCCCCTGCTGTTCCCCTCATGAGAGCCACAGGGACCTTTCACATCACAACGGCTGCACGTTCCTCATATATGACATGTCACACATAATATGACAACATTAATTATAATAACATTTACAAGAGACTTGCTCTTTTATATCCTCTCAATGGATTTCAGGGAGGAACATACTGCCTATATGATTTTTTTCTCACTTGCACAATTTGGAAGTCATCAGCCACATGATGTCATTCTCCTAACCCACATGTAAACTTTGAGGCATTTCAGGGTGCACCCAGATAAGCATTGTCTTTGGCCAGAAACGCTTCTCTAATTGGTGTTTTTGGACCTTAACTAGCACAACGATTCAGCCTGTCAACATGTAACAGGTAGAATTAGAATCAATGTCTTATAGCAACTGCCTCAGATCAACATGAGACGTAAATGTTTCAAAGCCTGGCTCCCATACATCTCTAAGCAAGAGTGCTCACATTCCATGGACCATGCCAGAGGTGCCGTACTTCAAACTAACAAATTCATAACAGCAATTAGGTTTGGTTTCTAAGCATGTGCTTTGACAGCTCTTTGAAAGATGGAGCCAACTCAGAAAAAAACTTCAGCTACCTGCAGCAGCCTCTTGCTTGATTCTCCTGTTTTAATCAGGGTAGAAGAGGTAAAACTCTCCTCCAGCTAGTGTATTTTATCCCAATAAAGAACCTCCCCCTCCCCCATAATTAATGAATCTATGACCTCCTAGACAGAACTAGCCAGGGAAGGCTGTCATGTAATCAGACCACTCTGGGACTCCAGTGGACCGTAGAGGTTATCTAGGCCCTAACTTCAAGTCCCTCCCAGGCTCTTCCAGTGCATGCTTGAATTGCTCAGTGACCCAGGCACCACTCAATTTACAAAAAGCATCTTTAGCTCAGCAGGTCCTCAGTCCCTCAACAGATGGAATTGTGCTGACTGAATCTCCCCTCCCCTTTGTTAATTCAACTGCCCATTCTTCAAGGTTCCGTTGAAGTTCTGTGTCTTCCTCAAAGCCCACCCCTTCACGGCCCTGCTTTCTCTGAGCTGCAGAGTCTAACGCTTTATAAACATCCGTCCGTGCCTGGTTTGATGTAGGTCTGTATGATCTCCCATTCCAAAGAGTAATAAGTTTCTTAAGGCTGGAGGCCACGTCTTTTCCTCTCACCTGCCCTCAGATCACCTAATCTATAGATGAATATACCAATGATGTCCATCCAATATTTGTTGAACATGCAGAAAATGCCCAGATCACTAAGCTCTGGTCACTGCACATGCACCACATGCTGGCTTCTTGAGGTCTGGGTCTGATCTCAGCCACTAGAATGGGTTAAATCCATGAGCAAGTGGCCACATGAGTGCTTCTTCAAGGGATTAACTAGGCTACTGTATTGCTTTCAGTTCCCAGGAGCATGTGGCCCTCTTTCGGTTAGTATATAAGTCATTTGTTCAGTAGGGAATAGGTGCCTATCATCTTTTTTTTTTTTTTTTTTTTTTAGGATGAAGTCTCACTCTGTCACCCAGGCTGGAGTGCAGTGGCATGATCTTGGCTCACTGCAATCTCCACCTCCCAGGCTCAAGCGAGTCTCCTGCCTCAGCCTCCCAAGTAGCTGGGATTACAGGCACCTGTCACCATGCCTGGCTAATTTTTTTTTTTTGTATTTTTAATAGAGATGGGGTTTCACCATGTTGGCCAGGCTGGTTTTGAACTCCTGACCTCAAGTGATCTGCCTGCTTTGGCTTCCCAAAGTGCTAGGATTACAGGCATGAGCCACCACGCCCGGCCAGGTGCCTATCAACTTTTTAATTCTTGTAAGTTATTAAGCAAAAGGTATATGTATGTGTTTGAAAGCATGTGTGGGAGTGAAAGCATGTGTGACATGCATGCGGTACGTGAGAGTGAACACTTGTGAGCGCAAGAGTGTGCGCTGTGTGAACAGAGTGTATGTGTGGACCAGTGAATGTACCTGGCCCTGGATACAAGTCATCATCTTCTTCTTGCTCCAATTAACGTGTTCTCTGCTTCTTCCATTTCTTTGACTGACTTGGGCCTACTAAGCCAGACGTCTCCAAATATTTTTGACTGCATATACCAGCAACAACATTTTGAAATGTTTTCATATAAATTATAAACACATACTCTGGCCATCCATACATCAAATATTAAAGCTAAATCATGTTCTTGCTTCATAGGTAAGAAAATGAATACAGATGGAAGGTCTGTTTCCCAAATCCCAGTAGCTCATCTTGCCTACTCTGGGCACTGTGTCCAAATTCCACTTTGCAGGCCACTCCTTGAAGCCACAGCTACCCCTAATCTGGCCTCTCACCAGACTCCTAGACACACATCTTGCTGAGGACTGGTGCCAGATTACCTGAAGCAAATGTCAGGTGATGAACTGGAAAAGAGGTCTGAGGGAAGCTTCCAATTTGCATTGCTGATGCCAATTTCAGGAACCAGTAAGTGAGCGCAAAAAAGAAGAAGGCAGGAAGACGCAGAGACAAGTTCTAAAACATCAGGTCAACTAAGCAAGGAGACTCTCTGAGGCTGTACTGGAAGCAGGGGAGAATGTTCATATTTCTGAATGCACTTGCTGGCAATTCACTGCCAGCCCAGTATGGTGAGGGGCTGGGTTACACCCACATCTCAGAAATGACGGCAGACTCCCAAAACAATTTACAGCAAGCATGCCTTAAAAGTGCATTAGCGGGCCAGGCATGGTGGCTCACGCCTGTAATCCCAGCACTTTGGGAGGCCAAGGCAGGCAGATCATGAGGTCAAGAGATCAAGACCATCCTGGTCAACATGATAAAACCTCGTCTCTACTAAAAATACGAAAATTAGCTGGGCCTGGTGGCACGCACCTGTAGTCCCAGCTACTTAGGAGGCTGAGGCAGGAGAATCACTTGAACCCAGGAGGCGGAGGTTGCAGTGAGCTGAGATTGCGCCACTGCACTCCAGCCTAGCGATAGAGTGAGACGCCTTCTCAAAAAAAAAAAAGTGCATTAACTAACTGCCATTGGAATCACTTGCTGCATTACATTTTCTCTTAGTGACTTGGGGTTGAAATGTCTCTTTGAAAGTCTTAGTAACCTCGACAAAGGAAGGTGCCCAGATGCTACTCTACAGGAGAATACGGTATGAAATGATGAAAGAGCAACATGCGGAAGGAAGGGCAGCTCCAAGGCCCAACTGCCTGACAGTAAGACATCAGGGAATGAAGTGGTGAACACAGGGGAAGGTGGCAGTGCTGGCTTTAGACAAGCCCATCTCTTGTCACTATTGGGGTGCTACCAAAATAAATGCCTAAGGTCTTCAATAACAGCACTTGGCACTTGTATCAAATTTCTTTCCCGAAACACACCCATATCCCTTGTCTTATTGAAGCCTCCAAGTGACTCTGTGAGTGAGGGCATAATGTATAATGTTTGGTTTTGGTTTTATATTTTCCGGGAGAAGAAACAACGGGGAGATTTATAGCCCGGCACCTCCTCCACCCTGGCAGGGTGCTGTGGGCTGGATTTCACTGGGACAGCAGGGTTGGATGAGGTCAGAGCCAGCGTGGAATTAGCCTACTGCGCTGGATTCCTGAGTGTTGACTCAGCCGCAAGACTCCAGAGGGCAGAGCGCTGAATGTGCTAGAAAGAGTTACGAATGAGGTGCCCACCATGTGTAACTGGGTGAGAACACCCAGCCTCTGCCCTCAGGGGTTTGCAATCTAATACATCAGGAATAGGGCCAATGTTTGAGAGAACTGTAGATGAGTGAGAAAGAAAACTGGCACGACTTTGTAAATATAAGCTTTCTCAATTTAAGCAAACTTGCACATTTGTTTACTTTGTTCTAAGAGTTGCTGAATAAGGCATGATACCATGAGTTTATGGTCAAACAGCCAGGGAAAGGCAGCATCTAGGCAAAAGAGAAGGGACCCATAAGTTAGGAAAGAATGCAAATTGGAGGCCAGGAAAAGTTTGCTAACTGAATAAATAGCTGCTGCAAGGCTTGATGGGGGTTTGAGGGGTGGGCGCTGAAATGTTGAAAGGGACACAACAGGTCAATCACAGACACAAGGTGGAAAATGCAGGGATATCTATAGAGTGGGTAGGGAGGATGTAGGTTCCAAGTCACTAAGGATAGTCCTAGATTTTGCCTGTTTTCTTAGAGTAATTATGTATAGTGTCACTTATCATTCTCAACTGTGTCCTTTCTTGGAGGATAAATGATATAGTCACCCTAGTTCTCCAAAACTCACAAGATGCATTGAATTGCCAGATAGCCCCCCTCCAGCCAAGCCATCTACACCAGCTTCTATATTTGCACCACCTCTCCAAGGGGCTAAATACCACCTCCAAGAGACTAAATACCACCCCCATCAGCCCTGCCCTGAGGCTAAGAGAGCAGATGGTTCTATGTGGGTGTGAACAGTCTTTAATTCTTCATTTCTGGGCTAACACTGGCTCCTGAGAATCCAAGAGGAACAGAGGGAGGAGAACAAGAAGAGGCCGAAGGGGAAGGGTCGGGACCCTCTGAGTGACATTAGTGGTGCGTAACGTAAAGGCTACTCTCACTGTAGAGAAGCCAGCATGGCAGCAAGGAGGGCGAATGGGCCTTGGGTCCAGCAAGACCTGCAGTCTGCTCCCAGATCCCCACAGTCATTGCTGAGCCTCAGTTTCCTCACCTCTTTAAAGAAAAGTGGGGTGGGGGAGGATAATATCTACCTTCCAGAGTTGGAGTGACAGAATGTAATCATTATCAAGTACCAGGTACACAGTAGGCGTTCGATAATGGCAGCTTTTGTTGGAACGATGATATATACCTACAAGTTTTCTTTCTTTTTTTTTTTCTTTGAGACGGAGTCTCACTTTGTCACCCAGGCTGGAGTGCAGTGGTATGATCTCGGCTCACTACAAGCTCCACCTCCTGGGTTCACACCATTTTCCTGCCTCAGCCTCCCGAGTAGCTGGGACTACAGGTGCCCGCCACCAGGCCTGGCTAATTTTTTTTTGTATTTTTAGTGGAGATGGGGTTTCACCGTATTAGCCAGGATGGTCTTCATCTCCTGACCTCGTGATCCGCGCGCCTGAGCCTCCCAAAGTGCTGGGATTACAGGCGTGAGCCACCACGTGTGGCCATACCTATGAGTTTTCTTAAAACCAAATTGTCAAAAATGTGGGGCCTACCAGGTGTTAGCCTCCATCCCATAACATCGTGGCTCAGGTCACCCTCAGAAGGAGACACAGGGAGTCCTAAGTGTATTCTGGGAGTGACCTCTGTGGCAGACCAAGGGACACAGCTATGGCCGGGACACCAACAGCTTCTGCTATAATCTCCCCAATTTTTTTTTATTTAAGTGCAATTATTTTTATTTAAGTACAATTATAAAACTATAAAGGGAACATTTTTAGAGGAGTAATAAAAACCAGATGGACATGGAATCTTTTCTTCCCAGCCAAAGGGGATCATCTTGCTCATCCCCTGGGAGCACTCTTCTTTCATGATCACTGTCCCAGGAGCCCACAAAAGGTCCAAGCATCTATGGAACTTAAAATACAAGTACTGGAAGGCTTGTGTCTGTACCAGGCTCTGGTTCTGATCCTGGAAATTCAATGTCACAGTCTGAACAGGTGTGCCTGCTGATTGATTATAGCCTGAAAGTACAAGAGGGACAGGCAGAGCTTTTGTCCCTGCCCCTTTTAATAAGAACACATACCTGCGGTAGGTTGTGGATTGGAGGAAGTCTCTCAGAGCCGGGAGGAGACATTCCCTACACCAGTGGAAAATCTTTGGGTCCTCCAAAATCACACTTCTTTAACTCAAGTTAAATGAGGCCTTAAGGCGCTTAACTGTTAAGAAATAATAACAAGAAAAATCAAAGATTACGCAAAAAGAGGGCTGCAGGGGCTGCAGGCTGTCCTTAGGGCATCCTCCGGCCTTGGTGGGTAAGGTTAGGAAAACCTGGCTGCATTTTCCAAACCCTTCCACCAGAGCCACACGGGGGCACACTAGTCAATGTTTTGGATGTCGGGCCTCCCGCTGGCTTCCTCTCGGTAAAGAAACCTGGAGGAGGAGGACAGTGAGGGCAGAGGCGCTACTGGATGACTCCTTGCTTGGCCCACGGCCACCAAGCCAGTGACTTAGGCAGATTGTCCTTGAGTGATTCAAAACCACGTGGGTGCTGGCCCAAAGGTTTCCCCTTACTTTCTAAGCATGTTCCCAGCATGGCTGGGGCACGGGTTCCTGAGCTATTACTCAGGAGAGCAGGGAAAAGAATTGAGTGAATAAATGGAAGGTCTAATAACCTCTTAACCTGATACCAGGAAGGCAAGTGAGTAACCCCCAAGGGGTGCTTGGGGGCACAGCAGGCAGGGGTGGGCAGGGTAATAGCTCATTCTTCAGTGGGTCGCCATAGCATCCTTGGCGTGACCAGAGTGCTGGCCCTCAGTGCCTGCCCTCCTAGGGTGAAGGATCAGCCTCAAAGGCAGGGCAGCAGGCTGGCTCCTAACAGAGCCTCTTGACAGAGGGTCTCCTACGAGCACACACTGCTGCCTCACCAATAGACATGGGAACCCCAGGGGACAGACCAGGGACCAAACCCCAGCCATCACCAGGCACTGCAAGGCGCCAGCCAGCCTGCACTCCAGGACTCCAGTGTGCCTGCTTTCCAGAGCACAATGGGTCCAGGTGCACACAGACACAGCAGACAAACCAGAAGAGAAGGCATCTAAGTCACCACCTTCTATCAAGAATTCAGCTAAGCTGCGATTTTTTTTTTTTTTTTTGAGACAGTCTCACTTTGTCGTGTGGGCTGGAGTGCGGTGGCATGATCTTGGCTCACTGCAACCTCTGCCTCCTGGGTTCAAGCAATTCTTCTGCCTCAGCATCCTGAATAGCTGGGATTACCGGCACGTCACAATGCCCAGCTGATTTTTGTATTTTTAGTAGAGATGGGGTTTCACCATGATGGACAGGCTAGTCTGGAACTCCTGGCCTCAAGTGATCCACCTGCCTTGGCCTCCCAAAGTGCTGGGATTATAGGCGTGAGCCACCGTGCCCAACCCTAAGCTGCAATTTTATATGAAGACCTTGGAAAAGAAAAACACTTTTGTTTATAAACATGGTATAGTATGCAAATTTTAAAGTATTAATATTTTTTAGCTAAAACAGTACTTCAAAAGTTCTTAGCTTGAGGCCGGCTCTGAGAGGAGGGGGTTTATTTTCTTCTGCCCCACTTATCTTTGGTGAATGGCAGAATGTTTGTTTAATAAAAAGTCAGTAAAGCAGAGAATCATGCAAAGAAAAGATGTATGTACTTTAAGTATTTTAACTAACAATATTCAAACTGAAAATATTGAAAAACAAATATATGTACTCACTTGCCAATAACAGAAGGCCAATTTCTTTAAGGTATGGTCCCCCTCATCATCTCTTACAGACAAACATTATCTATGATTTCCATTTCCATTTTCTATGTGTGTGTGTGTGTGTGTGTGTGTGAGAGAGAGAGTGAGTGTCTCGCTTTGCTGCCCAGGCTGGAGTGCAGTAGTATGATCATGGCTCACTGCAGCCTCAACCTCCCACGATCAAGCAATGCTCCTGCCTCAGCCTCACAAGTAGCTGGGACTACAGGCACATGCCACCATGCCTGGCTAATTTAAATTTTTTTTTTTTTTTTGTAGAGACATGGTCTCTCCATGTTGCCCACGCTGGTCTTGACTCCTGGGCTCAAGCAATCCTACTGCCTCAACCTCCCAAAGTATTCAGATTATAAGTGTGAGCCACCATGCCCAGCCCAATTGTGGTTTCTTTCTAGTGGAGCAAAAATTAAAGATACTTGTGAAGTAATGTGAATTTGGAATCTTTTTAGAGCTTTATTATTTTTCTCACACAATTTAGCAGTAATTTTTTTTTTTTTTGAGGCAGAGTCTCGCTTTATCACCCAGGCTGGATTGCAGTGGTGTGATCTCGGCTCACTGCAGCCTCCGCCTTGTGGCTTCAAGTGATTTTCCCGCCTCAGCCTCCCAAGTAGCTGGAATTACAGGCATGTGCCACCACGTCTGGCTAATTTTTGTATTTTTAGTAGAGATGGGGTTTTACTATGTTGACCAGGCTGGTCTCAAACTCCTGACCTCAAGTGACCTGCTCGCCTCAGCCTCCCAAAGTGCTGGGATTACAGGCATGAGTGACCATGCCTGGCCAACAGTAATTTTATAGGAAATTTATCTTTGGCTTTTTCCGTCACATTCAACTTAGTCTTAATAGAAACTTTTTTTCACACTCATCTCAGTTTAAATAAGATTTCATTACAATTATTTATTACAATAAGAACAAATACAAGTGGCTTTTGATAAACACACAACTACTGGTGGGGACAGAAGTGTACAGTGGGAGTACGGCATAAGCTGCTCCACTATGGCTGTGAGCTTTCAAGTGTGCCCTGAGCGTGTGTCAGAGAGAATGGGAGACAGAGTTAATTTGGCAAGTCGGTGACAGCAGAGGTCAGTTAGGAGACTACCTCTGGAACTTTGGTGGAAATCTCTGAAAAGTCACAGACTCAGTGTTTATAATATGGACAAATTCACTGGATAAAATTCACATGCAACTCTTTAGAAAAACATGATGCCTGAAGCCAGGAGTACCTGCACTTATGTTTGCTTCCACTAGTCCCCCGACCCTGTTACCAAGTTAACATGATTTTACTACAGTGCTGCCCAAATCTTATGATTGTGCTATAAGCAGCCTAGTTCCCCTAGGGTCAAAATAACCACTCCCAGTTAAAAAGGCAGGCATGCTGGGTGCGGTGGCTCACGCCTGTAATCCCAGCACCTTGGGAGGCCGAGGCGGGCGGATCACGAGGTCAGGAGATCGAGACCATCCTGGCTAATATGGTGAAACCCCGTCTCCACTAAAAACACAAAAAAAAATTAACTGTGCCTGGTGGTGGGCACCTGTAGTCCCAGCTACTCGGGAGGCTGAGGCAGGAGAATGGCGTGAACCCGGGAGGTGGAGCTTGCAGTGAGCCGAGATCGCGCCACTGCACTCCAGCCTGGGCGGCAGAGCGAGACTCAGTCTCAAAAAAAAAAAAAAAAAAAAAAAAAAAGCAGGCATATGAGGTGAAAGGTAAAACAAAACTTTTGGAAGAAGTCATAGGTGAACATCCTTAAGACATTCAGGTAGGCAGCCTGTTCTTGAATGGAATACGAAAAGGTCAAACCATAAAGAAAATAACTGATAAATTGATACATTCCTCAGGGACTTCTGTTCATCAAAAGATCCTCTTAAGGAACTACAAGGTAAGCCACAGACAAGAAGGTACTTGCAATTCATATACTCAACAGAGACTCATATCCAATATCTATGAAGACCTTCTAAAAATCATCTTTTTTAAAGCAGACAACCCAATAGAAAAATGGGCAAAAGACTTGTGTAGGCACTTCTAAGAGAGGATACCCAAATAGATGATGCACATATAAAAAGGCACTCAAGAGCAATGCAAAGACATCAGGGAAATGCAAATTAAAATCAGAATAAAATCAAAGAATGGTGGATAAACAGAATGTGGTATATATTATAGATATAATGGAATACTATTCAGACTTAAGAAGAAATTCTAACACTTGCTACAACATGGGATGAGCCTTGAAGACATTGAGCTAGGTGAAATAAGCCAGTCATAAAAAGAAATACTGCCCAATTCCACTTATATGAAGTATGCAGAGTAGTCAAAATTCATGGAGACAAAGTAGCATGACGATTGCCCGGGGCTGGGGGGAGTAGAGAGTTAGTGTTTCGTGGGTACGGAATTTCAACTTGGAAAGACGAAAAAGGTTTTGGAGATGGATAGTGGTCATGGTTGTCCAGTAACATAAACACACTAAATCCCACTGAACAATACACTTAAAATGGTAAATTTAATGTTTTGTATATTTTACCACAAAAAAAGATACAATAAAACATACCCACCAGAACAGCTAAATATGGAAAAGAGATGAATAATCCCAAGTTTTGGCAGGGTTGTGAAGCAACTGGAACTCTCAGACTGTTGGTGGGTGTGTAAATTTGTACAGTCATTCTGGAACACCGACAGTATCTACTGAGGCTGAGCAGCTGCAACCCATGACTCAGCAATGCTACTCCTAGGTATGCACTCAATGCCAGCGTGTACATTTGTTCACCAGAAGACATGAACTAAAATGTTCATAGCTGCACTATTCATACTACCCCTAAACTGGAAACAAGTGCATGTCCATCAGTTATAGAACGGATATATTCCCACAATGGACTAGTCTACAGCAATGAAAATGAATAAACTACATGCAAAAACATGGATGAATCTCAGAAACCTAATGTTGAATGAAAAACCAGACACAACAGTATACACTGTATAAATCCATGTAGAGTTCAAAACCAAGTAAAACTATTCCACGTTCTTGAGAGTCAAGAAGTTGGGTGAGGGGTAGTGAGCAGAAGAGAGGATGGAGGGGGCTGGCCATGTTCTCTTTCTCCATCTGGATGCTGGTCACCCAGCATCTTAAAAATTCAGTATGTGGCCGGGTGTGGTGGCTCACGCCTGTAATCCCAGCACTTGGGGAGGCTGAGGCGGGTGGGTCACCTGAGGTCAGAGGTCAGGAGTTTGAGACTGGCCTGGCCAGTCTCATGGTAAGACCCTGTCTCTATTAAAAATACAAAAATTAGCTGAGTGTGGCAGCAGGTGCCTGTAGTCCCAGCTATTGAGGAGGCTGAGGCACGAGAATCGCTGCAACCCGGGAGGCGAAGGCTGCAGTGAGCCGAAATCGCGCCACTGCACTCCAGCCTGGGTGGCAGAGCAAGACTCTCTCTCAAAAAAAAAAATTCAGTCACCTGTATACTCACTAGCCATGCATTTTTCTGTGTGTCTATGTTACTTTAATGAAAAAGTTGGCAGAATCAGTCATACGCAGCATTGCATACAAAGTATTCAATTATAGAACATTTGGAACACCAGCAGTGGTGGGAAGTTAAGCCCCAATGGAACGGTGAAGCAAAAGAATGCATGTGGCTCCAACTAGAGTAATTTACCATCAGGAGGTTGTTTAGGGAGTGGGGAAAATTTAGGTCAATGAACTGATGACACCAGAAAGTGTTGTTAGAGCATTTACCACCTATGTCATTCATTCTGGCATCTAATCACATGGAGCCTTGTTTTGTTATTTAAATGTCTGAGGAATGTTCACCTTAACTATAAGCTCCCTGAAAGCAGGAACTCTGGGATGGTTTCTCTAGCATAAATCACAGCATTGAGCACAAAGCCAGGCATGTCATAAATCACAAAACCATTTGCTTAATAGCAATACACCATAATACTAGAATTACATAACAATAAATTAAATGTGTTATCAGAGTGCAAGGACTTAACAGAAATACTAAAATATCAATCCAGAGGCAATCTTAAACAAAGAGCTTAGACTTTGAAGCATGATGGATCCTGGGCAAGTCATGTAATGTTGTTGGCCTCTGCTTTGCAACCTGAAAATGGGGACAGTAGTGACCTTACAGAGTTGGTATAAGGATGAAATAAATTACAGGAGGAAATGAAGGATCAGGGACACAATTATGTGCCCAACAGCAGCACGCCATTAGGGTAAGTTGCCTTCTCCTAAACCCGGCATACAATCTGACCCTGAGCAAGGAAGAATCTGACTGCTTTTATCTCCTCGAACCTTCCTAAAGCCAACTCTTAGGGGGACTGCACATCAAGCTTCTTATCTCCTCGAAACTTCCTAAAGCCAACTCTTAGGGGGACTGCACATCAAGCCTTCCTGATCTGACACCTGGAATC
The DNA here is from genome assembly GCF_000001405.40 of Homo sapiens. Classification (NCBI taxonomy): domain Eukaryota; kingdom Metazoa; phylum Chordata; class Mammalia; order Primates; family Hominidae; genus Homo; species Homo sapiens. The sequence goes on along the minus strand of NC_000002.12, from coordinate 45,930,746 downwards.
CCTTTAGTCTGACTCAAATGTATGGCTGCAATGTCAAACAAACAACAGAGGCATTAAGTGGATTCTAGGTGCAATAAATCATGCAAGCGATGGTGCTCTGTTCCCAGTCATGAGGCAGCAGAGTTCATGATGAGTAACTGCAGCTGCCATGCCCTCCACAGACAAAGGACAGGCATTCCAATTGGAAGGTGGACACCCACAGCCCTCCTTGGAGTTGCCTGTGTATGTGCAATGCTTCCTCCCCCACCAGTGGGAGGCACAGTGGTGACTGGAGAGGGCCAGATTCTGGAGACATGCCTTATGTTTGTAAGATTTATTAAGCATCCAACATGAGCCACCAGGCACTTTCTTGGATCTGCCACTAGCTAATCATATAATTTTGGTCAAGTTTTCTGAACTCCCTAGGCCTTCTTCATTTTTAAACTGGTAGGTAGTACCAGGCCATCTCTTAATCACTTATCAACCTGTGATACTCTAATCCATGCGCTTTCCAAACACCAAAGTTAGCCTTCCTCTATTTCTAATTCAGTCTGTGACATCTTCTTCTGCTATCTTTAGAATTCTCATGTCCTCATTTGTGGGGTGTCGCACAGAACAGTAATCAGGTGACTGAGCTGGATGGAGGCGTCATCTGACTGCCAAAGGAAACCAACATCAGACTTGAATAATAAGAGCAGGGTTCATTTCTCACACTATATTTTTCAAAAACCATGATATACGACCTTTGGTTTGTCCATTCATTGATTCATTGAATGATTCATTTACTCAATAAGCATATATTTGGTGCCATCTTGGCCCAGGCACTATGCTGGGCATTAGAGAAATTTGACAGTGGGTTAGGGCAAGGCCCTGCCCTCGAGGTGCTCATGTTCTACAGGAAATGCAGGCACTAAACATGAATCACCCACAATATGGCACTAAAAGGGAGGATTGAGCATATCATAGGTACAGGAAGAAGACACGAGAAACACATGAAAGATGCAAGAGAAGGATTAGAGATAATTATATGAGGTCCTGGGGGTGGGGGGAAGATGGGGATGGAACAGGAAGAAGACAGTATCCCTGCAATGCTTACAAAAATTCCCAATGGTAACCAATTTCCAGGGCAATAAGAACCTTTGATAATATGAGTTCTCTAAGTTTTTAGCTTTGGAAGAAATCAAGAGTGGGAGCTTAATTAGCATCTTAACACCCAGCCACCCACCTAGACACTGCCTCCTTCTACCCTGAAGGGGCAACAGTTTCCTGCATCTTTTCTTTCATGCTCCCTTAGTCTCGGTTTCTGCTGCCTGAACTCAGTCCCGTGGGGGGATAAATGGGAATTAAACACGGTTAAAAAGCCACAAAATGGAGAGTACGCACAAGAGTAAAATTATTTATATATGGGCATCTTCCGCCGGGAGGAACGGCTCCGCTATCGCTCTTTGGTGTCTCAGATTAAGACTAAAGCACAACTCATTTTTCCCTTTTCCATTCCAATTAGCTGCATATTTTTAGCACGTGTTATATAAGGCTCATCTGCCCAAATCCATTGGCTTGGGGCCTTTCTTTCCTTTCATTTCACTGGTAGATTGACCCGCGTGGTAGGATGACGAGCAGATCATGACAAGTCTGTAAATAGCCTGCCAGAGGAGGGGTGGATGGGAAGAGAGCTCTCGAGATGAAGTGAGGGTTTGTATTTGGCATGCCAAGGCTAAATCCATCCCTTCTAAAAGGGGAAAGAAGAAAGAACGCACAATTCCAAATTGAACTGTGGCACAGCTAATAGGAAAAGGCTGCTCCCGCCTACAATAAGCACAACTCAGACAGGTGGACCTCAGCGCTGACAGAGGGGCCCCCAGACTCCCAGCCTCGGGGTACAAAAGGCTCCAGGTGCTCCATCAGCTGCAGAATAGTCTAATTCTGGTTGTGCATGGATTATGTGCATGCATTATATGCATGAGCTGCGGACCTTTCTAGGAAAAAAAAAGTCCATCCACACTATTAGTGGGGGGCAGGAAAAAGCATGAAGAAGGACTGAGGAAGGCTTGTCCCAGCCTCATCTCTGTCTCGATTCTTGCCATTCTAGCAAAGACGCTTCGGCATCCTTCTGTTAAAAATATCTACCATTACTTCTATACACATTGTTGTGGAAGGACTAAAATGAAACAGTACGTCCAGAGAAGTGTAAAGTTATGGGCCGGGCACAGTGGCTCACGCCTGTAATCCTAGCACTTTGGGAAGCCGAGGCGGGCAGAATTGCCTGAGCTCAGAAGTTGGAGACCAGTCTGGGCAACATGACGAAACCCCATCTCTACTAAAAATACAAAAAATTAGCTGGGCATGGTGGTGTGTGCCTGTAATCCCAGCTACTCGGGAAGCTGAGGCATGAGAATTGCTTCAACCCGCGAGGCGGAGGTTGCAGTGAGTTGAGATGGCACCACTGCACTCCAGCCTGGGGAACAGAGGGAGATTCTATCTCAAAAAGAAGTATAAAGTTATATTCAAATGTAAAGCATTATAGCTTTGAGTCTGAACTATACCCATGGTCACACACCACAAGCAAAATTTGTAGAGGTCACTGGGACTCAGCCACCTCTTCCCATAGATCACAACACAGAACAACTAGAAGCAGTTTCTTACAGAACTACAGCCTAGGAAAGCTTGGAGGGAGGTGAAAGGGAATCCTTGAAGTCAAGGAGTTTAGTGCTAGGGGTACTATCTTAGAGCCCAAAAGAACAAACAATAGCCAGATACTCTTCCTCGGCCCTGGGCTCATCAAAGATAAGTCTATGTACATTGGGGTCCTCCAGTACCACCCAGGCCCCCCCACCCTCTCCTGCCTCCGTGAGTGAAGGCTACAGTCACTTAGGAAGGCATACATCTACACGAAGCCTTGGGTATCTCAAAGACTATTTGAAATCACTGTGGAAAAGTTCTTCTAGAGCTAAGGAAAAATAAAGATGTATTTTTTTTTCTCAGCACACATCAGCTGCTAGCAATTATGTGTTTATCTATTTAATGGGAAAACAAATATTCAAATCCACTGCAGGAGAGAGTATCAGCCTCTATGCGAGAGATTTTACTTCCTGCTGATTTACAGTTCTGGAGATGAAATCCTCCCTTTCTCTAATGCTCCTTAGCCTGGGCTGCAGAATCAAATAATATGCCAGGCTGCATAATCTCTGGATCAGCAGTACAGACTGGCCCAGAGGTTTGGTCCTGGGGCACGGTAGGCAGTTATGGCCCTTGGACTCAGGCAGACCTGGATGCCTGTGGCTTTACTATGAGACCTGGAGGGAGGTACCTCTTCTGTTTATACATCAGTTATCAGCTGCAAAAATGGAGATAATACCTGCTTCATAGGAAGATTGCAATGATTAAATTAGATGATATACATAAAAGTGCTTAGCACAGAGCCTGGCACATTGAGGCATGTCAATGAATACTCGTCTCCTTCCCTTCTCTAGGTTCCAATACCACAAAAATCCAACTACATTTGTTAATTCACAAATTATATCTTTACAATTTCACCTCCCTCTTCTCTGACAACACCCCCCCCATGCACACTCACACATGGACTATACACATTCTATACTTCTTACCATCCTGTGTCCCGTGCACACTCATGCATGCACATATACACATTCTATACTTCTCACCATCCTTGTCCCATGCACGCTCACATGTGCACATATGCACATTCTATAATTCTCACCATCCTGTGTCCCATGCACACTCACACGTTCATGTATACACATTCTATAGTGCTCACCATCCTGTGTCCCATGCACGCTCACACATGCACATATACAGGTTCTATACTTCTCACCATTCTGTGTCCTATCCACACTCACACATGTTCATATACACATTCTATACTTCTCACCATCCTGTGTCTTGTGCACACTCACACATGCACACACCACACATTCTATACTTCTACTATCCTGTGTCCTACTTTTCAGCCCAAACCTCTAAGCTCAAATTCTATTTCCAGAAATCGTTTTTGGTGCCTCTGGCCCACAGGAGCCCCTCTGTCTGAATGCTTCTAGCCACGGCTGTCCATGTCACAAAATGTTCGTTAATAAGAAACACAGTAATTTAGTAATGACCAAAACAAAAAAAGAAAGCACTGGCTTACAAATCCTTCTCAGCCTCCGACTTTCAACTGGAGAGAATACTCTGCCTACCTCACAGTTTTGCTTTAGGATCAAATAAGATGACCTGTATGGAAGAGCTATGTAATATGCCAGTACTACGTTAAGGGCAACATCCCCTCCTCTTTATCACCACTATCACCGCCATTACCACCACCACCATAACAAAAGATCCTGAGGATGGGGGGGACTCACCTAACTCACTGATTTCACCAGCTCCTCCTCGACTTGCTGTGTAATGGAAACCTACTTGTGAAAGGCTTTTATTTGAAGACAGTGGTTATGTATGGCAGTTGCCCTGAAACAAAGCACTGATTCCCCCCTCTGCCCATATTCCTCTTGCCATGGCCCTGGAGAAAGGAAAATTCAAAATTAGCCAGCCAAGTTCCCTTGCATATCATTGCAGGCCTCAGCAGTCAGCCGCTGAGCAGCAGGCCGAAAATTCATGCTTGCCAACTTTGTCATTTCTCAACATTTGAGTTATTTATACTTCACAAGTCTGTGAGATGCAAGTCCCCCATTTCCTGGGATGTAGAAAAAAACTGGCACAATATTCTAGAAATTCCCAAGCCAAAGTGGGTGGCACTGAGGCTTCGAATATTCAGCCCCACTGAATTCTCCCAACCTGATTCTACCCACTGAAGTTAGCCTTGCCTCCCCCACCGAATCGCACCCTCAGGTTATCCCTGGCCTGGGCCAGGAATGACTACCCCAATATTTTATCTGCTTATGCAAAACCTTTGAGTCCTAGCTCAAGTCCCACTGTTGCTGGAAGCCTGCCAGAGTTTGCCCAGCCCACGATGATTGAAAGCAGCCTTCTGTCATCAACATCACAGGTCTTAGAAGAGTCCTAATAGAAGTCAGCTCAGTCTAGGTGATCCTTGGCCAGCTTGTGAGCTCCCCGAGCTTATGCTCTAGAATTCTCCCTTGGGTTCACTACTCGGATGGATGTATCCTAGGTACACAGTAAATGTTTACTGATGCTAATTGATGATTAAAATGCAGCATGCTTGGCCGGGCGCGGTGGTTCACGCCTGTAATCCTAGCACTTTGGGAGGCCGAGGCGGGTGGATCACCTGAGGTCAGGAGTTCGAGACCACCCTGGCCAACATGGTGAAACCCCATCTCCACTAAAGATACAAAAGTTAGCTGGGCGTGGTGGTGGTGCCTGTAATCCCAGCTACTCGGGAGGCTGAGGCAGGAGAATCGCTTGAATCTGGGAGGTGGAGTTTGCAGGGAGCCAAGATCATGCCATCGCAATCCATCCTGGGTGACAAGAGCAAACTGTCTCAAAAATAAATAAATAAATAAAAAATACAGCATGCTTAGAGAGAAAAGGGGAAATGAGTTATCAGGATAATATGCTTGTCCACAGGGCCTTTAGGAAAGGAAAGGGGAACACCCTCTCCCTTAGTACGAGTCTTGGAAATGAGAAACTGGACATCCTCAAGAACAGTTCTCATGTCCTGGCTGCCCAGTATCAAGCTTCAGATAGTTCTGTTTCTACTTTAAGACCTTAGCAAGCCTACCCATGTCCACAGTGGATACCTTTAAAACACCCTGCCCAGCCCAGGGTACCTCAGTTTCCCCTCACTGAACCTATTAAGAACTCTGGCTGTGCAGCCCTTGATGTCTGCAGGCTGGTCCCCTGCACTCAGAGCTGTCCATGTCCCTGCTCACTGATGAGCACCAAGGAACTCAGAGCTCTGCTGTTTCCTGCAAGCCCAGGCCTGGCTTTGGTAACTGACCTATGCCTTCCATTGTTTCTGCCCTCAATCCAAGTCCTGCATTCAGCCTCACTTCTCCCATGAATTAATTTCCATGCAACTCTTTGCTGCCACTAAGTATAGACGAAAAGACATATTTTTTCTCAGCACTGTGTAGGCCAGTAATGTAACAGCAGCATCTCTAACACTTACTGAAAGAAGATTATTTGCCAAGTGCTTTTTCATATGTTTATGTGTGGTAACCCCCTTTCAACCATCACAAAACCTGATGGGGTAGGGAAGTGAGTCCTGTCATTTTTCCTGGTGAGTTAAACAACCAGCCTAAAGGTCCACTGCTAGGAAGTGGCAGAGTCTGGATTCAGTCTGGCATGGGAGCCCGCACTCCCAGCCTCTCTGTTATCCTGCCTCCATAGAACACAAACATACAGTGAAGAATGCTTCCTTTCCACCCATCCCAACAATCATTGTTTCCTTAACATCTCCTCTGCCTCCATCCTTCATTTTCCTATTCAAAAACAACTGGTCTACCCAGTAAAGAAAGCCTCAAAATTGGCGCAAGGATTTATTTCCCTGGCAGTGGACATATTTGTTATACCTCTCCCCAAACAAAAATACGTCTCTTTCCCATTCTTATAAAGATCAAAAAACAAATTACTCAGCAACTAAATGGCCAGGACAGGAACGAACAGCCAATTCCATTGCTCATTCCCCACCCATAAGGAAAGGTTCCCATGAAAGTCCCTGACGGTTTAAGGCACAGGAGAAGATGGGAAAAGGGGTTGGGTCCATTTGTTGACTGCAAATCAAGGCCTGTGGAGGGAGTGCTCTTTTCTCCTCTCCACCTCTCAATATCTCCAAGGAGCCCAGGGACACAACAAACTCATGTTAAATGTCGATTAATGTACACCTCTCTCCTCAAAACTTCCAATAACAACCTTTCTTCCTGCTGCGCCCAAGAACATTCCACTCTGGCCAGTGTGGTTTCTCCACATTCCTATTACAAGGCAAGATCACTCCAACCACCTCACCTTTGCTTTCCATGCTCTCCCTGGCTCGAGTTTCCTCCCTCCTTCCCTCTGCTCCTAGAAAGCCACCCTCCAAGGTGATCCCAGCCCCCTCCCCAGGGAGCCTTCCCAACCCCCTGAACTTGAGGGATGGTTCCCTGCTCTGCCCTCCTATACCACAAAGTCTGTGCTGCACAAGTCAGCACTTAATCACAAACCTGCACACATTGCTTCACGGGTGTCTTTGTGTCTTAGACTTCTATATCCACCGCAGCACCTAAGACAGGGCTGAGGGCACAGCTGAGGTGATAAACACACCTGGCTGGTTGACAGAAACTAGAGATGTCCCTGGACTCTGCTCTACCTCCAAAGCTGGTCTCCAAATGGCAATTTCAGGCCAAAGTCATACATACTATTGACCGCACTTGGCATTTCTTCCTTGTAGGAAGAAATTCAGACCCTACCCTGTGAGCCTCAGGCAGTTGGCTGATGGCTTCTCCACATGGCCACTGCTCTGGGCACACAAACGCTTGTTAGCAGAATGCCTGGTTACATACTCCACACTCCCATCTCCTATCTGAAAGCTGTCAAAACTCAAGAAGAGGTATATGTGTCACAATACCAGGGACCCAGGGACTTACAATTTCTGTATTTTCTAGAAGACTTTTAGTGCCATAGTCCTTCCTATCAGAACTTTCTGAAATGCTCTCCACTCAGCAAGGCCTACTCCTCTATTTCTCCCCATGCAGATACACAGTCACGCCAAGGAAAATTCAGAAGTGCTGTCTTCCTGTCCTCTGTTATAAGCACAAGGGTTCAGTATCTGTTTCTTTCCTTTATTTGGCTCTACAGAAGGTGTGTGGTATTTTCTCTCCTCTTATATCTTGAGGAAATAATCGTCAAGCCCTGTAAAGCCAGGGATATCGAAACATGATCTTTTGTGCATTTATTATTTCCAATGACTAATATGTGAAGGATGTACCCTCAAGTTACAGGGATTTAACATAAAATCAGAGCTGCAAGAGAAAGGTGTGATGGTTCTTAGGCGTTTAAGCACATCCCAGCACTGGAAGATACACCCGTTTGCACTGTGTGGTCTCAACTCCATGATAATCTCCAGGCAACCAAAAGCCAGCTGCTTAGCAACACGAGCCAGAGGATCAGCTCACACGTCTCTATTAAAGAGCTGCTCTTGCCTCATGGTAAGTGCAGCTTGAGCTGACGGCACCCCAGGCAGTTGCTGCTGGGCAGAGATTGGGCCCACATGGGCTTGGGGTGGAGACAGCCTGGGGGGAAGGGTTTAATGAAGATAGTAGGAAGAGAGCAGGTGGCGGGTCATCCAAAAGTTAAAGGAAGAATTCAAAATGAGGCACAGGTTACAATTCCAGGGAGGGCAGTTGACCCCCTCCATGGAAACTCTGAAGCAGTTGCTTCTGACTCCTGTGTCCCCCAACTCTAGATGTTTTGCCCCCTGAGGGTATAAGGGGGCTTGACTTTGGAGACAACACTTGGTGGGTTAGCAGCTCAGCCAGTATAAAGAGTTTTGGGGCCTCTAGTCCAGCTCTTTTCCATTAAGCACTGCATATGATAGGAAAGCTAATGGCAATTTGTAAAACTACCATTTAATGGAATTTTACAAAGCTCAGGCTACAGCAATCCCCCAGTGTCAGAGATAACCTCAAACCAATGTCAACAGAGACACTCTCATACTATCTTTCAACTTGATCTTTCAACTTGACCTCCTAGAGGAGTATCAGCTCATTAGGAACCACATTCACACCAAGTGATGCCCTTAAGAAAATAGTCCCATAGAGGAAGAATTCCCCTATGCAGAAAGGGCTTGTTTTTGTGATCTCAGAGTGCCTGCCCACCTGTAATCTCATTTGAGCCTTAGTTCATTTTCCCTATATGAGGGAACATGTGATATATATTGATAATATAATCCTATCTCCACTACTAAACCAAATATCAAAAACAATATAGAAATCAGTTGACTGCCTCCATTTATTATCCATCCAACTTAATTCATTCTAAAGCAGTAAACATGTATTGAGTCCTTTCTGTATGACAGCAGGCATCACACCAGGAAGAAATAGCAAAATGACACTCCTCCCCTCAAAGGTCTCGCAGAAGGGCCACAACCCAGCCTCCCTTGCCTTTGTTGTATAATGGCACATGGAAAACTCATGGTAGATCAGAACACTGGAGCAACCAGAAGCAGCCACTCACAGCCAGAAAGGAGTGACTTGGAGCTCTGGTCACCCTGTCAGTTTACCCAGCTCTACCACTTACCAGCTAGGACCTTGAGCATGTGACCCAGTGACTCTGTAACTGAGCTTTCTAAGCTAGAAAATGGGGCCAATAATAGTACATAACTTGTTGGGTCATTGTGAGGAACAAATAAGCTAATACATGCAAAACTTAAGAAAGAGTAGCTGGCACGCAAGTGCTCATGAAAGGTAAACTATTGTTATTTTCTCCCATCTTTTAAGAGGGCTCTGCTAACTATATCTACGTATGTGTTTTTTTTACAACAATTTATATTTCCTATCATCTTTGGCCACCATCTCCCTCAAAGGCTATAGGAATTCTGGCAGTTCCAACTCCACACGCCTTTTTCTCTGGACAAGTCTCCTCTTCCCAAGAACTTTAGGAATTCTACGAGGGGCTTGGCTGTGTAAAAGACTACCTCCCTGATACCTTTATGTGGCCCTTATTCTTCAGTCTCCTTCAGTTCATTGAAGACCAGTGCCTAAGCAGTTTATTTCGATTTTGTGAAAATATTTCATAAACATTTTAGGGCAGGGGACATTTCCAGACTTCCTTGAGTCCTCAGAGGGAGCTACTCTCTCTTCTGATGGCTTCAGCTCACCGATGTAGGGATGAGCTGAGAGCCTGCTTGCTTTATGAAAATGGGGGAGCAACAGGCATGTGTATGGGGGTAGGACAACAATTATTTGGTTGACTTTCTTTAAAAACAGCTTTGAGATAAATCCCACACCATAAATTCACCCATGTAAAGTGTACAACTCAATTGTTTTAGTATATTCAGAGATATGTACTAAACCATCAGTTTTAGAACATTTTCATCACCTCAAAAAGTAACTCCTTATTCTTTAGCGACCACCCCCTGTTCTCCAATTCCCCACCCCCAGCCCTGTGCAACCACAAGTCTACTTTCTGTCTCCATGGATTTCCCTGTTCTGGACATTTCATATGAGTGCAATCATACAATATGTGGTCTTTTGAATCTGACATTGGTGACTTAGCTTAATATCATCAAGGGTCATCCATGTCAGTGCTTCATTCCTTTTTATGGCTCAACCATGGATATTTCACATTTTATTTATCCATTCAGCAGTTGACGGCATTTGGGTTGCTTCTGCTTTTTGGCTATTATGAATAACACTGCTATGAATATGCATGCACAGGTCTCTGTGTTTTCATTCCTATTGGGATCATACCTAGGAGTGGAACTGCTGGGTTATATGGCAACCACGTTTAATCGTTTGAAGAACTGTCAGAGAGTCTTCCAAAGCGTCTGCACCATTTTATAGTCCTGTATTGGGTTACTGAGTGGGCAGTTAGAAAGCCCCAAGCTGAGGCCTCAGTGTGCACTCCATCATCCTCCAAAGTTTATCCTCAAGCTGATGTCACTTTGTTTTCCTCCATTAGACCTTAAGATACATTTTTCTCTTATCAAACAGGAGTTTGATTGAGAGATTATTCAGACTGCCTAAACATTGAAGAGTTGTTCCTATCAGTGGGGCTACTAGTTCTGGAGATCTAGGGTGATGGGTGTGTCTGAACCGGCTGGGGCCACAAATACATGTACAGACATGGCCTGAGTAGCAGTTACTCAGTAACTGGCAGGGCCAGGATGAAAGAAGCCAGTTCTCAGGTCTCAAGCCTCCTCCTCTCCCACTGTCCCAGTGTCTGCCTTCACCCACTCACGCACCCTTTTCCACACCTAGTGAACACTGGCACTAGTGTTCGCCTGAGCCATGAGAATGTCCTGCACATGTATTTTCCCCTTTGGGGAGGTTCTGATGTTTATTTCCTTCTGCTTTCACTCAGCAGAAGGGACTCCACACATGCCATGGTACATGCCTGTAGGTTATTTCCTGTGTTTTTCTCTAGCCCCAGCCCTAGAGCCAAAGAAGGCCTAGATTTTCCAAGAAAAGGTTGGGGGGAATTCATGACAATGATCCACGATCTGTTGGGATGTCCTCTTCAGAGGCCTTTGTCTCCTGGTGGCCTTCCCCGCCCCTGATCCTATTGGTGTTCTCTAAATGTGAGCCAAACAGCACAGAATGTGCCGTGGCCCTCCCTTGGAGGCCAGTTCACACTGGAAGAGGGGTGCAGGAGGAAGTTCCCCAAATTCAACCCCAAGACAAGGCATAAACACACTTCAGTGGAAAGGCAGCAAATAAGAGAGGCCAGAGGGCAGAAGGCAAATACCACTGCCTACGCTGGCTTTCCTGTGGTTTCTCTAGCCAAGTAATTTAGAGATCACATGTTTTGGAAAGGAAGCAGGTGTCCGTCTCCAAGCCTGCAGAGTCCACGGCCCAGCCCAGCCTTCCCACACCTGGTTTCCAAGCTCCACAGTGATCCTCACTCACTGGCTGTGTTCTTTCCCTTGACAGGTTGTCCGTACGGCATCAGCCCAAGAGCCCAATTCATCAGCTCTTTTCCCCTCTGTCTACCCCACAACCCCTACTCATCTCCCTACCCCTGATGTCTTGTTTTCAATTAAATTCAAGTGGAACCAGCTGTTTCCATATAACAACCTTGATTTACATGCAGCTTATCCAGCCCACGTGGGCTGGCCTCCAGCCTAACTGTTCTGACACCCTCTCCAGGTGGCTGTCCATCCCAGCTGGCATACCCTGGCCACTGCCATATCATGCCAGCTCTCCCTGAAGAGGAGGGGTGTGTGACAGCAAAGGGGAATGAACACAGCTTAGATGGTGAAAGGAGCTGTGAGACCCTCCAACCTCTGCAACATTCAATAATACGGCCTGTCCTTTGGGCTTCTGCAAAATACAAACTAGTAGGATATGCTCTGAAGACCTGCACTTCTCCCCTCCCTTCCCATTCCCCCCCTCGCCAACCTCAGCCCTGCGGTGCCTCAGCCCCAGGCCCACTGCAGAGGACTCTGGCCCATGAAAAGTCATTCCTACATGTGCCTTTAGTTTCCAGCTGGTGGACAGATTGGTTTACTATATACAACCATAAAGCTTCAGAGATTTGGGTTGAATTTGAATCATCGGGTTTTAAAGTAACTATAGAAACCGAAAAATGGTTTATGTGGTTATTATTTTTTCCTCCTCCAATTGCATTTATTGTCCGAACCCTTTTCTGTTCTGGCCCTGTTCTCCTCCACAGTCCTTGCAAAATGCTAGTTGAATAGAGGCTGAATCTTAAATATGTATTGTTGATAAAATTGTTTGGTACAATGACCAGAGTTTAACTAAAAATAAATGAGTTACAATTTTGGGAAAAAAAGTTAAAGCTGTGCCACAGACTAGACAAGAGAAAGCTAAAGCCTACATTACACAGTCCCCACCCTTGCTGGGGAACGAAAGGCTCCACCTGCCCCTTCCACAGCCAGCACATGAGATTTTACCTGCAGTAGCGAGAGGTGACAGCGTGCTGGCAGTCCTCACAGCCCTCGCTCGCTCTCGGTGCCTCCTCTGCCTGGGCTCCCACTCTGGCGGCATTTGAGGAGCCCTTCAGCCCACCACTGCACTCTGGGAGCCCCTTTCTGGGCTGGCCAAGGCCGGAGCCGGCTCCCTCAGGTTGCAGGGAGGTGTGGAGGGAGAGGCGCCAGCGGGAACCGGGGCTGCGCGCGGCGCTAGCGGGCCAGCTAGAGTTCCGGGTGGGCGTGGGCTTGGCGGGCCCCGCACTCGGAGCAGCCGGCCGCCGGCCCTGCCAGCCCTGGGCAATGAGGGGCTTAGCACCGGGCCAGCGGCTGCGGAGGGTGTACTGGGTCCCCCAGCAGTGCCGGCCCACGGGCGCTGCGCTCGATTTCTCGCCGGGCCTTAGCTGCCTTCCCGCGGGGCAGGGCTCGGGACCTGCAGCCCACCATGCCTGAGCCTCCCACCCCCGACCGTGAGCTCCCGTGCGGCCGGAGCCTCCCCGACGAGCGCCGCCCCCTGCTCCACGGCGCCCAGTCCCATCGACCACCCAAGGGCTGAGGAGTGCGGGCGCATGGCACGGGACTGGCAGGCAGCTCCACCTGCAGCCCCAGTGCGGGATCCACTGGGTGAAGCCAGCTGGGCTCCTGAATCTGGTGGGGACGTGGAGAACCTTTATGTCTAGCTCAGGAATTGTAAATACACCAATCGGCACTCTGTATCTAGCTCAAGGTTTGTAAACACACCAATCAGCACCCTGTGTCTAGCTCAGGGTTTGTGAATGCACCAATTGACACTCTGTATCTAGCTACTCTGGTGGGGCCTTGCAGAACCTTAATGTCTAGCTCAGGGATTGTAAATACACCAATTGGCACTCTGTATCTAGCTCAAGGTTTGTAAACACACCAATCAGCACCCTATGTCTAGCTCAGGGTTTGTGAACGCACCAATTGACACTCTGTATCTAGCTACTCTGGCGGCGACTTGGAGAACCTTTGTGTGGACACTCTGTATCTAGCTAATCTGGTGGGGACGTGGAAAACTTTTGTGTCTAGCTCAGGGATTGTAAACGCACCAATCAGCGCCCTGTCAAAACAGACCACTGGGCTCTACCAATCAGCAGGATGTGGGTGGGGCCAGATAAGAGAATAAAAGCAGGCTGCCTGAGCCAGCAGTGGTAACCTGCTGGAGTCCCCTTCCACACTGTGGAAGGTTTGTTCTTTCACTCTTTGCAATAAATCCTGCTGCTGCTCACTCTTTGGGTCCACACTGCCTTTATGAGCTGTAACACTGGGAAGGTCTGCAGTTTCACTCCTGAGCCGGTGAGACCACGAACCCACCAGAAAGAAGAAACTCCGAACACATCCAAACATCAGAAGGAACAAACTCCAGACGCGTCACCTTAAGAGCTGTAACACTCAGCGTGAGGGTCCACGGCTTCATTCTTGAAGTCAGTGAGATCAAGAACCCACCAATTCCGGACACAGTAGGATGTAAATGTATGAACAAGACACTCTGTAATCGGGCTTTATTGTGTTTAGACTGTATGCTCTTTTAAATGTACTGTAATCTAAGAGATCAGAACACCCAAGATTCCCGATTGGCTAAAGAAATACTCAATTTGAGAGGATGTCAAAATTGCTCAAATAAAAGATGATCTGCAGACTTTGCCAAATAAGAAATGGCTTATTTCATTGGGTGCAATGGCTCACACCTACAATCACAGCACTTTGAAAGATCAAAGCAGGAGGATCACTTGAGCTCAGGAATTAAAAGACCATCCTGGGCAACAGTGAGACCCCCATCTCCACACATGAAATTTTTTTTTTAATTAGCCAGGTGTGGTGGTGCACACCTCTAGTCCCAGCTACTTGAGAAGCTGAGATGGGATGATTGCTTGAGATAAGGAGGTCAGGACTGCAGTGAGCCGTGTTCACACCACTACACTCCAGCCTGCATGATAGATCTAGACCCTGTCTAAAAAAAAAAAAAAAAAATTTCTCAGTGCATATAGAAGAATATAGAAGAACTAGTTCTCTCTCCTGTCATAAAGATACTACATTTTAGAAAATTTTAAAGGAAAAGTAAGTAGAGATAGAAAAGACTAACATGAAATCCATCAGACACCACACCCTTCTCAATGTCCTTAGAGTTCCTTCCTCATACCACCATCTCTCTCTTGAGCCCTAGAGCCATCCTAAACTCTCCAAGTTCTACCACCAATTTTCAAGGCTCCCTACCCAGACAAATTTTTCTCCCTGATTACAAGTCTGTGTTGAGGGGATGTAGATGCTGCATAATTCATCTCAGTGGAAGAGATACCCCGATTTCTCTCTCAGGTTCCTTAAATCCACCTGTGACTGCAGGTGTGTATCACTTGTGGGACAGTGGGAGAGGAGGATGCTTGGGAACTAAGAACTGGCTTCTCTCATCCTGGTCCAGCCAGTTACTGAGTGACTTCTAGTCAGGTCATGTCTGTACATGAGACCAAGGGCACATGTGAATCAACCAGCACCAAAACAAGGCCGCGACTGAGCTCCACCAGCACCACGCTCTGCTGAGCTAAAGGCAAATGAGAAAAAGATCATACGAATTTGATAGAACTTTGAGATACTTGAAAATCTACATCTGCCTCTAGGAGGCCTCAGGACCTTTCATTTGTCCTTTGTCTACTCCTCAGGTAGAAACAACTTGCTCCTGGAAAGACCCAAAATAACCTAAATCTCTAAAGATAAGGAGGCTGAATTCTTTAGGGTTCACTGGAGCTTTGGGAAATTCTAAAATACTCATACAAAACAGCTGATTCCCAATCCTATTAATATTTAAACCCTTTGTTCTTGGAAGTTCATGCCATCGATCTTAAAGATGTGCTTAGAAGCTAAGAACAGATGCATTAAATACTTAAATCTATTAATTACTAAAAAATGAAACAAAAAAATAGAGACTCATTGGGCTGAAAGAACAGCATGCCTTACTCCTTCATTATATTATTTTGCAAAAAATCATCAGGTGGAAAGAACAAAAATGTCAGTCTAAAATACAATATGGAGTCTGGGTACAGTGGCTCACGCCTGTAATCCCAGCACTTTGGGAGGCCAAGGTGGGCAGATCACCTGAGGTAAGGAGTTCGAGACCAGCCTGGCCAACATGGTGAAACCCCAACTATACTAAAAATACAAAGATTAGCTGGAGGTGCTCGCTTGAACCCAGAAGGTGGAGGTGGCAGTGAGCTGA
Source organism: Homo sapiens (assembly GCF_000001405.40). Lineage (NCBI taxonomy): Eukaryota > Metazoa > Chordata > Mammalia > Primates > Hominidae > Homo > Homo sapiens. The sequence goes on along the minus strand of NC_000002.12, from coordinate 45,915,003 downwards.
GGTCATGCCACTGCACTCTAGCCTAGGTGACAGAGACTCTTGTCTCAAACAAACAAACAAGCAAAACAATATGGAAAGTTCTAGCAAAAGGATACTTTTTTTCAGCAGTTGATAGTAAGAGAAAGTGGGGTTTTGTGGGAAAACCAAGAAAGAGTTCCCTATTACGTATGCATGGATCACTCCCCAACAGCTGAGTGCTCCTACATAGCTATACATGGCATTCATTACTTCCTATGTATGCCAAACCAATAAAAGCAACACTTGATTAACTTGCCATCAATGAAAGACTTTATGGACTCTTTAAAATTTCTAATCAGATTATGGTTCATTGACTTTAACATGTGTAGAAAGAACCTGCTGAGGAAGCTCTAAATGCATGGTCCAGGGAGAGGAAGAGGAACCTAGGAAGCAGATGGGGGACGATCAGCCTGGTGGAGTGAGAGAAAACATGGAGGTAGGGACTGGTTCCCAAACCAAAGAGCAAAGAAATAGTTATCAGTCTCGCACACTTCCTGGACCACCATGGCTACCTACATGCCACAATTCCTAAATCTAGATCTACAGCACAGAACACTCCTGAGCTCCAGACCCAGGGAGCCACCAGCCCTCTGGACCACACATCGTTGAGACACATCCAAGTCCACATGTCCAAACAGAGCTTGCTCATCCCTGCCTCTGGTGTTCCATATTCAGTCACTGGACATATCGTCCACCCATCTTATTAGCTATTCTAGACACTCCAGCATTTACCCTCCACCTGGCTTGCATTGTTATTTTTTTGAATTCACATATGAATTTATCTTCCTAATTATAAACTCCTTAATGCCTTCATAGCACCTAGCATGATATTGTATGCTTCCACGTAATTTAAGTCATCAGTAAGTTATGTGAAGACTAGAATGTGAATCACACTTTGCTACACATGTAGAGCTGTATCTGCTAAGAGCTCTTGACATTGTTAACGGTTTCAATCCAGGAAGAAAAGTACTAGGCTCCATTAAGTTTGTAGGCCACAAATAAAATCTCAGTAAATTCTGCATCGAGGATAAAAAGAAAGGAGGGTACAAATTCTTGTTTTTCTAAGACTTGAGGAACAGACACTCCAGTTTGGGCAGGATTCCTTACAAGGGAAGTCCTAGAATCATCGTGGATGAGAGGTCACATTGTGTTGGGCTGTAATGTGTCTGTTTATACACTGGCTCCTCTCCCTGACTACACACTAGACACCTGGATGGCAGGGACAATGTCTGCAGGTTATATTCCCAGCAGCCTTGGAATGCACTCAATTTATTATTTGTTCAAGTGAGTGAGTGAACATATGCATGGATAGACAGAAAAACTGGTTTACTAATGCTGAAGAAGGTCTTTCAGCCAGAAGCCCCAAAAACTAGGGTTGGAGAGATCAGGCCAGGCGACAAGACTTGAAGCAGCTCTCAAAGGTACATGAGGCCCCTTTTCCAGATACCGGAACTAAGAGTCATTTAATCCAAGGAACACCAGAACCCAGAGCTCCACTGAGCAGGGAGTCTGTACCAGGAGCCAAGCGCTCTTGCTGGCTGGGCATGGTGGCTCACGCCTATAATCCAAGCACTCTGGGAGGCCAAGATGGGTGGATCGCTTGAGCCCAGGAGTTCAAGACCAGCCTGGACAACATGGCAAAACCTTGTCTCTACAAAAAAGATACAAAAATTAGTCTGGCATGATGGTGCTCGCCTGTGGTCCCAGCTACTCAGAAGGCTGAGGTGGGAGGATCATCTGAGCCCAGGGAGTTTGAGGCTGCAGTTAAATGTGATTGCACCACTGCACTCCAGCCTGGGTAACAAAGCGAGACCCTGTCTCAAAAGAAAAGAGCTTGTCTAGTCAAAACACTCTGAGGAGAATCTCCTGCTCTCTGACAGCACCTTCTCACACAAAGTAGTCAAGACACCACCTTACTTTTCCATAAGTCTGGAGCTTAGAGAAGATACACTTGATGGTGGTACTTGTTTAGCTCCCTCACTGAGTGACTCCTGACCACCAGTTCCAGATATTTTTGATAATGTCACTATGGAACCACTGTGTCCTCAGAATGGCCCCATAAGGTATGGGCTTGAACTCCATCAGGACTTCATTCTGGGCTCTGGCGTGGGTTGGATGGTGGTCCCCAGGAGGCTCCTAGGCAGCTGACTGCAAATGTACATGTGGCCCCAGACCCTGGAACTAAGTCTATTTTGTCATTTCCAAATGACAGACCCTTCTCTCAAAAGCTTTTCCTTTGTAATCTACTGTGTTAGAAGCCTCCAAGTTCTACCTGGCTGCTCCAGTGCAGATTTTCGGTGAGATGCGCTTCTAAGGTGCGTTCCTAAGTCCACTCCATGCCACCTGCAGAACCTGTCTCTCATGGTCCCCAGGTTGGCTCCTTCCAGCCTCCTGAATTATTTCAACTGCCAGGAGCTGTCAGAAGCCTTCTCCTCTGATGAAGGCTCCAGCTGTGAGCCTCAGCCTTCCCCAATCAAGGCCCTGCAGTGTGTGGCAGAACCCCAGCCCCCACCCACTCCCAAGGCAAAGCACTCCTTCTCCACCAAGTGAAGGCTAAGCAGGCCCGGGATGATGGCAACGTGTGCTTTTCTTCCTCTCTCACCCTCCTTGTACCTGGAGCTCACCACCAGGGCAGTGCCCAGGCCCTGCAGCTGCAGAGATGTGGATCCTGGGGCCCTCTATCTATTACTGATTAGCCATTTAGCTCCAGGCTGGACATTGACCCCTTATCTCAACTCTGTCACGGGATAACACCTTCCCTGCCTATCTTCAGAGTGTTGTAGAGACTCCAGGGATTATCAAAGTACTTTGAAAAACAAATGGTTGCCATCGTTCCTGGTATTGTTCTTCTCTCCCCAGTTCTATGAGAGGGGCGTAGCTATGACTGCTACACTAGAAGAACTGGGGAAAGAGAAAGACCCTGAAACTCCACTACCAGAATGCGTGGGAAACATTCTCCCAAGCTAGAAAAAAATGAAAACTTTTTTCTAGCTTTTCATTCTAAATAAAGACAACAACAACACAATAAAATACCACCACCACAACAAGCAGCAGCGGCTGACATACCAGCACCTGTTAAGATTTACCAGAGACCAGGACACACACTATCGCCATTAATTCTCATAACAATCCTACCAGGTAGGTATGGAAATCATAAGTTATCTGCCCTTATCAAAAAATGAAAGCCTAGAGAAGGTAAAATAACAAGGCTAGCAAGTGGCAGTATAGAACTAAATGCAGGCCCAGCTCACCTTTGTCACCTGTGACCGTTGTGGGGCAATCCCTCCAGCTTCCTTGAAGCCAGGTAACATGACCAACTCAGTTATCTTCAGGTCTGGGGCATTCCTAAAGTCATAGAAAATGGACTGACAGAGACTGAGGAGTCATACAATCAGCCCATCCCTCTGCCTACATCCAGGACTAACAAAGAATATTCTTTCAAAGCAATTTCTCATCTGGTCTCTAGGGTTCAGGGGAAAGGGACCATGTTTAGCCCAGAGGTATGGCCTCCTGGAAATAGTCACAGCTGCTTCAAGCCACATCTGGGATTTTTGGACCCTCAAGAGACTCTGCAATGCTCTGCATGCATAATGCAGCATTTCTGAGCAGGTGAAACACTCCCGTCCAGTGCAGTGCACATGCTGTCTAGCCCTGGTTTGTATTCTCAGTGATTCCCTTTCCTGAGAAGAAAGGTAGGGAAGGTTGTGCAACAGTGGGGCTAGACAGGTGTCAGTGGGAAAAAACAACTTAAAAATAAACCCAGCTCTTCCTAATGTTGATTGATAAGCATTTCCCCTGGAAATTTGTAAAGAAAAACCCTTTAGGCTGAAAATGCCAGTGGTCAGTATCTCCTGGGTAAATGCAGAATGCTCAAGCCTTTGCTAGGGTTTGAAACAAAGGCCTGCACATGGCAGCTGCTCAATGCAATCAGTCCACCTCTCCATTGAAAAAGCCCGTGAGTAGTGGTTCCCATTTTTCACTTTGTGATCAGCATCCCTTCTTGCCCTGTTTTCCATTCCCCAGTCTCCCATTCTCCTCCTACACACCCAAGACACTCAGCAAACTTGCCACGGCACGCTCTGCTTGCCAGGCCTTCAAGTTGTACGGTTTGCTGCACAGCAGGACCAGCGTGGGACTCTGTCCAGCACATCCTGGACTGCTCACCGCCCCCTGCCAGGCCTGCAGCTCTAGCCCCCTAACCTTGGCTAGGTTCTCTCCCACCCTTGGAACCATCTTTCCTCCCTGTTCACCATGGACCCGCCTACCTCCAATAGGTAGGAAATAGTTAAGGAAAGAATCTAGTGTTTACTGAGCCCCTGCTGTGAGACACTGAGCTGGGCTATCCAACAGATAACACTTCATTTAATGATCATAACAAACTTGTTTAGGAAGTGTGAAGTAACCAAGGCTTGGAGATACCAAGAACCTCACCCAAAGGCCCTGAGCTAATAACCAGAGAAGTTAGGGTTTGAACCCTAGCCTACTCCCATGTAAGGTGCTCCCAGGTTATCCTTTCTATCGTGCAACTCACACCCCCAAAGTAGTACTAGGCTAGAGAAAACATGATTGTGGACACGGATGTCTCCCCACTGGATGGCAAGTGTTTTCAGGGTGGGCTTCCTGTCTTAGCACCCTTTAGATTCCTCACCACCTCCTCCTTCCATTTCCCAGTTACTCCTAGTCTGGAACTCTGCACACAGCCACTGGGACTCAAGAACAACCAGTTCACAGTGACAATGGCCTTCAGAGACACTTAAGGTGAGGCTCCAGTTACATGGGATGTTTTTCTTAACAGCAATTTAGCAGTGGCATTTTTAGAATCATTAACTACAAATGGAACTACACGTCATTGTTATTAGGTGTCTTATTTTGCATTAAGTACCTTGTAGCATGAGTTGAGGTATCCTGGTCACACATTCCTGGGCACTTGGCTGGGGGGGGGCGGTGAGTTTACTGGAAAGGGCCATTTACAGAAATGCCACTCTGTCACTTCTACCTTGCACATAAGCAGAAGTGTGATTCCGGTTCTATTTGAGGGAGAAGGCAGTAGACTGTCTCCATGGCAACCCCAAGCAGCATGTGGAACTAGAGCCTAAATAAGGTTTGGGGAAAATTAAGTTGTTGGCCACGTGTCTGCCCCACCTTGTCATGGGCAGTGGCTTGGAATACCTGCCTGAAGGAAAGAGACAGGTATGGTGACCTGGAAGGGATGTTCTAGGAACAAGTCCAGGAAGCACTGACTCACTGACTCCTGCCTGGAAGGCTTTTCTAAATGCCTCACTGTGAAACGGTAGCCTCACCAGGAAAACTAAGCACAGAATGGGGGTAGGGGATGAGGAAGAATAATTTAGAACACACTTGCTAGCTTGTTCCCTAAGGTTTTATTTTCGCTGATTTTTGTTAGCTTTGTTTATTTGCTATTTTAACAACTTTCTAAATTTCAGAGCATTCTCAACTATGCCCTTTAGGAACAATACAACCAATATCATTTCAGGAATAGTCTTAGCTTAGCTATAGGCTGGCCACCCCTTAACAACTTCCCTTGGAATGGAATCATAATGTTTGGGATGGGGGAGATTATGATGCACAGTACTGGCAAGTCTGTTGAATTGTTAATATCAGCTCTAATGAGAAAATGAACATCCACATCCCCCTTCTGGTGCCTACCACCTCGTAATACTTGGCAAACTCATAAACCAATTGGAGCCTTCCTTTCTTGGGGACAATAATCTTCGTTCATCTTATAATGGCATTTTGAATATCAAATAAAATAATGACCATGAAAGTGCTTTGTGAGACAATATAATCTGCGAATTGAAGGAAGTGGTACTATTACTAATAAATGCAGGATTTAATGCAAATAAGTTGCATGACTAATGACGTTATTTTAGCAAAACTGTTTGGTGTTTTTCTCTGCCAATCTTTTTCTAAGTTCAAAAACAGATGGTGAAAGAAGTCTCCATGACTGGCTGACTTCAAGGTCAAGGCTCAGTCACGCATTTTTATGTGGCGCAAAGAGTGGCCAATCGATTAGACATAGAAATCAGAGTGCTAAGTAGAAAGCTGCCAGAATAGAGGACTGCGGGGCTCAGAGGAAGGAGAGGGGTATGAATCTGCCCACTGTACAGCCTGTCTGCCCCCATCTCTGTGGTTTTGCCCACCCTGGAGGATAATCCTTCTCACACAGGGAAACTGAGGCAACATTCTCCCGGAGAGATCCTCCACATTGCCCCAGTGGGACCTTATCGGCCTCTTCCAGTCTTTCCTATCCAGCTAGTGTTGAGAAACCTGAGTGTGAGAAGAACACAGGACTCATTCACAATGAGTCATGGCTTTTGATGGGAAAGATATCCAGGCTATACCAGTGCATCCTCAGGACCCTTGCCCCTCAGATGAGGTCCACAAACAGCAGCATCGGCAAGACCAGGAGCTGGTTTGAAATGCAGAAGCCACAGCCACATGGTCACCCACTGAGTCAGAATCTGCATCCTAACACAATGCATCTTTCCCATTGGCTAATCCTTTGTCCAATGGGCGAGAGAGAGTGGAGCAGTCGCTTCCAGTCACACTTACTTAGCGTTTGGGAGCAGACTGGGTCTTCAAGTCTCTAAACCCTAGGGTCCTTGCTCCTGGTCCGTTTCTGGCTGTGTATTGCCTGGCCTGCAATGCCTGCAGCTGCCTCTTCAGCACTTGCTTCTTCCCAGTGCCTAGGAGTTATTTTATCATGTTTCTTTCCCTTCAACCTGTGCCTGAGAAGCAGATCCATAGGGCCAATGATGAGACTGGGAAACTGAGGGAGGTAAAGGGTAAACAGAGGCACAGTGAGGGGCCACATGACTGAGATATAATTCCTTCCCCTTGGCCAGCGGTATGATCAAGGGCCTGGAGTCTTGACTTCCATTCCTGCCCATCCATTAACCAGCCACTCACACTCTGGAAAATGCCTCAAAGGTCTTCTGCTTCCCCCGTCTCAAAAATGGGGTGATAATCGCCCTCCCCACTTCAGAGATTTGAAAAGGATGAAGTCGGACAGAATCCTAGAAGGTGAAAACTGGGAGGGGCATGGGAGATCATTCTGGACAAGGCGTTTTGTTTAACATAGATACCAGGCACTGTTCTCAGCACTCGGCAAGTATTATTAGCTCAGAGGATGGGCACGGTGAGGCTGTGAAGTAGGGACTGCTATGACACCCACTTCAGAAGGAGGCAGCAGAGACCCAGAGGTGGCCATTGGCTCAGTCACGCCCTCAGGTACTACAGCTGCGCAGTGGTGCTGTGCTCCACTTGGCCTTGGAGAGGTGGCCACGGCAGATGTGGGCTCATGCTCCTTCTCCCTGGACAGAACAGTCCATAGAATGCGGACCACGATGATTGGCACTGGGAAAATGACACACGTGACATGGGAAGCAGGCTTGGGCACACGCTCACTGCCTGCTATGCCACTGCCCGGAGAGATGAACAGGGCCTGCGATGACGCCCTCAGAAGTGTGCTTCGTCCATTGTTACCTCTGTGGCAGGGACAAAACTCGTCTTGGTTTTGTTCACAGGAGTGTTACCCCAACAGCTATTCAGCAAATGCAATGCAGGACTCGCAGATGTTCTTGGCTTTTGAACCCAGACACAATCCAGTGCATTCAGATATTTCCTCAATATCCAATTTGCCTGCCTCTCATTCCTGAAAGTCACTCAATAGGGGGCTGATTTATTTTTTCCTTTGCCAACTGCCAGTCCACTTAAAATCTTTTTATTCTCAGTCAGATGCTCTGTGATAGTTAAAGCTTCATTTTTCTCTTCTCTCGGGCTTTCTTTCCATCACTGGCCTGATCATGTCAGCAATCCTGGCATTTTACCTTTGCTCCTCAGAAATTTAACATGGAGCGTGTACCCTCTGACCGCCTTCCTTCCGTCTATACCACTTAGACCTCCGACGCCTAATTTTGGAGCAACTGGGGCCCCATCCAGCCTGGTCCCTGCAGGGGATTATGGGGAGACACTGCATTTCTCTCCTACTGTGTTCTCTGGGCCCACACTCACAATGCAGCTCCTTAAAGAAGGGCGGCAGGAGAAGCCCATGAAACACTGTCCCAGCCAAGCGCAGGGTGTGACCCATCTCTGAAGATGTTCTGAGTATCAAACAGAAGTTCCCATCAGTGCTGGCCCCAGGCCTCTGCAGGGTAGGCACATACAGCAGGCACCTCAGAAGCTGCCGGCACATTGATGCCCAGAGCTGCCGCCTGATGGAGGGTGGGCCAGCAGCAACAGATCAAGACCTTGGTTCCTGCTGCCTCCCACACAGAGCACATGAGTAGAGGGGAGCATCACCCTGTCAAGGCAGAGATAGCTTCCCCCAACCTAACCCAGCAGAGGTAAGATCAAAGGACGGCCCTGGAATCCCATCAGACAGGCCCATGCTCAAAACCAGAGGAAAGGTGTTTGGGGAGACACTGGAAACCCGTCCCCCTCTTCCCTGCCCTTGAATTAGAGCCATGCATAGCACCACAGGTAGAAAGGACTTGTCTTGGTTTAACTGTGGGTGTTCCGTTTTTGCTTTAGTAAATGTACAACTTTAAGTCTTCAGAGTACCTCACAGCAATTCTGCAGCTGAAGATCCACAGGGGTTTAATTAACCCAATTGCCTTTGACTTCCTGCCTCCAGAAACCTGTTCTCTGCACCTTGGCAATGTCTTGCCCCAAGCAGAGCTGCCTATGCCCTGTGAGCAGTGCAGCCTCCTGGACTCAGCACCAGCACACCAGCGGTGATCCAAATGACCAGAAGATGCCCAGTAGGCCAGGTGGTTGAGATTCTTCACCTAGGTCTTAGCAATCAGCTAGCGGCTTTCCCTCCCTAGCTCCAGCAATGTGTCAGGCAGAGTTGCGGGGAGCAGGAAAGCCGCTGCATCTGGGTCTACCAAGTTAGGATAATTCATGTTAGATTCCAGCATGCTATCATGATACCAACCCACGCTCCATACCCGGGTCATGTGGGTAGGGGAGGAGGGTTGAAAGCGCATCACCGCTGAAGATAGCCTGCCCACCCCGGCCCTTCATGTGGGCAGACACCATACCCCGCACAAGCACATCCTTCCTCCCAGGGAACCTCTTGGAGTAAAGACCTTCAAGGAAATTATTCCCACTGTGGGAGCCACATCTCACCCAATTTGTAACTGAGTACAGAGTTGAGTAAGCAGTTCAGGTCAACACGTGTGTTCAGGGACTATAAAGAGCATGGGCCGGTCTCCATTTACCCTTCAGTAAACATCCTATCTTTGTAGATCACAGTTGCAGTGTTCCACCACCTGGCATCCACCCTCCCAGCATCAGAGGTTCCCCAGCTAGGGCCCCGGCCAGCCCTCAGCCCCTTAGAAAGGACTTGCAGGGCCAGGATACACAGAGCCCGGTGAAAGCCCTGCTTTGCCCAGCTTTTAGGAAAGCTCACAGGGCTCCAATGTGCTTAAGCTGTGTTTTACCAGATGGCAGGGTGTTTTTTACCTGATTATTAAAGCCATAGTCTACTATGGCCCATCAACAGCCAATTTGGCCTCAGCAAAATAGATTTCAGCTCTCTCAGCACTAGTCTCCTAGCAATCAGCTCATCAATATGTATAATGTTTAGAAGCTGGATATTGATTGTGGAATCTAATGGACTCATTCAGGGTTCACCTTGACCTCTGAGTTACTTTTTTTTTGGAGCTTCCCTGTTTTCCCACTACCAGATTCCAAAACTGGGTTAGCGTGGGCTATGTTGGAGAGCCAGCCAAGAGGTTCCTGAGGCTTGGCCATAAGTCAAGGATGCTCTTGAGCCAGGGTTTGCCCTAGCCAGTGTGAGATGGCCTGGACTACGGCCTGCCCCAGCATTACTCTGAATTAACAAGGAGCTGCTGTTGCCATAGGATACAGCAAGCACCAGTGGTGTGATTAACACCGTAGCATCCAGTGAGTCCTGTGTGTCACCGTGCCTGCTGAAGTGATGTGGAGCCCCTGTCGCTGTCTGTACAATGGTCAACAAAGGCTACCAGCTCTCCATGGTCCACGCCCGGGACCTCACACGTGGACCCCCAGCTCCCCAGGTTCCCCTGACTCCTCCCCCAGGGCTCACCAACACATTCACAGCACATAGGCTCACCCAGCCCCCCTCTCATGGGTCCCTGCCATCAGGAGAATGTCCCATGCAGGGCTGGAGAAAAGGCAGGCTTCTGGGGCAGCGGGGAGACAGCAAGAGTCTTGGGAAAGAGGAGCGCATCTGGGACAGGTGGCCCAGGCAACCGGGGGAGACGGTTTCCAGAAAGGGATTAGTTTGATTCTTTTTCTTCCTGGTGAGATCCCCGAGCACAGCCCACTTACAGTAAGCCCTGGCCAGTTAGTAATCATCAACGCACATGGAGCTAAGACATTTCGCTTCTTGGCAGGGGAAGAAATGCCCAGAGCCCAACCCACCGAGCACGCCTCTGCCTTCTCAAAAGGCTCATCTCATCCAGAGCCAGCACAGAGACATGACTTTTTAAACCATTGTTTCATTTTCACATGTGATATAAGTCTGTGTTCTCCATTACAAATACCAAAAGTGAGAGGTGGTACTGTTAAGAAACCTCATCTTCTCCCCCTGTGATTTGCCCTGGATGGGCACGTGCCACCCCCATAGTGTTCAGCACAGGCAGGGAACTTGGAGTTCTTTTGGTTTCAAGACTTCTCGGTTCGCACGCAACCGGCTTCTTTCTAAGAAACTGTTTTGTCTGTTTGTTTGCATTTTTAAGAGAATCTAAAAAGCTGAAAAGCTTTTTTAGTAACATTTTGGATCTTGCACTTGATTTAATCCCAGCATATTGGGAGGCCGAGGAGGGCAGATCACTTGAGATCAAGAGTTCGAGACCAGCCTGGCCAACATAGCAAAACCCTGTCTCTACTAAAAATACAAAAATTACCTGGGTGTGGTAGTGCGTGCCTGTAATCCCAGCTACTCCAAAGGGTGAGGCACGAGAATCGCTTGAACTCAGCAATGGGAGGTTGCAGTGAGCAGGGATCATGCCACTGCACTCCAGCCTGGGCAACAGAGTGAGACCCTGCCAAAAAAAACAAACAAACAAACAAACAAACAAACAAAAAAAAACTGCCAGGCTACAAGCTCTCATATACAAATGCTCCCAAACTGAGGGGGATATGATGAAAGTGATGAGGTGGGAAGAGGGTTTGAGGATGTATTAACCCATTTCCAAGAAGGAAGACCTGGGCTCTCTAAAACTTGGAATCATTCCTCACTGCCTTGCCTTGTACATTCTACATCACTTTCTGGTCTGTGTGTCTAGGCTTCCCTGAACATCTTACATGGGGTTACCAGACAGGAGATAAAAATACAAGATGACTGTTTAAGTTTCAATTCCAGAAAAAATAATTCTTTATAACTATGTGACATGCAATATTTGGAACATAGTTATACCAAAATATTATACAGAGTTGATCTGAAGTTCAAATTTAACGGTGTCCTGTATCTTACCTGCAACCCTAATCTTGCTGGGTCTTTCGGCCTCATCTTCCCTCACAGCCCCAGCTGCTGCAACCCTGTCCCATGGGGATGGTGACGCCATACCATTGACACAAAATCCTTCCCTGTATCTCAAGTGAAGAAAAGGGGATGCTCTGTCTATGGAGTAGCCATAATATTCACAAAATTAGTATTTTTTAAAGCCTGTGTTATGTGCCTGTTAATGTATGGAGGAATAACTTCTGAACCAAGATGGCCTGAGGGTATTTCTTGCCAGGCAGGGATCCCTTGGAGGACTCCTCATTCACTGACTTATTTAATGAAGTCCCTCTGACTTCCTTCCAATCAACTCCCTCGGGCACTGAGACCACTGAAAACATGACTATTGATAGTGATTCACACTAAAACACATACTGAAGTGAAATCATTTAGACTAGCATTTCCTCAACTCAATTATATTATTTGGAACTAAACTATATTCACGTAGGATCCTCCTGGGGGGAAAATACATAATTCCACAATCAAATAAGCAGGAAGTTGTATGCTATATATGCCCATCTGGGAAAGTCACTGTACATCAGCATACAAAGGCCTGAGTAGTCTTGCAGTCCAGAAACTCCCAGTGCTCACTCAAGCACTATCCAAACTTATTTGGCCACAGAGCCCACTGAACTCCAGTTCCCTTCTAATAGCTATTAACCCTACAGAGAACACTTTGGATATCAGAAATGTAAATATTTTTGAAACATAACTAACCCTTGAGTTACTGTTTCTTTCTAGCCCCTACTTTAGGTCTGGGGGCTGGGTTCTTCAGAAGTCTTCCTAGCCAAGCTCCCAGACCAGTGTAGTCACAGTCTTTCTTGAAGACCTTACCCAAGTTCCAGCTCCAAGAACTTCCCTGACCCTCCTGGCCTCTCCTGCCCACTCCAGCCAGTTCCTCATTTCTGACTTTTCCCCAGCACAGCTTTTCACACATCCCATGTCCTCAGGATGTTAATCCAAATATCCTGATTTGACTTTTGCTAGTATTTTCTGATTACTTCATTTCTATCTTAGCTCCTCAGGCAGACTTGGAGCTACCTGTGGGCAATATCCTCCTGTTGGATCACAGCCCCTTAGTTCAAGATGGGCTGGGCATTGGCAGGCTGGGCATTGGCAGGCTTTTGGTAAGAGCTTATAGGCAGAATTCTGTTTACTGTATGTATTACACTCATGTTCCAATTACTGCAGGTTTCAGGAACAATGGATGTTTTCTAAGAGAGCCGTGAGCTGGCTTCTCTCATGCACTACGAGAGATGAGAGATGAATCCCAAAGTCGCCTTCTGGGCCCATATTGCTACACCTCCTAATCATCACCATGGCTGGGCAAACACTCCAATTCAAACCCAAGTGGGAGTGGGAAAGACCTGAGAGGGTTGGAGATTTTTATGAGGGTGAAATAATTTCCTAGTTTGTAAGTCAAAATTCCCAAGGACTGTGGGATCTACAACCTAGAAATTCAGATGATTTCAGTTCTTCTGTCCTGGAAAATACCACTTCACTATCCTAAGGCAAAGATGGCCATGTACTCTTATAAAAAGTTATTGCAAAATGACCTGCTCTTAAACTCTGAAGTCACCATACTCTTTTACCGCACCTGGCTGGACTTCAGGGTTTTACAGACATCGTGTGTGAGCTTCATCACAAACCAAGGCCAGCACGGTACAGACTTCCAAGAATTCAACTGCATTTCCATATTCTTCAGGGAACTTTAATCTTCTACCCCAAGACTGAGTTAAAAAGAAAAATCTGAGCAACAACAGGAGAGTCTCTAAGATACATAATGGGAAATGTAAACACATTGTACGAATCAGCTGTGCACACACTTCATCGTCCCAGCAGCATATTTCTTTCCATCTCAGGTGAATTATAAAAAAATCCTTCAAACTTTACACTCACAGCTTTAAATAGCCTTAGTTTCCAAGGTGAAATAGACTGATCTTCTAAATGACAAGTTAAAAATCTATCAGCCATACGTTGATTTTTGTAAATCGGTTCTTTTCTAAAAGGCACAAGTCTTTCCAAGAAGGCCCAGGGCAAACTTTATTGGATCTAGTTCCTAAAAATATTACATGAGAAATATGTGAACAGGCTAATACCTTACCTAGATGAAAACATGACCAGGTCGGAGCGTTTGGCCTTGGGTAAGAACCATTTTAACATTCTGAAACACTAATGCCTTGCTTGTCCCCATCTCAATCCTCAAGCAACCGATTAGGAGTACTCAACACAGACGGTTTTGTAAGCACAATTTGTACTAAGTTCTGGATTTTGTAGCAATTTTTCTGCATCTCAAATCTCAATGAGATTTCCAGTAAAATGGATTCCAAACATCTATATACATAGTAGAGTTTATGATATCAAATCATTTCTGCTCATCAGGACTCAGCCCAAATGTCAATTCATCAGAATCTTTCCCTAGCCAACCCAGCGAAAGCATCTCCATCCCACATATGTGAGGCATGGTTCTGTACCATGTTAATTACCCAGTTTCTTTCCCAAAGTCCTTACAGTACCTGTATTGCCTTACTCATTTGTTAAGTGTGTATTGTTCATCTCTCCTCAGCAGAAAGCAATCTAGTTCTCCTTGCAGTCAGGCCTTCTGTCTGGTTCAATCCTGTATCCCAAAATCATATGCCTGGCAGCATAAATTTAGGAATCAATTACATTTAAAAAGATTTTTACAGTGGTAAATTACACAAACGTGGTTAAAATGGTAAATTTTAAGTATATAATTCATTAGTATTAAGTACATTCACACTGTTGTGAAACCATTACCACCATCCATCTCCAGAACATTTTCATCTTCCCAAACTGAAAATCTCTACCATTGAACAATAGTCCTCTATTCTCTCCTCCCTCTAGCCCATGGCAACCACCATCCTACTTTCTACCTCTATGAACTTGACTATTCTAGGACCTCATGTAAGTGGAATCATAGAATATGTGTGCTTTTGTGACTGGCTTATTTTACATAGCATAATGTTTTCAAAGTTTGTCCATGGCGTAGCATGTATCAGAATTCCCCTCCTTTTGGGGGTGAATAATATTCCACTGCATGTATAGACCACATTTTGTTTATCCATTCATCTACTGATGGACATTCGAGTTGTTTCCACCTTTTGGCTATTGTGAATAATGCTGTTATAAACACTGGTGTATAAATATCCATCTGATCAGTTCCTGCTTCCAGTTCTTTGGGATGTATACCTAGTGTTGGAATTGCTGGATCATATGGTAATTCAATTTTCTGAGAAAATGTCATGCCGTTTTCCACAGGGGCTGCACCACATTACATGTGCACTAGCAACAAACAACAGTTTCCATTTCCCCACATCTTCATCAACGCTTGTTATTTTCTGGGTTTTTTCCAACTGCATTTTATCCGAAGCAACCGTTCCCACTTAAATCTGTTATAGATTAGCTGATCTAGTAAGACACTGAACTGACTTGGTTTACTGTGCAATATATAGTCAGAGGTCACAAGCAGCTAAGTAAAAGTAACTTATCTTTCATAGTTGAGCCCGGGCTAGTAGAAGAAAGATTTATTTCTGGATATTTAGAGCCCCTTCATGCTAGAAATATAACCAAGAAATGAAAAGAGACACAATTGCCGCATGGCTTTCTCCCCAGGTGGTGTCAGGCTTTTCTCCACACTGCCCTGGTCAACAGCAAGTGGAACTTCAGGCAGGAATGCTCTGCACAGCACTACCTACAGGCCCAGCCACTTCTGAGAGAGAATTCAGGGCCTTCGGGAACTATGGTGTTGGCCATTAAAACTTGGAAGGGGCTAGGCACAGTAGCTCATGCCTGTAATCTCAGCACTTTGGGAGGCCGAAGCAGGCAGATTGCATGAGCCCAGGAGTTCAAGACCAGCCTGGGCAACATGGCAAAGCCCCGTCTCTACAAAAAAATACAAAAATTAGCCAGACATGGTGGGGCTCACCTGTGGTCCCAGTCACTTGGGAGGCTGAGGTGGGGAGATCATCTGAGCCTAGGGAGATTGAGGCTGCAGTGAGCCATGATTGTGCCACTGCACTCTAGCCTGGGCAACAGAGTGAGACTCTATCTACAAAAAAAAAAAAAGAAAAAAAATTTTTTAAAAAGACTTGGAAGGAAGGAGGAGTGGCAATTATAATCATCTGAATGCAATGGCCTGGCTTTATCTTTGCCCAACACTGAAGAAGCCTATAAATATCAAAAGGGGGAAAAAGTTTAATTTCCAAAGACAAAGTTTTCAGACCTATGTGACCTCTGAGAGAATAAGGCCATCTGAGAAAACATTTCCTGAAGGTCAAATCCAGGCTTAGGGAATGAGGCCACCAGCCAAAGCTCAGTCTCCTTTCACTCAAAACGGCTGCAGTCTTCCTGTCCTGCGGGACTTGGATTCTAAAGAGAAGGCGCTATGGCCTATTGGACAGTCTCCCCAGCCTCTAGCACAGGGCTTGGCACAAAGCCAGGAATGAACATGTAAGTCCTGAAACAATGAGTTGGGTGTATGGCCTAGCTAAGAAGATTGGGGGCTGCTTTCTTTTTGGGACATTCCACCCTGACTGATGCCTTTTTCATGGACCAGGCCTTAGAGTTCTGGCAGACCCAAGACAGGGGTCCTTCACAGAAGTCCCTGTGATCATCATGGCATGGCCTCATGCGAGTTCAGCCAAGGCAGGCCTTCTCCACTCCCTCCTCAGAGCCACCCTAGGAAATCCTGATCTGGTTACAATAGTATTCAAATCCCTCTCTCTACTCCTCTATTTCTATGTCCCACCCCTCTCCATCTCCCACACTGGTACTCTCTTCCCACAGTAACAGTAGTGGTAATGATAGTAACAGCCAGCTTCATGTTTTATATAGTGCTTTCAATTGCACTGGTTTATTAGATCCTCAGCATAACCAGATAGGAAAGCCCAGGGGACATCTGACTTACTCAGAGTCCTCAAGCAATGTGTGGTGGGACCAAGCTTCCAGACTCCAGCGACCCAGTCCTCTCTGAGTAGCTTTCTGTTCCTTAAGTGTTATCCAAGTATCTCCTAGTGTGAAAGTCAAATGCCCTACCCTTTGCTGCTGCTCTCTGTTACCCACTGAGAAGACAGACAGCTTCCAGCAGGTAGATCCTAATCACACTAACATGCTCAGACTGAACATAATTTCATGTGTTTGTGGCTGTTTTAAACTATGCCCACAAATTCTCTCTTACTCCTCCCTTCAGAGGTGAAGCTTAACTCCCCTCCCTCCTAGTGTGGGCTGGACTTAATAACTCGCCTCTAATGAATAAATAAGGTGAAGCGATGAGTTGTGATTTTAGAGACTAGGTCATAAAAGCCACGTGGCTTCATCTTTGCTTTTTGTTTTTGGGAATTAGACTATTACCAGTCATCTCTATCACGAGGGGCCTGCAAAAGGGAACCACGCCTGTGCCTGGTGTGCACTTGCCCAACTGCGTCCTTATTGACTGAGATGAAACTGCTGGGCAAGAAGAGGTATATACTTCTGAAATGACTATCATAGAGATCGCCCAAATCACACCAGAGGTTGGGCAAATCAGTATCCTACCAGCAGTTTATCCGGGTGTCTCATCATGCCCTTGTCAGCAGTGATTATTAAAAGCCACTTCTTAACTCAAATAATTTAATTTCTTGTGATGGAGTTTCAGGAAGAACCATGGAAAGATATGTGAGTGGCTAAGAAAACATTTCCTCTCAAATCATAAACCATATTGCTGTTTTCTCCATCTCAGTACCCCCCACACTGACCTTGACTCCTCTTACTTCAGCTGGGCTGCAACCAAGGCAGGAAACAAATAATCTCTGTCATGAAAGCCACTGAAATGTAGCCATAAAAAATGGGGTGCCATCTCCTCTTGCACCTCTAAACATCTGGCAATTATCATGGGCAAAGTGCCTTTTACCCCACTAAAGATACTCAATTGCATTCTGTTCTGTAACACTAACTATTCTTTCATCCATTTGACCTACATAAACTTTCTTCAAATTTTAAAAATAAAAACAAAAAATAAAGATGATGTATGTCTATTAGCACAAAACAAGATGGGCAACCTGACCAAAAAAGGGGCCCTGATTTCCAAGTTCGCAATGATGCCGTCTCTCACAGTGATTACCAGGCTGTGTCCTGAGGAAGATCAGTGTCCGCAGGTCTACAGATATTACATCACCTTCAGGAGATACAGTCTGGGAATGCTGGCCAAGATTACATGAATGGACGGGCCGATAGATGGACTGATGAATGAAATATATTCATGCCTATACTTACTGAACTAAAGAGTGAAGTTTTCTAGATAATTTGAGTATGTGTGTAATACAGTTTTAGATATTTCATATTATGTTATATTTAATACTACCAATGCAGTTATTAATAGTAATTTTCTTTTTTTAAGAGATAAGATCTTGTTCTGTCACCCATGCTGGAGTGTGGTGGCACACTCACGGCTCACTGCAGCCTCAAACTCATGGGCTCAAGGGATCCTTTCACCTCAGCCTCCCAAGTAGCTAGGACTACAGGCGGAAATATTCAGCTAACTTCTTAAATTTTTATTGAGATGGGGTCTCGCTATGTTCCCCAGGCTGGCCTTGAACTTCTGGCCTCAAGCAATCCTCCCATCTCAGCCTCCCAAAGCATTGAGATTACAGGCATGAGCCACGGTACCCTCAGTCATTTTCTCATATGTCCTTGCTTCAAAGGCTACACATGAAGCTCTACTGCGCACCTAAGTCACTGTTGGTTACTCAGGAGAGCATATTCAATCTCAGGATTATTTGCCAACTGCATATGTTTTCTCTGCAATCTACTCCAATAAAAGTATACATGCACTGCGCTACTTTGATAAGAGGTATAGTGACTCAAAATTGCCTTTTGTCTTGTAAGTATTTACGCACATTTCCCAGAAAAACCTGTTTCTTGATTCGAATATGTAAACCTAGTATATAAAAGTCAGAAAAGAGAAGTTCAGAAAAAAAGCAAAAGTGGGAAGGACAGGCAACAGGCATGTGGATGGTTGCAACATCCTTTGGGAACAGTATTTCCAAGGAGACAGAATGGAGCAAAAACTCTTTTAACTCCCTCCCAGCCACAGCCACGTAAAGTCCATGACTTTCATCTAGGTGCAATGGCACAAGCAGGTATGGTCTGCTAGTCAGGAAGTGGAAGGTCACCTGAGCTCCAGAGTTCGAGGCCAGACTAGGCAACATAGCAAGAACCCAACCTCTAAAATTTAGCAAAGAGTCCATGCCTTTCAAATTTCTTCCCTTAGACCCCACACAGACCACTCTAGGCATGGCAGGGATAACTGACCATTTAATCAACCTACAAAGAGCGAGGTTAACTGACTCGGACAAGGCAACACAGCCAGGTTGAAGGACCAAGACCCAGATATGCTTACACCTCAAAGGGGCAACATCTAGGTTAGCAACACTCATTTGTGGATGACCACCCCACTCCTGCGCATCCAGGACAACCATTGTGCAGTGCCCACGCTCTACCTGAAGTGCCCTCCTTCATCTGAGGCCTTCCTCGTGGACAGTGTCACACGGTGAACTTCAGCCACAGCCCAGACACCAACTCCTCTGGGAGCCCCTTGCCTGCATCCTCCACCCTTCTCTATCACAGCCCCAACCCCTGCGGCCCTACAGCACTTCCTCTACACCTGCGCACCTGCGTAGATTCCTGCCTCACTGAGCTGATTCCTGCTTTCCTACTGCACTGAGATTGAGACCATCCTTTTCCACTGGATTGCCCCAGCCCCTAGCAGAGATTAAGGGCTCCGTACAATTTGATTCAGCTGAGATGGAAAAGCTGACATCATCTACCCTGCATGCCATTAGAGTGACTTCTACCAAATGAATAAAACATGATCATTTTGCATAAACTCAGAAAAGCATTTTTTTCCTCTAACCAAATTGAAGAAGAATTAATTGAGCACTTCCTGGTGTCCTAACAGTTAATTCCTTTTTAAATCACCACATGGCTGCCATGCCTTGGGTGGCTGTACCATGTATCCCCACCATCCAGGGACCAGCCAGATGACATCAGGGTGCGGAGAGGCAGTTAGGCCTCCCCTCATTGTATAGCAGAGTCTTGTTTTAATGAAAAAGTCCCACTTTCTTCCCCGACTGAAACTCCCTTAAGTCCATATAAGTCACTGTGGATGGAGAGGTACTGTTACCGTAGCTGTGTGTGTACTGAAGGGGCACCTCTACAACCGACAGTGGCCAGAAGTGAGAAAATAAAATGGAGAGTAGTCTAGAAACATGTGCCTCATCCAACCCACTCCGCCTGAAAAAAACTTCCTTCCTTTCTCAAGAGACACCTGGGCGCCTTTTCATTCTCCCTACCACGTGGCCAAATGCTCACAACTAATGCTTAAGTTCTGAAGTTTACCCAGGTAGAGACGGAATCATTGATGACATTTATGTGTTCACTCAAAACAAACGAACGGGGGCACAGGGGCTGATGCCTGTAATCCCAGCACTTTGGGAGGCTGAGACAGACAGATCGCCTGAGGTCAGGAGTTTGAGACCAGCCTGGCCAACATGGCAAAACCCTGTCTCTACTAAAAATACAAAAATTAGCCAGGCGCAGTGGTGGGCACCTGTAATCCCAACTACTCGGGAGGCTGGGGCAGGAGAATTGCTTGAACCCAGGAGGCGGAGGTTGCAGTGAGCCAAGATCGCGTCATTGCACTCCAGCCTGGGCGACATGGTGAGACTCCATCGCAAACAAACAAATGAAAAACACAAAAGGCAAAACACATAACTTTCTTCTACTTTAGAGGAAGTGGAAGGGAACTACTGTGTGTGTGTGCCAGGCATCATGGAGAATGTTTCACATGCACCGTCAACACATCCTCACGTCCACTCCAGAAAATGTATCACCAACCCTCATCCTAGAGTGAAGACAACCACATTTCAGGTAAGCTAAGTAACTTGCCCAAGGTCACCTTCCTTCACACCCTGCAAAGATGTGTCATCTTAAGAGATTCTTCAGTGTTAACTAAATGACGCTACTCCCCAGAGCATTCCATCTAGTTTGCCCTCTATCTTAAGTTTATCCTCTTGATTTTTATTGGCTTCCTTATTGGACTCAACTTCCTTTCCCTTAAGATGTCGCTACCTGGCATTAACCAGGTGTTCATTGCTCAAAGTAATCAGTTTCCTCAATCCTCCTTTATTAAACAACCTGTTTCCTTAATCACTCCCTATCCCCAACCCGCCCCCAGTGATTCTGCTACTGAGTGCTTGCTGGCTAAAATCAGCTCTAAGAGATCTTCGAAAACTGATACCACAACAACTCTCATTACCACTAGTCAACAGACATGCACTATTGAACACCTAATGTGTGCCAACCCTGTGCGACAATGTGTATGGGCTGCAGGGTATGGAAGGGATCAGGACAGTGTTTGGGTGCCTCCTATGCCCAGGGGCATTACACATTACCTCTTTAATCTGGGGTACATTTATATCCATTTTACAAATGGGCAAACTGAGACCTAAGTTAGAAGTCCCTTGCCCGGAAACAGAGAGGCTAGGATTGTGGCCATAGAGCCCCAGCCTCTCCAGGAGGCCTCCTATATGCTGCCTGGCACAGTGCAAAGAGCCCTCCAGCATACAAAGAACAGACCAGCCCCGGTCCTCAGGAGCTCACCGCATAGTTGGGAAGCCTGGCTGTTCATTAAGAAAACTCTGCAGTTCAAGTGAGTATTTGCAGGGGGATCAATGAGTGGGCAAATAAGAGTGGCCCATGAGGTGGGAAGAGCGGGGCACTGGGGGAGGCCCCAAGCAGAAAGACATGAGCCAGGCTGGGCTTGGTGGCTCATGCCTGTAATCCCAGCACTTTGGGAGGCTGAGGCGGGCGGATTGCCTGAGGTCAGGAGACCAGCCTGGCCAACATGGTGAAACTCTGTCTCTGCTAAAAATACAAAAATTAGCTGGGTGTGGTGGCGGGTGCCTGTAATCCCAGCTACTCAGGAGGCTGAGGCAGGAGAATTGCCTGAACCCAGGAGGCAGAGGTTGCAGTGAGCCGAGATTGCGCCACTGCACTCCAGCTTGGGCGAGAGGGCAAGAGGTCAAGAGGGTGAGACCTCATCTCAAAAAAAAAAAAAAAAGAAAAGAAAAGAAAAGACATGAGCCAGGCTGTGCTGTGGGAGATGATCCTGAGGAACAGCCTCTCCCTGTGAGTCCATCACATTGACCCTGCCGGACTGCAGTCATTTTCACAGGTCATGCCCTTCTATCACCAAATCTCCCCAAGTTCTCTGAAGGAACAGGCCACTTCTTTCCACCAAACTACTCAACTGAGCGCTGCATGTGCTCTGACCCTTCCTAACTTTCCCTTCTCATTCTTCTGCATGTGAACTTTGCTGTGAATATGGCCTGCAGGGTTCTGTGAGGGTCGCAAACAGTCAGCCCATCTTGGAGAGCCCCTTTCAACACTTCTCTGTGCAGCGGAATGAGGCAATGGGAAAGTGGGCAGGAGGCCCAGGCTGACTTTCACGGTGAATTCCCTGAGCCCCGTGGAGATGCTGCCCTTGAGAAGTCATCAATCAACAGCAACCCCGGGGGGTACATTACTGACTGCTGCACATTTCTGGTCGCTCTTTCTGCAAACAGAAGGGTACATATCAAAGTTCTATACTGGTGCAGGCTGTAAGGACAATCTATTTGCTATCAGTGTGTGTCGGGTAAATCCATATCCCATTAGGCCAATTTTGCTCAAGCATATGCCACTTTCACTTTTATTTATACAGACACATTCTTGAGTCTCTGGCAAACGATGCTACATTTGCTTCTGGGCCACCGCCAGGGCAGCCTTTAAAACCAGGTGGGCACTCAGTACACCTGGGAAGCATACAACCAAGGCAACTCCATTTGGTCTGTAACACAAACAGAGCACAAACTTAACCACACTGCCTTTCCAAAGGCACTTGTCCCCCTCCTCCCTCACTCCAGCTTGCCTGAGTCCTCAAGTCCTCAGCTTGTCAACACTCAACGTATGATTTATGCACTTCACTTTTCCTGTTCCTAGTTATTTTTTTCTTCTGCTCTCTTATGAAAAAAAAAGAAAGTATCAAATACCTAGTGAGCCCCGTTCATCCAGCACTGTGTTAAGCAATAAGAGAAATACAAAGAACAGCTGAATGCTGTCCAGTGGCTTCATCCATCTAAGTGGACAGGCATGGGACATGAAAGGGCTTACTGAGCAATGCACACTTGGGCCATGGGAGCTCAAAAAAGCTGTCACCTCTCTCTGGGGAGGTCAGCAGAACCTGAGTGGAACAGATTTTGTTGGGCAGAGAGACGGGCAAGCCTTCTGGAAAACAGAACCATTGAAAAGCAATCGTGGAGATGGTAAGGTACAGGGCATTTGGGGACCTGCTTACATGGAGAGAAGCTGGAAACAGAAGCCAGGTGTCAACTGTGGAGAGCAGGGCCAAGGTAAGCAGGTGGCCTTTGCCTTCCAACAGGAAGATATTAGATTTGAGCCACCGTGTTGTTTTGCTTAACAGGAATGCTGCGGCAGCACTGTGTAGGAAGACGTGGGGACGGGAGCCACTGAAAGCAGCAAGTCTGTACAAGAGATTCTGAGGCACCTGACAGTGAGGAGCACCTGGGCTAGCGTGGTTGCTATGGGAATAGAAAAGCAAGAACAACAGGTGCACATGGCATTTTTAAGGAGGGCCAAGGCCTTGTGACTGAGAAGAAGGGAGAGGAAGCAGCCCAAGGTAACAGTGATATGCCTAGCGGACATTTGGAGGCTTAGCACTGAAACCCCCACTCTACGTGCGGAAGATCCCCATTGCATGATTGTTGATGGAAGGCAGAGCCCCAGGTCTTCTACAGAAGCCGAAGGAGTCCAACACAATTTTCCTCCCACTGTTTAGGTGTGTGGCCCACCTTGATCACACAGTCCTACCTGGGACTTGGAAACTTGACGGGGTGAAAAGGACACAGGGATGGTTTAGGATTCAGTCCCAGAGAAGGCATTCAGTAGTGATAGCCAGCATCAGGATGGGAGCAATGGTGGCAGCTTTTGTGGTACAACTTGGGCCGACTTTCCTGTGGCATGGCAGGGTGTGCTTTGCCAACAATACACCAGACTGCCCATTTCTTTTTTAGTTATGCAATGGGCTTCCAAAAAGTTCCTTGAGTCAGAATGAACAGCAACCCTAGGGGGTACATTACTGACTGCTGCACATTTCTGGTCGCTCTTTCTGCAAACAGAATGGTACGTATCAAAGTTCTATATTGGTAAAGGCTGTAAGGACAATCTATTTGCTATCAGTGTGTGTCGGGTAAATCTATATCCCATTAGGCCAGCTTTGCTCAAGCACATGCCACTTTCACTTTCCACTGCTGGCTGACAACTGACTAACCACAATATCAAACCCAACCCAATATCTACGCCCTTCCTAAAAGCCCTCATCTTCAAATACTCAGACGACACAGCCTCCAGCTCTGCTGAGCAGACAAAGCAAGCGACTTCATTGAGCACCTAACTTATGTTCCTTTCTGTTAGCCAACATTCCAAGGTCCAACTAGACCATGCGTGCTGTCAGGACAGGGGCCTAACATCTTCTAAATCCACTTCCATTGCATAATTCCACTCTATCCAACAAAATCTGACCTTAACCCATCCCTCAACCAGCATAGTGCCTTGTGCAGGGTAGGCACTCCATATACTTGTAGAGCTATCTGAATTTATTCATTCTAGGCAAAAATCTGAAAAGCCCCTCATGAGTTAAGTACATATTACTATGATGTTTAGAAAGTTTTGAAAAGACCAGGTGTGGTGGCTCACACCTGTAATCCCAGCACTTTGGGAGGCTGAGGCAGGCAGATCACTTGAGGCCAGGAGTTCGAGACCAGCCTGGCCACCATGGTGAAAATCCCATCTCTACTAAAAATATAAAAATTAGCCAGGTGTGGTGGTGGGCGCCTGTAATACCAGCTACTCAGGAGGCTGAGGCACGAGAATTGCTTGAACCTGGGAGGTGACCGTTGCAGTGAGCCGAGATCACACCACCGCAATCCAGTCTGGGAGACAGAGTGAGACTCTGTCTCACACACACAAAAGTTTTGAAAAGATACTGAGAAACAGAAGGAACAGAGAGTACTATGTACTGAAGTATTTCTATGACAGTTTCAAAATAATCCGAGGGAAAGAGGAAATGGGTACAAGTACAGATGAAGCAAGACTGGCCATGGGTAATAACTAAGCTAGGAATAGGTCCATGGGAACTACATTATTCTTTCTGCTTTTGATATTGAAATTGTCCATAATAAAAGCTTGAAAAGATTAAATCATAACTACCAAAATTAAAACGACTATCCTTCAGAGTCTAATCACCAAGGGAGAGGACTCAAATCTCCGGTAATGGTGATAAGTAATTGCTCTGGAACAGACAGTAAGCACTGAGCTCCATGTATTAGAAAAAGCTGGGATTCAGTAATAATGCTAAACCTCCATTTACTAGAGTGCTTTCAGGGAAAAAAGGCACTTCAATAAGGGACTGACCACTGAGGATTTGAGCCTAAAGAGCACAGAAGAGCGAAGGGGTAGTGACTCTATCCTCTGCACGGCTCATGCAGTTGCAGCCCACATGTTAATCTGTGTGGTTAACTGGAGGAGGAGTGCGTGACCTTTGTGTACATATGAAGCTGGTATCAGTCCCAGAATATCAAGCTCACTAAATCAGAACACATAAAAATGGAGGGAGCCACAAGCACGCTCATAATTCTGCAGATACAACTTCTGTAATTCTGCAGCTGCCATTTCCCATTCCTGGGAAGTCTATTTAAGGCATGCCTGACTTCCTATGGGAACACACCTAGTGTTAAGAAGCAGAGGTGTACACTCAGATTTGAGGGCTTCCCCCACCCCACCCCACCCCACCAACAGCCAGTACTGCATTTAAATACTTAAGCAGAAACTTCAAAAAGGATTTGCCTGAGAATGACACACACATGCCACAGACAAACTCTGTTAAGTATTAATGTAGAAAATCAAAATCAGTGGGAGATTTGCTATAAGACACAAGTTCATCGTTGAAGGTGTCCTCTCACCCTCTTCTGCATCATCCAGTTTTTGGAGGGCGCTTATGGACCATTTATGCCTGGTGCAGTTCTCATCACTGTCTCTAGGGCTTTGCTGTCCTGGCTGCAAGTCCTTATAAGGTGGAGTCGGCTTTCTCCCGCCCTCCATACATTTCACGTGGTACCACTGCAGCTGTCAGCTCTCCTGCACTCACACCCCACAGCGTGTTTCCCTCCCCCAACTCGGTATACTCTTAGTCGCTGAGCTCCTGCCCCAGCTGCCCCTATTTTTCTTAAGCTAAATGCAGTTCCTTCTCTGTAACACCATCTGCTTCTATAACAGAGCAACCCAAATGCTATGTGGTCTACAGATAATTAGTATTTTGTTGTAATTTCTAATTATGATCACAGGTTACCTCTTTGGGGGTATCTCAGGATAAGTCTCAGGCCATCTGAATTCCTGAGAGAACCCCACACGGGCTGGTTTTGCTGGTCAAGGTCTCCCCACTTTTGATTCTCCTTGAAGGGCAGAGCACCATCTGTACTTGAGGAAATCTTATCATCTTGACAGTAAACATTCCTGATGGAGGCTATTGAAAAGGTTAACTCCCTGGAAATCAGACAAGCCTTTTCTCCACAGTACTCCCTGGCTTGCTCTTTGGAAGAGTATTTCTGGCCAGGTGCGATGGCTCACACTTATGATCCCAGCACTTTGGGAGGCCAAAGCGGGTGGATCACCAGAGGCCAGGAGTTCGAAACCAGCCTGGCCAACATGGTGAAACCCCCATCTCTACTGAAATTACAAAAATTAGCTAGGCATGGTGGCAGGCACCTGTAATTCCAGCTACTGGGGAGGCTGAGGCAGGAGAATTGCTTGAACCCAGGAGATCGCGCCATTGCAGTCCAGCCTGGGTGACAAGAATGAAACTCCAGCTCAAAAAAAAAAAAAAAAAAAAAAAAGACTGTTGGGAAATACTACTTCTGCATTTTTTAAAGATGAGGCATGAGGCTTTCCAGTGGCCAAATGTTTGGGGAACCCTTGTATGCTGTATCCACATCTAGAGATTCACAACAAAC
Organism: Homo sapiens; assembly: GCF_000001405.40. Lineage (NCBI taxonomy): Eukaryota > Metazoa > Chordata > Mammalia > Primates > Hominidae > Homo > Homo sapiens. The sequence continues at coordinate 45,888,348 of NC_000002.12, read as the reverse complement.
ATTAGCATAGTAAAGGCTTGGCAATTAAGACAGCTTCTTAACATATTGTTTCCCCAAATAATACACAGTGAGACTAGAGTTCTCCAGAACTCCTTGGGCTGTTGCAACTACAGCTTAACAAGTTTCAAAGGAGCTAAGCAGGAGCTAGAGGACAAACCCAGCGCCTTTTGCCACTTTTAATTCTTTGCCATCTGTTATATCTGGGATCATCCACACACACATTCCCCAAAATATTCACAACGATTCCATGTTCTGGCTATAACCTCAGTTCTGTTTTCATCTGCTGACTCTGGAAATCTAGGTCCATTTCTAATGATCACAGATCATGGGAGATAACAGTGGATTGGCTTCCAGCATACATTCTATCCTTCTAGTGTGCCCACCTCTCCTATGTGGGCAGAGGATGGGAAGCTAAAGCCAACTCTCAAAGTCCCTGCAGCTGCAGTTCCAGATATGATTTCAGTTGGGCCAGTTAGATGTGCTTTTGTGAAATTTAGAACGCCAAAGTGAGGCAGAGACCACATTTTGGCAGTAGCTGCCATTTGCTCAGCAAGCAAAGTCCAAGAGGCACCTGGTTCTTCTATGACAGTTTTAGCCAATGTTGCAGCATCCAGGTACCAACTTTGTGGGTTCCAGGAGGCAGGACCAGGACATCATTTGCAGATGCTGATCATAGCTGATGTGGCATGGTTCTAGAACCATAAAAGTCATGGCTTCCTGATTGTGGGACCCTCTCAATCATGGCTGTTGCAATGTGGTTCTGGAGAAGTGGCTTCATCTGTAGGAGTGGCAACAGCTTTCTTGGTGGTCTAGTTCTGTAGTGTGGTTCCGGGGTACTTATTCCTGAAACCGCCACCTAGAGACCTTTGTCTTCAGAACTCTTCATAGTTCTATAAGCCATTTAATTCCTTATAATAAATCCCTTCCTCTTGTTTGCTGTGATATATTCTGCTTTCTACAACTGAACCTCGACCTACACCCTAACTCAATCTGTGTTCCAGCAAGGATGATCTAGCTTCTCAGTTTCATCTTGATGGCTGTGGAATTTCAGACACAGATCGCTATCTATTGTCCATCTAGGTAGGAAGCCTTCTGCACGGTTGACTGTGGCCAAAATGCTGAGAGTATAACCTGCAAAGCTGACTTTCTGCAACCAAGCATGTATCCTGGGTCAGGCCCAATGGGAGGCCCTGCCTATCAAGCAGGAACGAGGCTAAAACTTCTGGAGGAGCAACTCTGTTATAAGCCATTACAGATAGACACCATGTAAAAACCCAGGCATCAGAGTTTACAAGAAGGAGCAATACTCCTGGGTTCTAATTCCAGGCCATATTACTTAAACTCTGAGCTTCTGACCCCGTTCTGCCACGTGAGGCTAGTGACATCGTCCACCTCACACAAAGATAGGAAAGAACTTGAGAGTAGACCCGAAAGGTCTTTGGAAAAAACTATTCTAGTGAAGAATGACATTTATTACTACTACTATCATTACTAGCATTCAAGAATCATAATCAAGAAAAGAGGGACCTTTTCCCACACTTTTAAAGGCACTTTCTAAGTCTTTAATACTCATAACTTTTCAGCACATTGGCATTTAAAGAAAAAGGTTTACGAGCTTCATAAAAAATCAGCACTCGAAGTGCAATGCTTCCTTTAGATTATAGCCAAGCATTAGAAAGGTTTGAAAAAGTCATTTGACTTCAGCATTGTCAAGACTCATTGCAGGGTTACTGTTATCACGTCAGCTGTATTTTTGTGCTATTCTCCAAGATGGCTGGACTATTTCCTGTGCCCATGTAGTTAGGTAGTTCTGGGTTTTTACTGTTGCTGTTTATGTTTAAGCAAGCCTGTTGCTTCACTTTTTAATGCAATAGAAGTCAGCATGGCAGGTTTGTTTTACTGCTAGCATTAAAATGCCAAGTCCCCTCTAAGCAAATCCTCTTCACACAATCTCATAGTGTGCTCTAAGATAGCCAGACGGTCATGGGCAGGGGTTCTCAGGAAGAGACAGAACAGGCAGGAAAGCAGACAGCAGCCAGACACAGGCTACGGAGCTCAGAGTGGGAGTGGGTTAGGAATTGGGACAGTTGACAGAGAGGAAATGAGAGTCACCTGGAGCCAGAGCTCCCTGGGCTGAGGACAGTCCTGCAAGCACTTCACCATGCATTCTAAGGCCAAGAACAGAAATGGTCCAGCATGTGAAGCAAGCCCAGAGCCCATGGCCCGGACAGGTAAGAGTTCCACCTGCCAGCAAACGTGGGGTCAGTGGCAAGACAGCCCAGGTAGGCCTCTTGAGGAGGAAGAGGAGGAGCAGGAGGCCACACTGACCAGGGAGTTCAGTGGGAAAGATTCACGTTCTGGGGAGGTGTGGGTCTAACATTCTTTACACACCTGATTCTTGGATTTACATTGTCAAAAGAGCCTTCGTTAAAAAGCAACTCCATGGGATTTCTCCGAGGCTCCCTCGTGCACTTAAAATAAGATTTTGCTTTTTAAATTATCCTACACACAACATTTTGGGAAAATAACAAAAATCAAAGCACCCAAAACCCACAAATTTGTGGATTTGTTTTTAACTGTAAGAGAAACCATTTTACACTGCAATATGAAATCATAGGAGTTGCCCTAACCCCCAAAATTCACTTTAGGATGAAGTGTTTGCTTTGGCTAGAGAACTAAATCCTATCTGTTGTCAACAACAGTCAGAGAAATTTGGCTGGGCTACGATTATGCACTGCCCAAATGGCCATCCAGACCAGAGGCAATCAGACAGATATATTAATTCATGTAGATTAACTTTTTTAAATGAAGTGGTCCAGGCTTGTTTTGTATAGGAAGACATGTATCAAAATACACATAGCCACTCTCTCTCTCCAACCCAATTAATAGCAGCAGCTTCCTCCAAGGACACTGGAGAATGGGCTGCGAATATAAATGTCCCAGGCAGAAGGTCTCTGAAAGCCAGGCCTTCTGAAGAGAGCTTTGCTCTGTTCCCTAGGGTCGATAAAAAAAAGGAAGCTTTGTCAGGTCCCTTCCCTCCAGACACACACATCATTTTATTTGGAAGTCACATGGTGTGATTAAATTTAACTGGGTGGAGCAGTGGAAAACCACAGTATTAACAACATAATTCTTTCTGGGGAAAGATTCATTCTGCCAAGTGCAAAAGATAATTCTGAAAGCTCTGAGCCACTAGCTGCTTTCAACATTTGTTTTAAATCCAGAGAGACCAAGTCATAAGAAAGTATACCTCTGCTCACTGTGGCATTGTTTCTAGTAATCAAAATACTGAAAACTACCTGGATTTTCACTTGAGCTCTTGGTAAAACAACAACAACAACAACAAATATATATATATATATATATATATATATATATATATATATATATATATGGATCACATATAACAGATCACACGCAGCTTATACAATCAGACATGTGTCTGTGTCCGTGTGTATATGCACAGGTGCAGACAATTTCCAGAAGGAGACAGAAGTAAGCAGAAGTCACCTCTGGGGAATAGAACTGGTTGGAGAAAGGGTGTCTTTCGCTCTTCATCCCTCTGTGCTGGTTGAAGTTTTTACAACGAGCAAGTATTACTTTCATAAGAAAAACTAGCCATGAAAACATGTTTTAAAAATCACTTTAAGAGCCCACAGGCCAGGAACTCTAAAGAGCTCATTGTTGACTGGCTCAGTCACCAACAAGCTGTAGAGGTGGAAACATTTTGCAGCTGCAAAATTCCTTGCAGTTTACAAGGCATGTGCTGCCTCCCTTTATTCCTATAACATTGTCGTAGGTGTCGAGACAAGACACTTGCTGCCACAGTTACTGCTCCCATTTTACCTCCGTAGAAATGGAGACTTTAGAGATTGGAGGACTTGCCTAAGACCACAAGGATTGCAGAACAGGGAGATCTGGTCTTGAACCCAGGCCTCCTTCCTCACCACCACCCTGTCGTCATACTATGAACCCTGGACAGGTCACTTCTGGTTTTGGTTTACCCAGCAATAAAAGGGAGACTTTATCATAGGCATCCTTTCAACAAGTGAGTCAACAGTAGCATTTCTATTTTATCAAGGAGGAAACTGAACTCAGAGGTTGAGTAACTTGCCCAGTGGCAGAACCTGAACTCAGAACCCTCTCACCCCACCTCCTGGCTGAGATGCCAGGCCTCTCCAGACTTTCCCCTCCACCTGAAACAGTGTTGGTTTCAGGATACAGATGTTCACAACAGTCCTGGTTGTTTGCAAAAACAAGTATTCTAAAAACTGTAACAGGGAGGGAGGGGCTGGATGGCAGTCCACAACGCCACTCACTCTCAAGGCAGTTGCCAAAAACCCAGCTCTGTGCCCCAGAAGGCCTTGGGCAGTCTCAAAGATTCTGAGCGACTCTGCAGTAAGGGAAAAACCTCAGCTCTGCAAAGCATTGACAACGTGGGAAGCAAGCTCCAAGGATTCCCAGGACTTCTCCCCAAAGCCCAAGCCCCTCCCCAGGCAGAGAAAAGGGAGTTTCCCACACACTCTCCTGCCTGTGTGTGACCCATACCCTGTTCCCACAGTGGCTGTGCAGAAAGGATATGCCAGCCCCATTTGTCCTTCCTTCCAGCATGACAGGCGGGGAGGACAACCTCTTCCTAAGGAACTGACTGACATCATATAGGGAGTGTAGCATGGCATGGTAGTTGTGCAGACTCACTCTCCACACAGGCATGATAAAAACTGTAAATGTGTAAGAACTATAGTATACATTTAATGCCTCCCACCCCAAAAAGGCAAAACCCACACAGATGAGCAAGAGGGAGGGACCTGTTAGGCTGGCACATGCGGAGAAGGGTAGCTCTGCCCTGCCTGTGCCCCCAGCACGACGGGGAACTCACCTCTAGGAGCCTTCCAGACTCCGTGGTTGGCTCCCGAAGGCCATTAGACACTGGCCACAGCTGAGCCAGCAGCAGGGGCTATAATGGGCTTCCCTCGGGTCTTCACCCACACTATGGGCCAGCCAAGGGTCATCCCTGCAGGGCGCCTCAGAGTCCTCCCTGGATTGTGCTGCAACACTACCGTTTTCTGACAATGCAAGCTCAGTGACCAGTTAATCTCCACAAAATCCAAATCCATACTTGGCTCTATTCAAGAGCAATCTGTTTAGGGAAGTCCCCAAATGGCAGCATCGATATGCAGTGAACACACAGAATGAATATACAGAATGGCTGGCTGCAGGAATGAGAGTCAGTACCTCAAAGAAGTACTACAATGTGAATTTGAAGATAGAAGGCTTTTTTCCCATTTTTTACCCAACTAAAATTTAAGCCCAGAGTGCCAAGTATTTGAGTAGCGACTGGCCGTCGCCACTCATTGCTGCGGGGAGTGTGGTTTCAGTCCAGCTTTGCCAGATGAACACGTGTCAAGCCTTTGCATTTCCGAAGCAGCGGCCAGCTTTATTAGCTTCCAAGTCCTTTTGCAGGGAGCCTGCTTGCTTGTCCTGCCAGAGGTGATGACAGAAGCCAGAGCTTCCCTGGAATCGGCAGACTCGGAGGTAACACGTGAACATTTAAGAAACGTTGAGTGCAGGCCCAAAGGGGCAAGTGGAATCAGATTCCAGCTCTTAAGGCAGGCTCCTTTCTGTTCCCTGTCTTCTCCGTCTTTCTCTTCCGTTGGTGGATGGGCCTCCAGGGTCAAGGAGTAATTGAGAATAAGCCAATTTTCTGAATAGCTCAGGAAAGAAAAACACTCAAATATCACCATAAAGAAAAGCATCTAGTAGAAAGCTAGTCAACAACTGTTTATTCTGCAGTGATGATTTTCCAAACATCATTTTTCTTTGGAGTAGTTGAACTCATGTCCCCAAGACATCTTTGAATTTGTCAATCCCAGCAATGGAGGAGGACCCAGTACCACAGAATAACTCATCCAATGAGGCTTCAGACTACTATGAGACTGCGGACATCAGAGCAAGGATGTTGCATTAACCCACGTGTGATGCTTGTGTACAAATATTAATAGCAACCCACATGCAGAACTACATGGCTACAAGAGATACGGCAGCTGTCTTGGAGGACAGCATCAAAAGACAACTGACATGAAAACAAAGGTGCTGTAACTTCACAGCTTCTACATGGAGGTATATCACCATGGCATCCTCAACCTGAAACTCGAAACCCAGTCGCCACATATTAGCTATGACATCATGATATCGGAAGGAAAACATGTAGGTAAGACAAGTCACCAAAGCAGAAAAAACAATTATAACACCTTAATTTCATTTCTAAACTTTTAAAATATTAACTCATGCTTAGTTTATGCCTTTCTACAGAAACACCTTTCCCCCCTGGCCAGTCAGACCTGACATATCAGCGCTTTGGAAAGCTCATAAACCCAATGGAAGGCAAGGAAATGTCTCCTTAGGCTACTGTCATGACAACACACAGAGCTCCACATGCTCCAGGGGTCTTCGAGCTACCACTGAGCTTCTAGTTTCTAGCTAACCTGCACAACTACACAGAGCCCTGGATAGCCTTGGGCAGCTAGTTAAAATTCAATCTCGTTCCCTCAATAGTAAAGAGTAAGATTAAGGACACAGAGCCAGAAGGGCTGAGTTTGCAACTTGGCTCTACCTCATATTGTGTGACTTAGGCAAGTCATTCCATCGTGCTGGGTCTTAGTTTCCTCATCTGTAAAAATGGGGATGACTATAGCACCTACCACATAATGATGCTGAGATAATTAAGAGAATAAACATCACATAGTTAAAATCCTTCTTGGGGAATAGTAAGCACTATGTAAGAGTTGGCTTTTATATGATTTAGTGCATATTAAGGACCTATGAAGCACTTTGAATATAAAATATTTTAACTGCAATCACTATATTTATAAATTTCTGACTTGGGTACTTAAATAACATTTAAGTACCATTATATCCAAAAATGGTAATGAGGCCTAGAAATTCCATTTAAAATGTGTCCATCTAAGTGTTTTAAGATGTGTCCACCTGGATTGCAACACTTGTCTCATCCTTTGTTTTCCAGCCTGTAGAAGACTAAATTAGACACAGCATGTTCTATATATGGATTGCCTTAATTTCATGGCTCTGCTTCTCCAGACAGATACTACAGAGCAGGAGAAGGTGGGCTCATTAAGATACCAGCTGCAGGCTCTGAAGGCAAATACACCCTGAAATCTTTTTTTTTTTTTTTTTTTGAGACGGAGTCTCGCTCTGTCGCCCAGGCTGGAGTGCAGTGGCGGGATCTCGGCTCACTGCAAGCTCCGCCTCCCGGGTTCACGCCATTCTCCTGCCTCAGCCTCCCAAGTAGCTGGGACTACAGGCGCCCGCCACTACGCCCAGCTAATTTTTTGTATTTTTAGTAGAGACGGGGTTTCACCGTTTTAGCCCGGATGGTCTCGATCTCCTGACCTCGTGATCCGCCCGCCTCGGCCTCCCAAAGTGCTGGGATTACAGGCGTGAGCCACCGCGCCCGGCCTACACCCTGAAATCTTAAAAGAACTGTTCTGAGTCCTTAATATCTAGTTCGTACTTACTGATCTATGATAACGAAAGTGACAAGTAGTGTTTCTTAATAAGACTGTATTCAAACCACAGTAGTCTTTGGTATCTGGCCAATCCCCATACAAATACTCTGCTGCATTCTTTCCTAGAGGCCGGATATTTGTCGTGCACCTACTATGAACTAGCCACTGTGTGAGGCATTGGTATACATATACTCCCTGCTTTTACACTGCTGTCCAGGGAGTAAACAGACTGTCTTAATCAAAAATATACATAAAATTACAAATTGAGGTAAATGCCAAGCAGAAAAAAATAGGGTTATAAAAGTGTAAAACAAGGAGACCTAAGATAAGATTGGGCTCGGCCAAGTCTCTTTGTAAGAGGTGACATTCAAAGTGAGTCCTCCATTCCTCACACTACAAATAGAGCTACCGTATAATCCAGCAATGCTACTAATGGGCATTTATCCAAAGGAAAGAAAACCATTATATCAAAGAGATATCTGTATCCCCCTCCCCAGGTTTACTGCAGCAGTAGACACAATGGCCAAGATATGGAATCAACCAAGGTGTCTGATAACAGATTAATGGACAAAGAAAATGTGGTGCATACACATAACGGAACACTCTTTAGCCATAAAAAAGAATGAAATCTTGTCATTTGCAGAGCAACGTAAATGCAACTGGAGGACACTAAGTGAAATAAGCCAGGAGCAGAAAAGTTAAACACTGCATGCTCTCACTCATGTGGAAGCTAAAAGAAGCTGATCTCCTAGAGGTAAAAAGTAGAAAAGAAGATGCTAGATACTGGGAAGGGTAAGGGAAAGAGGGTTTTGGAAGAGATTTGTTAAAGGATACAAAATCACAGCTAGGTTAGAGGAGTAAATTCTAGTATTCTACACCACTGTAGAATTAATATAGTTAATATATAATTTCAAATAGGTAGGAGGAGGATATTTAACATTCCCAACACAAAGAAATAAGTGTTTGAGATTGTGGATATGCTAATTATCCTGATCTGATCACTATACAATAGATGTATCAAAACATCACCAGTACCCTATGAATATGCGTAATTGAAACAGGAAATTTCCCTTGACCCTTTCACGGCCTCGTGACAGGAGTGCCTCCCTTACTCAGCCCACAGCTCTCAACTCCTCGTGGGAGGGGGAGCAGGCAGGTGAGAGGGTTCATGAGCCAGAGCAAGTGCTTTTGAGTGCCAGCAGGAGCAAAACTCCACTCGGGCCCTGTGGCAGCATCTAGTGGAGAGTACCTGCAACATCTGAAGCCCCAGAGGTCATGTGTTACAGGCAGTGCTCTTTTAGCTTTGCCATCTGGGGACAGCTTAAGTGTTTAATAGCTCAGTGGACCCTCTGCCTTTTTGCAAGGGGAGACGGTCAGTGTGACAGCTTTCTGTATCCTGAGCTCTTGTCCAGTGTCCAGGAAAAAATCAGGTCACATGAATGAATTGAAGGATAGTAAATGTGGGGGATTTTACTGCCAATGGAAGTGGCTCTCAGCAGGAAGGGGAGCGGGAAAGGGGATGGAGTAGGAAGGTATTCTTCCCCTGAAGTCTGGCCATCCTCGGCTGGACTCTTCTTCGAAGTCCCGCCATCAAGCCGTCCCTCTGAAGTCGAGCTGCTTCTCTCTGACATTCAGCTGCTTCTTCTCTTTCCCCCTTCTCTGCTCTCTGCCAGTGGAGCTTGGGGTTTTTATGTGTAGGATGCAGGGGCAGGGTGGGCCAGGGTGCTTTGGAAAAGGCAACATTCGAGTGGGAAAACGAGGATGTAAAGTTCTCACTTTTTGCCGTAGTTCCAGGCTTGAGGGTGGGGCCCTTACCAGGGACCCAGCCCTTTTCCGTCTAGAATTTCTCTGCGTCCTGTCCCTATCATAATTATTTTATGTCAATTTAAAAAGATGTCTACAATAGGCAAATCCACAGAGAGAAAGTTGATTTTAAAAAAGCAAGAGCAAACTTTGCTTTTCAATTGCCAGCATGAGGAGAAATGGAGCAAACACTAATGAAACAGACAGAAAAATAAGTGCATCTTTTAAAGCTAAACATATTTCATTGATTGTTCTTTATTATGTCTTTGGTATTAAAGCTTTTTATTCTGCTGTTTTAAAAAAGTGAGAACTCTAGCTCTGGCAATGGCAGAGTAGGTTATTTGAGTCAACTATACCACTAAAAATAACAACCCCTGAAAATGCTAGAAAAAATTGTTAAAAATCTTCTTTAACGCAGTAAAATACAGACAAGATAGTAGTGAAGATCTAGGGAAATTGAATAACAGTGAGAACCCAGGGAGTCACTTTTGCCCTAAAGTTTGGAAGATTTTTTAAGATTAGGAAGACAGATAAAAAAGATCAGAGCCCGCTCAAAGATGAGGCGCAAGTGAAAGATCATCCCCCCTGAGTATACTAGGCCCAGACTCAGGATAAGAGTAGACTGGAAATAAACCTTTGTGTAGATTTGTAACTTGAGATATTCAAGCCCTAAACTTGTTATAAGGTGGCTGTGGACTACCAGGCACCTAAGCAGATGCAAACACTAGAGGAGGATGCCTTCATAACAGGTCCAGATAAGATTTCCAAGCACAATGAACCAGTCCAAAGACAACCAAGTCTACAAGGAAACAAGGTGTTACCGAAACACCAGGGGTTTCGTCTAGGTTCTGCTGCTCGCCACATGGCAAGCCAATGACTGAGGTGATGAGCATTGCCAGGGAAGATAGGCTTTAATCAGGTGCTGCAGCCAAGGAGATGGGAGCTCAGTCTCAAATCCATCTCCCTGACCAACTAAAACTGAGGGTTTATAATAGCAGGGAAGAAAAGCAACAATGTGCAAGAAACAGGAACTGAGGAAGGGCAAGGATGCAATCATGATGAATGAGGAGTCCAGCATCTCATTGTCTGGATGTGGTGATTCGGTGAAGTTCCTGTTCTTTGATATTTTGAGAGGCGTGAAGGTCCTTTCCTGAGGAAGGAACTCAGATAAAACAAATGTAAGGTTCAAGCTTTAAGACCAGAAGGGTGAATAATTATGTTAATCAAAAAGAACAGTCTGTGGGGCTATTGGATCAGTTTCAAAGGGAACCATGAGCAAGAACCAGCTGAAAACCATAAGAACAACAAAAGACTTCAGGTGTTGGCATTATCAGACTATGAAATAGCCACACTTATATTAAAGAATTTTTTTTAAAGTTTAGAAATATATTAGAAGCAGGAAACATAGTGACCTAGAATATTTTATAGAGAACCAAATAGAACTTCTAAAAACTAAAAGTACCATAATTTAAAAACTCGATGTAACAGTTTAATATCACACTAGGTACAGAAAGAGACTTAATCAGTCAGAAGTTATTCAGAATAAACTATGGAAAGAAAAAGATGGAAAATACAGGAGAAGATAGAAAACGTAGAAGAAAGAGTAAGAGGATGGAGTATATTTAATCAGGATCCCAGAGAGAGAAGAGATAACGAACTTTTGAAAGATAATATGTAAGTTTAAAAGTCCACTGAACTCTAAGAAAAAATAAGAAGCCATACCTAAATATGTTATTATTAAAATACAAAAAGACAAGAATAAAAATCTTAAAGAGATGGGGTGAGGGGACCTTATCTTTAAAAGAGTAACAGATTGACAGCTAACTTCTCAACAGCAACCATACTAGACAGTGGAATGTTACCTTTAAGGTGCTCAAAGGAAATAACTCCCTACTTAGAATCCTATACTAGCAACAAACAAACAAACAAATAAAACCATGCAAGAATAAAAGGTGGTTATATTATCCAGAAACAAGGTAAAAGTTCTGGTTAACTTTAATTTTATAAGTAGGCATAAATACTTAAATGGTAATTTCCAAAGTAGTCACTAAGGATAACAAGAATGCTCATGTTTCAAACTAGTAAATGAAGAAACCAATTTAAATTCAATTCAAAAGAAGTCAAGAAAGTTAAGAAAAAAAGCCAGATTAGGCTACACACCCAAATATATCAGTAATTACATTAAATGTAAATAGACTAGATACTCTAGTTAAAAGACAAAGATTGTCAGACTGGATTTTAAATCTAACAGTATGCTGTTTATAAGAGATGAGGTAAAATATAAAGAATGAGAAGCTGTCAATCTGGCCAAGATAGCTATCCAGGCATAAGAGAGAGTGACTGCAAAGGCGCAGCAGTGGGGAAGCTGAACTGACAGGAGATCAGTGTGGTGAGGGGTAAAGATTAACGGGAAATATAGCCCAAATCAAGCCTGCAGGGTAGGCTGGACCAGTCTATACAGGGTTAGGCAAAAATTAAAAAGTGGGATTTACCCCCAAATGGTTGAAAAGTATTGGAGGAGGCACAGGAGACAACGTGTATGACCACAAGTTGCAAGACTATAAATTTAAACACAAATACAAAGAGCTAGTGCTTTTAAGTACAAATAATAAAGAACATTTGGGATCATTGGGAAGTGATGTGGCTGGAGTATGAAATGCGAGGCAAAGATAAGCTGGAGTTGACTTGGAAAGAACCAGAGAAGCCAGATGACAGAGGGTTTGTGTTCTGATAAAAGAATTGTGATTTATAGTTTGCAGATGGGGAAATGCTGAAGGATTTTACACTAGGAAGTGATTTGACGAGATTTTCATTTAAAACCACTTAGGCAAGATTGTTTAGAAAATGAAATAAGGGGAGATGGAAGCAGGGAGACCAGAGCCACTGTAATATTTTATTATCTTAAATACAGGTACTCAGTAATGTCCAAAGAAATGAGAATTCTTATTCTCCACTCCCAAGATGGAGAGACCAAAATCTGGGAAGCTGATGTAGATTTTTAGCCCCCATAGAAGATTATTCCCACTGCTGCTAAACCTCTTCAGAAATCAGCTTAACTTTGAAATTCTAAAACCCGTCATCTGCACTATTAATAAAGTTATTTAGCATTTTCTGAGGACTGGACATCTGCCTAGCACTTTAGGAAAAGTGCTCAGAACCTTCAAGTAGGAGGAGATCCATCATTTGTTTTCTAAAACGTCTGTGATGAGTTTACAAATTCATTTAGTCCAACCACCCAAGCACTGCTGGAGCCCCTTTTAGGTGAAAGATTAGTTGACATTTGTGTGAACACTTCCAGGGATGGGAGCTCACCACCCCAACAAAGCAGCCAGTTTAGTAGTGGCAAAATATCTTGAGCTTACATTTTACCCCCAACTGGTCTTTACTGTCTTCCTGATCAAGGCAGAACAACAACAACAACAAAAAACTCAATCCCTCTTCTATACAAGCCTCCTTTCCCATATGTGTAAATCAGTGCCCAGAGGGCTTGATACATGCAAGGTGTCTCTGCCACAGACTCTCCTCTGTTAAAGCCTCCAGACCCCTGTTCCTGGTCCCTCCAGAGCTGGACTCTGATGTTTCAACATCCTCCTTAGCATGTGACACCAGAACAGGTCCCAACTTGAAGAGTCTTCAGTATGGTTGTGGACATTGCATTAGCAGGCTTTAAATTGTGATGCCTGAAGGCAATAGATGAAAATGCTAACACAGATCAGATATGCTGTGGAAGTTTTACCATTAACATTGCTGGTTGAACCTTGGGTTCAAGTGTATAATGGTCTCTACTAATTTACAAGAAAGTATTCATTTGGTTCTCTTCTCCCAGACTGCACTGCAATATTTTCACTCCGAGTCTCACCTGGAACTGCCTAAAAGGGGTCACTCATGCCCATACCATTCACAACCTCTATTCCTGTAGCATCTGAGGGTACCTGTGGAGACTGGAGGCACCTGGTGGGGTCCTGCATGCATGTGTGTAATGTGGGTATGTGTATATCTACACATACACACTCTTCATATTTAGTATGTCGACATCTACATTTCCCCTTTCCGTAATGAGAAAAACAGGATAATCTTACCTAATTGGAATGTAGGCCAAATAGACGTAAGCTATACCCCCAAATAAAAATAGGCCAGAACTAGGCAAGTAGAATAAGGCACTTCATTCCCAAATATCCCCACTGCTAGCTGTTTGGTGGCATATTCTGAAATCTGAGATCAAGTGCCAGCAGCAAGCAGGAAGCAGGAAGCAAGAATCCTCTCTGGAAACAGTGGGCTGCATCTTGTTGGACTCCTAAGCCACCAGCTGCTTTTCAATCACCAGGAATTAAGAATCTGAAGGCTAGGATGAAGATGGCACTGTTGTGAAATAAAACAGGTGGTGCACCTGAGCTGGATATTTGACACACCCCATGGCCACACCCTCCCCATGTGACTCTTCTAAAGACCCAAGCCAGAGAGTGAGACAAGAAGGAGGCAGGGAGTCTGGGAAGGCTGTCACTTGCCTCTAAGCCAGTTGCCAAGTTGGGAGAGCCACTGCCAAAATGTGGGAGGGACTTCTTGGTAGCTGGCAGCTCACTCCAGGCTCAGCAGCCTCTTTCCTCCCTCAGCCTGAGGATGGCCGGACAGGAGGCCAGAGGACAGGCACAAGTTCAGGGCAGGCCAGCGTCATCACGAAGCCCCTGCAGCCACTTCCCTTCTTCACCAGCAGCTGGTTCAACAACTTGGGATCCAGCATGTTGACCAAATATTCCTGCAGGCAGACAAGGCCATGAAGGGAGGAACCAGGAGAAAAGGGACTCCCACATAGGCCTCTGATTGAGTGTGTGAGAGATGGAAGTTTGGGGTAAGTCTGGATTCATAAGTAGAAAGTTACCTACATGGTGTGACTTCATAGAACTTGTGTTGACAATCTCTTCAGCACCAGCCCTTGTGGGCACCTTACAGCACTATATCATCTAACCCTCCTCACATTGCTATGAGGTGGGGAACACTGCCCCATTTTACAGAGAAAATGTTCAAAAAGGTAAATGGCGTCTGTCCAAGATCTGTCTCCTGCCAGAACTCCTGTTCTTTCTAAAATAGCTCAGTGCCTAAGTGAAACCAAAATATCTCTCCTCCTTGGCCTGAAATGCCAAGACAAGAGACTCAGTTGGTTTTTTTGGGGCGGAGTGGGTGGTTATAGGCATCCTCTGGTAAACACTGCTGGGCTCACACTTTAAGACAGGTTGAGGCTCACAGGGAGGACTGCTCTCAGGGAACACACCGACACTGAGGCAAGAGACAAGCTGTCTCCTGGAACATGGGAGAGTGGAGACAAAGATCTCCGGGAGGAGTGAGGAGGCAGCTGGGATGCCCAAAGGAGCAAAGGTAAACTGCTGACTTCATTTGGCAAAGGGGAGTACCTGCATCTTAAACACAAAAAGGAATACAGGATTCTACACTTACGTCTAACAAGTGTTTGCTGAAGGTTCATCTCAGAAGGCACCATGCTGGGGCCATACCTCTCAACCTATCTGTGGTGAAGGACTCAGGTTTTTTTGTTTTTTTTTTTTTTTTTTTTTGCAGTCTACTATCTATGTGGTCTTGGTACGCCTGACTCGTATGCAGCTTGTACCACAAACAAGCCACCATGTGACATCAACAACACCCAGACTTTTCCATTCTCTGCTCAACAAGACAAGTCTACTGATGTTGCCTTAGGATGTTGCGGCAATTAGGAGTTGTCATGAGAATTTCTAAATGCTTTTGCTCAGTTTCTGGTCTTCCTGCTTTACCTTTCTACTGACCAGTGGCAGACAGTTCATGGACTGTCTTAAGCTTCACTCCAGGAATTAGGCTGGAAGACTAGGAAGTGGCCGTCCAATATTAAGACAGTCTAGTGTGTATATGTGAGAGCCATCGCTCCAGTTTAAAACACTCTAAAGAAGTATATCTGGGTAGGCCCTTAGCAGACCTGGGCTCTAGTTCAGACTTTCCAGCTGACTCAATGTATATCCCTTTGTTTCCATGTGGTTGACTTTCCCCTTCAGAAGATGCTGGATTTGTGCCAGGCAGCCACTAAGGACCCTTCCAGCTCCCAGGTGTCATGCTCTCCTTGAGCACACAGCTCCAGAGACAACCTGCATACCCATGACTCAATTTACATCTGCAGCCTGCCGCTGCCCCTCCATGCCCACCCCAACACCACAGCCATTTATCCAGACATCTGGATATCTCCTAGACATCTCAAATTTGAAATGGCCCCAGCCCCTTGAGGTCTGGCCCATATCAGTTAACACCAACTCTGTCCTTCCAGTTGCTTAGAACAAATACCTTGGAGCCATCCTTGACTTCTCTATCTCCAATCCACTTCTGGCATGTCAGTAAGATTCCACTCTCCCGCTCAAATATATCCAAAACCTAACTACTTCTTATCCCCACCACGCTGATTCAGGCCACTGTCATCACTGGCCTGGATCATGGCAGTGGCTCTTAATTGACCTCTGGTTCTGCCTTGCTGCCCATTCTTACACAGCAGCCAGAATGATGCTGTTAAACCTCAGGTCAGGCCACTCCTCTGCACAGAGCCCTCCTACGACTCCAGCTTTAATTCAGAGCCAAGGTCAGAGTCCTAACTGATCTGCAAAGCCCTGCATGAGCTGGCTCTCTGCTGCCGCTCTGACCTCGTTTCCACCCTTTGCCTCCTCATGCTCTGTTCCAGTCAGGCTACTTCTTTGCTTGCAGGGTCTTTGCACTTGCTGTTTTCTCTGCCCAACGTGATGTTCTTTCATTCCTGCATGGCTGACTTTGTTTCCTTCCAGAGTTACGCAAAGGGCTCCCTGTTCCCCTAACATCCCAGCATCCCCACCCCCTACAGTTCATATCACCCTTTCTTGCTTAATTTTTCCCTCCTTAGCAGTTATAAATTATTAACAACTAGGACTTTTCAAGTATCTGCAATCTATCTCCTCAACCAGAATGTAAGTTCCATGAGGGCAGAGCTTTTTGTCTGTTGTTCACATTATCTCCCCAGTGCCTCCCATGGTGCCTGGCATAGGGTACTGTCACACTAACTCCGTCCTCAGTATACTTGTGGAATGGGGACAGGAGTTCTGCTCTAGCTGCTCCAAGTTCCTCAGGTTGCCTCCTTTCTCCACTTCGTCATCAGACCCCAGACATCAAACTCCGCAGTGTGTAAGGGGAAGGTTCTGGCAGGGGGGAAAGAAGGCTGTCTCTCCTCTCTGGGGCAGTCTCAGGAGGGAACTGTGGAGAAGTTCAGTCCTCCTCCCTTAAATCCTTACCGCTGACCTGGCTTCTGGCTTCTAAAGCTGCTGCTTTGCACCCTCATCTCTGCAAAGAAAAATACCCTCAGGATGGGGTTTGTAAAACTTAATCCCATGTAAACCCTTCAGCTGTTTACCTGAATCCCATTTAATCTCCTATAGAGATACCTCTAAATCATCTGCTCTCAACGAGTCAGGGAAAAAGAAAAGAGACAGCTCTTCTGAAGATATTTTTATTGCTCTTGCTGCTGAGAAAACAAGTTTGCATTTTCATCAAGAGAAAGCAAAGCCACGGAGCAACTATTTATAGCCCCCTTCACCCCTGACCCCAGATTATCTAACCACAGGTTCCCTGGAGCACATAATCCGCAACAGGTAAAGCATTTTATTCATTTAAATCTTCCTCTGGATGAATATCCTGGACCCCAACTGCAATTGCACGTGTGAACCTGCATGACCTTCCGTTTGTTTTCACCAGGGAGAGCATGAAATGCTCTCAAAGCCAGAGCCATACACAAATGAGACTCCCCTTGACAGGGTGGGACTAACAGACCAGGCCACCCACTGAGGAAGGGGGCTTCCATCTCTGTGGTTAACAGATGTGCCTTCTCTCTCAGTCCCCACATGCAACCACAGTCCTGAAAGGACTAGGACACCCTGGAACTTTAGAAGACAAGCATTTGCAGGGTCCCTGGAGCAACCACTACTTTGAGAGGTCTCTTCCACTACATCCCTGACAACCAGGCCCCGCTGTTTGCCCCAAAACTTCTGGGCACAGGTTGGGACTGGGCATTCACTCACCATCTTCTGGGGAGCCCATTCCCCCCGAGTGCCATTGGTTCCACTGGGGTTTACTCCCTCCAAACATCTAGTGTCTTTGTCATCACCAAGCGCTCACTATGTGCCCAGTACGTTACTCACCTCGTTTGACCACTACAAGCGAAGGAGAGAGAATTAGCACCCCCACTCACAAGTGAGGAAATCCATATTTAGAACCATTAAAGAAGTCTGCCCAAGATGACATGGCTTAAGGTAACCGATAGAAACTGGATTTGAACAAACTGTGTCTGGCTCCAAAAACTACACCCTTGACCACGAGGCTCTTCCCCCTTGACTACCTCACACATCTCCCTACTTTCCAAACTGATTCCATGATGCTCAAGAGAAATGGGCTGAAATTCTGCTCTGCATGGCTGATGAGAGAGCAAGAGAAATAGAGATAACAACAACAAAACCCCTGAATGTGAATTCTTTCATTAAAGAACATCACTTAAGTGCCCAAATCAATAGCTGATGTTAAAATACAATGACTGAGTATAAAGAGGTTCTCCCCCCAGTTATACCTTTAAAACAAGTTAGCATCTCGAACATGCACACAAACACTGGAGCGTGCTGCTAATAGCTGAGTCTACACAGGATCTTTCTCCTTAAGGCTGGTCAGACCCCTTTCCTAGGATCCCCTTACCCCAAGTACTCCATGAATTGCACTCTGTGTCTTGGGTTCTGCATTTCTAGCAACCTAGTCAACCAGCAGTCCTCCTGACTTTCCTCCCCAGAGTGAGTAGAGTAATACTTGAGGGCTGTTTAAAAGAAAGGACTCAGATGTGAGGAGCCCTTCAGAGGTAGCTGCAATGGGCCTGATGGGAAGGCAAATCCAAATGACCTGGCTTGCAGGGAAGGACACTGCAGGCCAGGAAGGAGAGCAGTTTATCCTCAGTCACCGAGCTCCTCCATAGAAAAATGTAATGGGGCCGGGCGCAGTGGCTCTTGCCTGTAATCCCAGCACTTTGGGAGGCCGAGGTGGACAGACCAGGAGGTCAGGAGTTCAAGACCAGCCTGGCCAATATGGTGAAACCCCGTCTCTACTAAAAATACAACAATTAGCTGGGCGTGGTGGCGTGCACCTGTAGTCCCAGCTACTCGGGAGGCTGAGCCAGGAGAATTGCTTGAACCCAGGAGGTGGACGTTGCAGTGAGCCTAGATCATGCCACTGCACTCCAGCCTGGGTGACAGAGTGAGACACCAACTCAAAAAAAAAAAAAAAAAAAGAGAGAGAGAAACAAAAACAAAAACAAAAAGAAAAATGTAACAGACCTTGGGGCCAGACAGCCCAGGGGGATTTGAAGCCAGCTTACTAGGTGTGCTCCCTTAGTGAGCTCAACCTCTCTATGCTCAGGACAATAGGAAGAAGAGTTGTCCCTACCTCACATAGGGTTGCTATGAGGGGAAAAAACAGGTAGCATGTGTGAAAGGCTCAGCACAGTGCCTGGCGTGTAATAGGTGCTAAATAAATGGTAGATTTTGTGTTTGTTACCATCGTTAGCAATATTTTGTGACTTTCATTGTTATGAGCGATTACTAGCAGTGTCACAAACAGTTTTAACCAGGACAGAGAATGGATTCCCTCATGTAATCCTCTCTTCCCTGAAGATATGGCCGGAATGCACAGTATCTTGGTCATAAGGATAATAACAATAGTGGCTAACATTTAGTACAAGCTGCATTCTTCTAAAGCTATTCATGAATCTTCAGTCATTAATATCAAGTTACTGATTTTTAAATTTGAAGTATTTAGCCAAATATTTTACAGATTGTTTCTCAAATATTTCTATCAGCTCCTAAATTCAGCTAAAAAGTAGATCACCTATCACAAAGAACCTAGAAAGTCAAGAAAACCCATGCACCAAATGAACTTTTTTTCTTTGCCTGACCACGCAGCTTAAACCACACAGCTGGAAATTCTACCAGCTACTTATTTATTTACGTTTTCTTTCTTTTTTCTTTTTTTTTTTTTTTTGAGACAGGATGTTGCTCTGTCACTCAGGCTGGAGTGCAGTGGCACGATCTTGGCTCACTGCAACCTCTGCCTCCCAGATTCAAGAGATTCTTCTGTCTCAGCCTCCCAAGTAGCTGGGATTACAGGCATGCACCACCATGCCTGGTTATTTTTATTTTATTTTATTTTATTTTTTGTATTTTTAGTAGAGATGGGGTTTCCCCATGTTGGCCAGGCTGGTCTTGAACTCCTGACCTCAGACGATCCGCCCACCTCGGCCTGCCTCCCAAAGTGCTGGAATTACAGGCATGAGCCACTGTGCCCAGCCCTACCAGCTATTTAAAAGACAAAAATCAGCCAGGCATGGTGGCTCACGCCTATAATCCCAGTATTTTGGGAGGCTGAGGCGGGCAGATCACCTGAGGTCAGGAGTTCAAGACCAGCCTGGCCAACATGGGGAAACTCCGTCTCTACTAAAAATACAAAAATTAGCCAGGCGTGGTGGCAGGTGCCTGTGGCAGGAGGGAAAAAGGGGCTCAGGAGAGTTGGGCTAGCAACTACTTATACCTTAGTGTACATTCATTTAATCAGTTTTCCTTCCTTCCTTACCTAAGATGGACTAACTGCCCTAAAAAGTTTTTTTTTTTTTTTTTTTTTTTGGACAGGAAAGGGGATTTTGGTGTTTGAGACTTTAGGGAAGATGTTCTTAACCCAAGCTGGGCTGTAGAATCACCTGGAGAACAAAAAAAAAAAAAAAAAAAAAAGCTCCGTTACACCCCCCAACCAGACCAGGCATGGGTGTTTTTGTTTGTTTGTTTTTTGTTTGTTTGTTTGTTTTTAAAACTTTGCAGATATTTCAGTATGAAGCCAGGACTGAACCCACCACTCACGGAGAACAATGCAGCCAAAAAGCAAAAAGCAGTTCAAAAGCTGTGACCATGTGGGGCCATAGAAAAACCTGGCGGGAATGAGGCATCAAAACAATGATACGCCCTCTTTTTAAAAACTTCAAGTGGACTTCCTGTGGCCAACTAGTGAGACGTTCAGGAGCCCCAAAACAAGTGACCTGGGGGCTTCCCAAGGGGCTGTCCTGCAGAAGTGATGAGGTAGGATGAAAGGCCCCCAAACAACAGCTCCATCAGGTCTTTTGCTCCTTTCACAAGGATAATATACAAAAATCAACTGCTATATGCCAGCAATAAATTTGAACTTAAAAACACATTAGCACACACGTGCACACACACACACTCCAAAAAGACAAAACCCTCAGGTATAAATCTAACAAAAGATATGCAAAATCTATAGCAGGAAAACAAAACCTCTGATGAAAAAAATCAAAGATCTAAATCAATGAGGAGATATTCCTCCACCGAATTTTAAAAATAAATCTGAATCTCTCATCGTGATCACTTTCATAATGACAGTTAACAGAAAAATTCCCCCAAATAAAAGCAGTCCCATGGACTTTCAGTTACAAATAAGCAGCTCAGATCCTCTACCCCTGTTGGCTGCAGCAGGGAAGGAGGCTCCAACATAGGGTTGCCAGGTAAAATACAAATAACCTTGTAGTATATTTACTTATATCCCAAATCTTGCATGGAATATACTTATACTTTAAAAGTTTAAAAATTATTCAGTTTGTCTCAAGTTCGAATTTAATTGTGCCTCCCAGGTTTTTGTTTGCTAATCCTGGCGACCCTATTCCAAGGCCTCAGTAGCAAGGCTCAGAACAAGAAAAAGCAACAAACCTCTTAGGTGCATTTGGTGCTTGACACTTTCCAATGCCTTTTCTACTGTTTTTCTGTCTGGATTTTGCTACACGTCTGAGAGGCAAGCAGGACAATCATTCTTCAGCACACCTATTCAGCCCAGTGAGGCTCAACTCTGACTACATGTTAGAGGCACCTTGGGGAGCTGCTGAAACAACAGAGGCCTGGACCCCACCCCTAAGGATTCTGATTTAGCTGGTCTGGAGTGGGACCTGTGCATCTTTTTTAAATAGTCTATCATGGTAAAAGTTAAAGACATATGAAGGTAGACAATAAAGGATAATGAACCCCAAGAGCTCCAATCACCCAGCTTCAACAATTATTAACGCATAGCCAATGTTATTTCATGTGCCAGTGCTGGCCAATAGAATTTTCCACAATGATGTAAATGTGCTAGATCTGCACTGTGCAGTATGGCAGCCCCTGGACGCATGTTGACTATTGAGCACTTGAAATGTGGCTGGTGTCACAGGGGAACTGAATTTAATTTTTTAAGTTTTAATTAACGTAAATAGCCACAGGTGGCTAGTGGCTACATCCTGAACAACGCAGATTAACACCGTCGCCTGCTTCCCCGCCATTGTTAGTCTGAAGAAAATCCCAGGCAGGGCGTGGTGGCTCATGCCTGTAATTCCAGCACTTTGGTAGGCCAAGGCGGGTGGATCACGAGGTCTGGAGATCAAGACCATCCTGGCTAACACGGTGAAACCCCGTCTCTACTAAAAATACAAAAAATTAGCCAGGCATGGTGGCCGGCGCCTGTAGTCCCAGCTACTCGGGAGGCTGAGGCAGGAGAATGGCATGAACCCAGGAGCGGGAGCTTGCAGTGAGCTGAGATCGTGCCACTGCATTCCAGCCTCGGTAACAGAGCGAGATTCCATCTCAAAATAAATAAATAAAAATCAATTAATTAATTAATTAAATAAATAAAAAGAAAATCCCAGACATATTATCTCACCCATATCTTTTAAAGCCTTCCAGATGATTCACATGTAAAACCCCAGGTGGAAAGCAATGAACTGCTGTTTTAGCCCATTTGTGCTGCTGTAACAAAATATCTGGGACTGGGTAATTTATAAAGAAAACGAACTGCTGGGCACGGTGGCTCATGCCTGTAATCCCAGCACTTTGGGAGGTTGAGGAGAGAGGGTCTCTCAACCCCAGAAGTTCGAGACCAGCCTGGGCAACACAGGGAAACTGTGTCTCTACAAAATATGAAGATAAATCAGCTGGGTGTGGTGGCATGCACCTGTGGTCTCAGCTACTTGGGAGGCTGAAGCAGTAGGATCACTTGAGCCTGTGAGGTTGAGGCTGCAGTGAATTTTAATTGTATCACTGCACTCCTGCCTGGATGACAGAGTGAGAACTCGTCTCAAAAAAAAAAAAAAAAAAAAGAAGAAGAAGAAGAAACTTATTTTCTCAGAGTTCTGCAGGCTGAGAAGTCCAAGATCAGGGCACTGGCAGGTTCAGTTGTTTGATGAGGGCTGCTCTCTGCTTCCAATATTGTGAGACTCCACAGGGGAGAAGCACAGCAGCCTCACATGTTGGAAAGGCAAGCAGGCTGAATGCTGATGGAGCTTCTGTTACAAGGTCCTTCTTTTCATTCACAAGCGAGTCTCTCTCACGGCTTAATAATCTCTTCAAAACCCCAGCGCTTAATACTATCACATGCACAACATCTGAATTTTGGAGGGGACATATTCAACACATAGCACTATTCAAGACTACGATCCTCCATTTATTTAGAGGACAGACTTTCCAGCAGCCACACAACCTTAAGAGAGATATTCTCAACCTTGAGTGCACATTCAAATCACCTGGGGAGCTATACCTATGTCCAAGCCCTACCCTCTGAGATTCTGATTTATCATCTATTTGGGGGTATGACTCTTTTTTTCTCCTCCTCCTCCTCCTTTTGCCACAAGTTCCTCATGTGATTAAAATAGGTTGAGAATTCCAATTGATTAAAGAGGGTTGAGAATCACTGCTTTCAAGTCTTTCTACATAAAGCCTGTTCCACAGACTAGCAGAACTGGCATCGCCTAGGAGCTGGTTAGAAAAGCAGAATCTCAGGCACCACCCCAGATTTTCTGATTCAGAATCCGCATTTTAACAAGTTCCCCAGGTAACTTATATGGACAATAAAGTTTGAGATGTCCTACTCTAAAACAGAGCTTCTCAAAACTTGGTCTTACGACCAGAGGTCTCAGGTTACCTGAGAACTTAGGAATGTAAATTTTCGGCTTCACCCCAGAACGCCAGAATCAGAAATTGTGAAGGTGGAGCCCAGCAAGCTGTAACTGGCCCTGCAGGTGATGTTGATGTATTCTCAAGTTCGAGGCCCCCTGCTCTGAAGCCTGAAACACAGCTCCATATTGCTATGAATCCAGAGCTCCAAGCAGCAAGAGATGATTATGAAAGCAAGTACTCTACCTCAAAAGAGAAGCTGAAGTCATCCTCGGGCTCCCACGCAAACAATTATACATGAAATATCTCTTTATAATCCATAGGAATGGTTGGGGAGGAATTAAAGAAGAAAGCAAGCAACCTGGGATCCCTTGGTATGGGAATAAATCCTATGCTCCCTATACTCTTCAGAAGAGCACAAACCAATAACCGATGTTCATAAAAATGTGTAAGACATTAAGCCCTTAAGTTGTGTTCATTCAGTTCATTCTCAGTACATTAAGAAGGCAATTATGTTTACATTAAAAAAATATTTCTATTACAATGTTTTATGTTTCTTTCAAGTGAAAAATAACTACTTAGGACAGTCTATTGTTCCTAAAAATGTTGAAGGATAAGAAGAAAGGTTACATGAGGGTGGTGTGGTAGGACTTAAGACCATTCTCCAGGGCAGTTATTGTTAGGCTTTCTGAGGTCTTGCCTTCTTCTGAGAGCTGGAGCAAAGCCATGAACCTTCGTCCCTTAAAATGCGTTCCCAGAACGTACAGAAAATTTTGCATGCAATATCAGAAGATTGAGGCCCCCTAGGCCAATGGGACTGATGTTGAGGGTATCCATTCTGCTGTGGGGAGCAGCCAGAGAGAGCAGAATGACGCTCTTTGAGGGGTAGAAGGATTCACACCCAGGCTGAATCCTGGCATTCTCTCCAACCAGTTAAACCAGAGCCTCAGATTCCTCCTCTACAAAAAAGTAGCTGTAGGAAGGGCAGTTTTACTATTGCCATTCTACAAACAAGGAAATTGAAACCTGGAAAAGTGAGAGCTAGTCTAGGACACCAATGGCAGGGTCAGACTTGCAACCTCTATGGCCTTTGAATTGGGCCGTCTGCTGCCCAGCAGGATGCAATGCCCCCTTTTAGACTCTCCAGTGCAGCCAGGCGCACCATTCCCGTCCCTACTGTCTAGCTTAGCCCTTCCCACCCTGAGAGCTCATCTCCTACACACCCAGATGAAGCCTGCTATCATGACCACTTGTCCTCCCCCTAGCAAAAAAGAGCCATCTCTGCTTGCAAGCCGTATTCCGAGCCAGGAAGAGCTGGCCAGGTCATCTGTTAAGCCTCAATGCATCCTGAACAGAATGAGCTCCTAAATCTGTGGCACTGGATTGCACTTACTCTGCTTAAACGCCTATTTCTACTACTAAAACATGAACTCCTTGAGAGTAGGGACTGCCTGTGACTCCTCTTTGCATCCCCAGGGTTGGCCCGTGAGCACCTAACAAACAAGGAAGGTAGGGCAAGAAGAAGGGAGGGAGGGAAGGCAGGCACCACTCTGGCCCTTGCAGGTAGAGCTGTTTGGGGTCCTGATTCATCACGGAGCAGCCTTTGGGACTTTGCAAGTGCTATTTTACCCTGGTATTGTGTTTGCAGACAAGCCTGTCTCTAAGACTAAATTTTAAGCCCTTTGAGGGTACAAAAGAGTTTTCCTACCTTTATGTAGGAGATACCAAGGGCTACATTATATAGGCAACACAGTGGGTGGCCCTGAGACCTTCCATTTTCCTGAAGAGTCAAGATCTTCCTACCAAAGTATCCTAGACCCTAGACAGTAGGGTCTAGACTGGAGGCTATGAGCTGCCAGGAAATGAGTAGCCTAATTCTGCATACCCAACTTCCAGGAACCGCAAGCACACACTAACAGGACAAACTGTGGGTTCAGCTTCCCTCTCCCACAACCCCCCAGTCCCTCAAACCACACATATTGTCCCCAACTGCTCTCTTCTCCTCCAGCAGTGGGGCCACA
Source organism: Homo sapiens (assembly GCF_000001405.40). NCBI lineage: Eukaryota > Metazoa > Chordata > Mammalia > Primates > Hominidae > Homo > Homo sapiens. Next base: position 45,863,001 of record NC_000002.12, on the reverse strand, counting down.
GCAAGTAGAGGGGGTGGAGACACCAGGGAGTAGATTAGAGAGTGAGTAAGGCTGTTTTTCAAAATGGATCTCAGCCAGAAGGCCCTGATCTGGGGCACAGGGTCCCTAAGTTTTCAATGTGAATGCAGCCCCTGCGAAGCTTTGAGCCTAGGGGCACCCTGCGCAGGTGATTATGGGTGCATGTGTGTACACATTTGCATGCATGTATGTACACACACCACACACATATAAACACACACAGCCTTGGGGAGCAGAATAGAGCTGACTTTTGGTAATAAGCTGCCTGCTCTGAGTCCTAGCAATCCCCAAAGCCCTGCGCATTGTGACCTGGTTCCCGTGATCTGTAGGGTAACTTGGCAATTGGTTTCCCAGAAGTGCAGAAGTTAGTGACTGAGCCCAGCTCCAGGGACACAGAAAACCAGAAGATCCAGCCAAAGAATCCCCTACCCCTCTGACTGCACAGGTAGGCAATGCCTGATGCATTCTTGTACACAGTACCATGCTCACTTCTGACAGTCTGGTTAGAGGAGCTGACACCAAGAAAAAAGATGGAACAATCTCCGGCCTAATGCACCACTAGGTGGTATGACCAGGAAGTTCTGTGGCTCTTCAAAGAAGGCCAAGTTCCACTGGAGAGGGATCCAGGAGGTGACATGGAGGTGGTGAGACCTGGACGGATGAGGAGGAGGCAGACTGTTGGAGGGAAATGGAAGTAGTCCTGGTAAACCAGGAAGGAACACAATGAAGAATTCAGAGTAACAGATTTGAAATACTGTGTGTGTGTGTGTGTGTGTGTGTGTGTGTGTGTGTGTGTGTGTATACAAGAAGAAAGGTTACACTAGGGTGGCGGGGTAGTACCTAAGACCATTCTCCAGGGCAGTTATTGTTTTACATACATATAAACTCACAGCAAAAATGTTAATGAGTTAAAAGGCTACGTGGGGAGCATAAGTCCCTTGGTCCCCATCTCCACTTTTCAGAGGTAAATTTGTGTGTGTGTACACTATGCTGGCGTATGTTTTTGTGTTTCTTTCCTCATTTTCACACAAATGGGATCACAGTATAGCTACTATTCCAACTTACTTTTTTTACTTAACCATTTATTTTCAAAACCTCTCTTCATTAATATATAAAAATAAACCTAAAACTTTATAATGGTTGTTAATTACTCCATTATAGGAGTTACCAGTGCCCTTCAGCTGTAAACATTTACCTTGCCTTCAATATTCTGCTGTTTTGACCTGGCACTTTGTGCACTACCTAGGCAGGTTCATCAGTGAAGTAAACCTACAGCAGTTTCTGGGTCAAGGAAAACTCTAGTTTCATTCTCGCCAACAGTTCAAATGGCATTTAGTGAGTACCTACAATGTGCAAGAGAGAAGGGAGAATAAAAGAAAATTTATTTTAGTAACACTGAAAATAAGCCAGTCTTGGGGACCTGAAGCCTCATGCGAAGAGGTATTTATTGAAGAATGGGCTAAGGGCATTTCTACTCTATATTTTTTTGCTATTGTATGTATATATAATGTATATATTTTTGATAACTGTTAGATATGCAACCTAATACATGGGTTGTAAAACATTACTGCAGAGCAGGTAATTACATAGCATATTTACCCCCAATCTATTATATATCGTAAGTTCTTTTCACTGTGTTCAGCATAACTCAGTGTGTTATAAACTACATGCATGAAAAATCACCATGCACTTTTTCAGCATTATCTCCCAGGAGTTACAAGGATTGCCTGTGGAGGTTAGAACCAAATTAGTCTCTAGCCTCAAGCCCACCCCTACCCCTAATACCAGCCCCAGCACGAAGGAGCATTCACATCAGGCAATGGCTCAGCCTGCTGTTTTCCCAGCCAGAAAACCAGTGAGTAGGAAGCAAGCCTCCCCACTTGAGTTCTGATTTCCTGAAAAGCCAAATTCTCGTTGCTCTCCCTACCGAGGCCCTTCCTCTGCCCCCACCCTATCATCAAAAGTGAAAGTGTTACTGCAACAGCACACAAGCGCTGGCATCAAAGATCTGCGTTATTCACTGGTTCCCAGAAAAACACTTGTCTGGGACACGGGTTAAGGAGCAGCAAAGAAGAGGTCATTGATCTCTGTCTCCAGGGCTCAGTGGCTTTGGCATGGGGAGGGGCCGAGGCTTTCCAGATGTTCCACTGAAGGACTGGATGGGTGCCAGGAGAGTGCTGCAGATCTACAAAGGGATGCCTGTTCCCCAAGAGTGTACCATGCAAAGTCAAAAACTCTCTGAAGAGAGCACTGGCCAAAGTGGGCAGGGCCCCCAGAGAGACTTCAGCGGTGAACATCTTCTGCTGTCCTCACTCCCTTCAGTCCACAGCCACCACAGCCACTACACCCCCTCCCCAGCACTCACATGCACATATATTTCCCCCAGACTACCAGCTCTTGTTCCTATAGTAACAAAGCAAAAGCTAACAGGGTTTGAAAAAGCAGTAAACTTGACAGCAACCATACAGAAGGGCAAAGAAAATGGCCTGGGAAATTCTGTTCTCACCCTAGAAATCTGCCTTCAGAGGAGTGCCAGCCCATCAGGGGGCCCCAGCTACAAGTCTAAAACCTCAGCTCCCAAAGGCACAATTCCCTTCCTCTGACTCCACCCATCCTCTCTGAAAAGGAGAAGGCCAGAGTTACATGGATCAGTACACTATGTAAGTTTGCAAGTTATCTGAACAAGGAGCAACCCCTAAACACAGCATTTGGGTGATTACGTGGCAATGATAACATGGCTACTATTAACACCTCTGATTCAGTCATTCATTAAACAAATACTTACTGAGCAGGTACTGTATGCCAGGCACTATTCCAGCTTGCTGGGGATACAATGATAAACAACTTAGATAAGATTCTTGTCCTCGGGAGCTTACATTCTAGAGGGGCAAACGGATAATTAGTAAACAAACTGATACTAGTTTAATAAGGCACTAAAAGTACAATGAAATAAAAGCAGCTCCAGTAACAAAAAAGATTTCCAGGAAGTATATTATGTATAAAAATGGAGGCAGTAGGACGATAGAAAGAAAACTAGACTTTCTACATTATACAAGTGTGTGGTGCTTCACTTTCAAAATGAGCTTTCATGCACATCAGCTCATTTTGCCACTGCCACCTATTGAGTTAGCAGGGTGAGAATGCATCAGTATACTCATTGGCCCAAGCAGAAACATATTTGGAAGCCCAGATATGTGACATGATTTGTTCAAGATCCACCAAGTTTCATTCTTTGGATATCTATGTATCAGATAACCATAGAATGAAAAGATTATCTACAAATGAGGGGAAGATATTGCAATACATGACTGCCTCTGAAGCACTAAGAAATAGACAAAAACAACAGAAAAATGCACTAAGGGAGTGAACAGACATTTTTGAGGAAAGGTCAAAAACACATAAAAAGATTCTCAACATCACGAATAATCAGATAAATATAAATTAAAACTATAATGGCATATCACCCACCATACTGGTAGAAACTTAAAAGTCTGATAATACCAAATATTCATGAAGATAAAAAACAATTGGATATTGCAAACATGTCTGGTGGCGGCATCAACTGGTAAAATCACTTTGGAAAACAACTTATTACCTAGCAAAGCCGAATGTGCACGTATCTGTTGAACCATCATTTACCATGCCTGGGTAAATAATCTAGAGAAACTATAGATAGATACAAGGACACCCCCATAATATACTATTGTCCTTAATAGAAAAAACTTGAAAGTAATCCCAACGTCTAGGAATAGAAGAATGGATAAATTAATTTTGATATATTAATATAATGGAATAATATACAGCAATAAAAAAACGAACTGCAGCCACACACACATCAATATGGATGAATCTCAAAAGTAGAATGTTGAATGAAACATAGGATGATACTATTTTATTTATTTATTTATTTATTTATTTATTTATTTATTTATTTATTTATTTAGAGATGGAGTCCTGCTCTGTTGCCCAGGCTGGAATACAACGCCCTGACCTTGGCTCACTGTAACCTCTGCCTCCTGGGTTCAAGTGATTCTCCCGCCTCAGCCTCCCAAGTAGCTGGGATTACAGGCACCCACCACCATGCCCGGCTAATTTTTGTATTTTTAGTAGAGGTGGGGTTTCACCATGTTGGCCAGGCTGGTCTCAAACTCCTGACCTCAAGTGATCCGCCCGCCTTGGCCTCCCAAAGTGCTGGGATTACAGGTATGAGCCACCGCACCCGGCCTGATACTATTTAAGTAAAGCTCAAAAGCAGGTAAAACAAAACAATACATTACTTGGGAAAGCATACATTTAGGTGCTAAAATCATAAAGAAATGCAAGAAAATAATACAAAATTTAAGATATTTACAAAATCTTTCCCCCATTGGGGGAAAAAATGGCAAAGACAAAGTCAGTGAAGGGTGCCCAGGGGCTGAAAGGCACTGGCCATACACTTATTTTAAAGCTGGATCATAGGGACATATGACCCATGATATACAATATAAGTTCAGCATAAAAATAGTGGAAGGGAGGGAGGGTAAGTCTGATTTAAATTAAGTCCAAAAGACAGATTGATTCAAGGGAAACAAATCACAGAGGGTATTTTTTTCTTAAGTCAAAAAAAAACCCCATCATTTCTAAAACAAAGAAGGCTGACGAAGGCCTCATGCAGTACAGGAAGTGAATGTTAAATCCAAAAGACGCTGGTTTGATTTATGTTTAAAAAAATTAAAAATAAAAGCAAAATAGGTTCTTCTCCAGGCAGAGCCAGGTGTTTCTAGTTGGCCTGGTAGTGTCGCGGCTAGAAGGGCCATCGTTACAGGCAGGGAGAGGTTGAGTGGCCTGAGCAACATCTGTAATTAAGCAGGTGAAGTCTGTCTTCTAAGCTCCAGCCACTCTGCCAATGACCCTGGTGACTCAAACCCACCTATTACAGGCAGTTCTTGATTTTCATCCCTTCAGCCTTCAAACAGCACACAGGCCACACGTGGACGCTCAGCCGTCAGCTGGCGGTCACGTGTCACAGGATGCTTTCTGCCAGCCAAGCAACTCAGCCACCTCCACAGCTTTGCCATTTTTACCTGGCACCATTTACAACGGCCATTCCTTAATCATTTAACAAATATTTCCTAAGGACTACTGTATCCTGGCACTGTTTTAGGTCATGAAGGTACAGCAGAGATGAAAATAAACACAGTCCCTGCCCCGATAGAGCTTAGATCCTAAAGAGTTTGTACAATTATTTGAATACTTTATTGCCTCCTACCCTTTAAAAAAAAAAAATCAAAATGCTGGGTGTGGTGGCTCATGCCTGTAATCCCAGCACTTTGGGAGGCCAAGGCAGGCAGATTGCTTGAGCTCAGGAGTTCAAGACCAGTATGGGCAACACAGCAAGACCTCATCTCCAAAATAAATAAATAAACAAACCAATCAATCCATCGAAACAATGAATTAGAAAAAAATTAAAATGTTGGCCCTTGTGATGAGAGCGATAGATCTACTTCAGAGTATAGAGGCTAATAGGGCACATCGTCAAAGCTTTAGCCTCAGCTGGGCCCTTCCAGAACTTAAGCAGGTTGACAGGCTGCCCAGATGATCACGTGAACATTTTTTAAAAACTCTCTTAAAGAACAAACTGCTGGAAATATTACCAGAAATTGTTTCTGAACAATGAGACATAGTGAGGGGATTTTGTAATGCATTTTAGTTTTCTGGTAATGGAATCCTCCATAATAATGTTCAACTGAATTATTCAACTTTCACTCCTTTGACTTCCAGAAGCATTTTTAGAAAGCATCACGTGCAACTTAGGGAACCAGCTGCCTACAAACCTAGCAGTTGGTCCTTTATTAGTACAGCCACTATGGAAAGCAGTACAAAAGCTCTTCACAAAATTAAAATAGAACTACCATATGATCCAGCAATCCCACTACTGGGTATATATCCAAAAGAAATGAAATCAAATGTCAAAGAGACATCTGCACACTCACATTTACTGCAGCACTATTCACAACAGCCAAGATATGGAATCAACCTAAATTCCCATCTGATGATGAATGGACAAAGAAAATGTGGTACATCAGCACAATGGAATATTATTCAGCCATAAAACATAATGAAATCCTGTCACTTGCAGCAACATGATGAACCTGGAGCACATTATGTTAAGTGAAATAAGCCAGGCACAGAAAGACAAACACTGCATGATCTCACTCATAGGTGGAATCTTAAAAAGTTGATCTCATAGAAGAAGAGAGTAAAATAGTGGCTACCAGAGGCTGGGGAAAATAGAAGTCAGGGGGGATGGAGGGAAGTTGGTCGATGGGTACAAAGTTACAGTTAGACAGGAAGAATAAGTTTTCCTGTTCTATTATACAGTAGCATGACTACAGCAAATAACAATGTGTCGTATATATCAAGAGAGCTAGAAGAGAGAACCTTGAATGCTATTAACAGGAAGAAATGATAAATGCGCCAGGCACATGGCTCACGCCTGTAATCCAAGAACTCTGGGAGGCCGAGGTGGGTGGATCACTTGAGGTCAGGAGTTCGAGACTAGCCTGACCAACATGGTGAAAATCCGTCTCTACCAAAAATATAAAAGTTAACCGGGTGTGGTGGCAGATGCCTGTAATCCCAGCTACTCGGGAGGCTGAGGCACGAGAATTACTCGAACCTGAGAGGCAGAGGCTGCAGTGAGCGGAGACTGTGCCACTGCACTCCAGCCTGGGTGACAGAGTAAGACTCTATCTCAAAAAAAAAGAAAAAGAAACAAACAAATGATAAATGTTTAGAGAGGGGGATATGGTAATTGCCTTGAGTTGATCACTATACTATGTACACATGCATTGAAACCCCAGAAATATACACAATACATTGTATCCCAGAAATACATGCAATTATTATGTATCGATTATAATTTTTTAAAAAAATTTTTTTAAAAGAAAGAAAGGCTTAGGATTCCATCTTTCTATAAGGGTTTTGTTTTTGTTTGTTGAGGGAAGGGAGGGTTCGCCTTTTAATGCACACGGAGACTTCAAACCATCATCATCATGAAAACCCTGAAGGCAAAATCTCAAGCAAAGACAGAAGGTAGGTCAGTGTTAGGGGCAGCAGTCAACAGCCTTATTGTGCCCCTCCTCACAGGGGCAAAACATTGTTCAGCCCATTTATGGCAATACATCACCCACTGCAGTGAGAAGCTTTCTACCCAAAACAAAACCCCTTCTCAAGTTAAGAAGCTAAATTCTTCTCAAAGAAACCTCAGTCTCTTTCTACTCCTGTGGCTTCCAGACAAAACTCCTAAGTTTGAGGAGAAAATCCTTACTTCACAGGACACACAAGCAAGCACGATGAAAGGATGTTTCCCCTAAAGTCAAGGGCTTGTGTTGCCATTTCCCTTTCTCCCAGATGGACCTGTTCCCAGACACACACCGATGCACTGTGTTTTAACAAACTCCACATGTGCAGCTACACGAGAGAGACATTAAGGAGCAAATCCTGATGTTACAGACTTTTTCACTTCTAAAAACTCTTCTTAGGAAGGGTTCACACAATTGGGGGTTCATTCAAATAGGGAGCTTCCCTAGTTCTTTGGGAACAAGGTTCAAATTTTAACATTTCCATTTTTGCCTAAATTTGTAAGATTTTTAAGCATTCTGTAAATACCTGCTAAGATCCAACTTTTTCCCTTTTCCTTTATTTCATACACTCTTTTTCTCTACCTTCTTACAGTGTAAGCCTTGGATTTTTAAAAAGTAAAATAAACACTGCCTTATCAGCCTCCACTTGTATATATTTATGGAAGTTACTTGTCACATCCAGATCTTACAAAAGATCATTAGAAGAACAGTCTTGTAATAGAACAAATGGAAACACTGGTTCATCAAAACCAGAAAAAAGAACTGCAATTATCCAATACAGCCCTCTAGCTAATATATAAATTTGTTCTACGATATTTCAAAATGCTCATTTGGTCTCTCCTTGAATACCTCCAGAGATGGAGAGCTCCCTACTTACTGTTTGAGTATATTTAACTGCTGGTGAGCTCTGCTTATTGGAGACTTTTTCCATACATTAAACTAAGCTGAAATCTGCCTCCCTATAACTCCTTGTAACCCTTGTCATCCCAAAGCTGCAAGAGGAGCCACAGAATAAGTTCTCTCTCTATTCCACTTGGCCACATTTTAAGTTTCTAAGACACCTACCAGGTCTCATCTACTATTAATATTAAGGCTCCTGTTCTTTGGCCAAGAATAATTGGGTCTGGCTCCCTGGTGGTAAGTGTAAGGAGAGATTAGGAAACTTTCTCATGGACTCACGCCCGTATTCGGAAAGTCTTCAATCTGAGAATTCAAAATCCTGAGCATTGGCTTAACCATCGCCTCTTAATGCTTTCCTTGCAATCCTGTTGAAGGTCAGAAATACCCAACGATTTGTTTACCTTCAATAGGCTGGTTAGTAGCAGCTAGGAACAGAATCCAAGCTTCTTATTTTAATACAAGGATTCCTCCCACTATACCTCATCATGATGCCACCTAATGCTAATTCAGCGTAGCCAGTTGGGGGTCTTGTGCCCAGGGCTATTGAGGCCCTGGAATAAGCAAGACCCTCATAGACTTAATCCATGCCTCCCTATGGTAACCTGTTTCACACTGGGTTTTGGTGATCTGTCTCTAGGTCTGGTTCCCCACTGGACCAAGAGGCCCCAAGTACAGGGACAGTCCTTGTCCCCATACTTGTTTTGTGTAGTCAGAATGGTAGGATGGTGCTCCCGGCTCAGCAATGCCACATTGCAAGGCCAACAGGGAGCCACACTGCACCGGGCCAGGTCTCAGTTCTGGACCAGTACAGGAACCTCTGCCCTTGAATGACTTGTGCCCTTAGATGGGGCAAGCAGGGCACAACCTGGACTCCAATTATAGGTACAATATAAATATGTGAGTACATGGTTGTATAGAAAGACACAGAGGAGTGTGGGGGGCAAATCCAGTGTCATGAACCAGGGGAATGCTGGTGGGATGGGCCCGTGTGTGGGAAGGCTCCCAGGAGGTGGCAAACTTGAGAATAAAGAAGTAGCTAAATAAACAGGGAGAGGACAGGGTTTTATAACTGAGGACTTGGTGTGCATGCGGGCCCTGAGTGGCATTGGAAAGTCCCTAGTAAGTATCCGATACAGTAAGCTTAAACATTCAGATCCATGCCCACTCATGAAATTGATTGTACAGTGGAATATGAAAGAACCGATTATCCAAAGCAAAGTCAGGCCAAACACCTTGTTTATCTCAGTAGTTTCCTTTAGAAGTGACAGTTTTTCCTGTTATTTTCATTTAGTCATGCATTCATTTATCCAGCAAGTAAAAATTATGCCCCTACTGTGTACGCAGCACCTAATCCAGAACTCTGCATTTCCCCTTCCATAAAAAGCAGGTGCGACCTGCCTACCTCAGGGGAGATCACATAGAGGTAAGTTCTAGCAAGGTCCCTGGGTGAGTTATTTTAATTAAAGCCCCAGGAACCAGGAAAAAATTAGCACAGTGGGATCAAATTCAGGCACCACTCAATACTTCAGGATATTTATAGAAAAACAAACACAAAAACAAAAAATTCAATATCCTGACTGGTTGCTTTTAAAAGGGTTACTTAGTGCTTTGTTTTCCTGGTATAATTGCTTCTTGTTCTCATCTTGGAAGAACACTGATGTTGTCCATTTTGACCTTCTCAGAATGGAAACTGCAAACTATGAAAGCCAGAATGAAAAAACCAAGGCCTGGGCATTTCCCAGCTCTCTAACAACACTGATGCCTTCTCAACTCCTTTCCCCATAAGAAAGGAGAATGGGGAGGGAGAAGATTCCAAACAGAAAAGGATTCAAAGGCATTGATTTTGAGAAGGACTAAGTGATCGGGACTCGAGAAAGAAAAATCTGCACATTTCCTTCTTAGTTTTCCATCAAGTAGGAACTGGTGCCTGCTCAGCATGGTTCAGAGGCGGAATATCTCAAGGCTTCCAGTCTCCTGCTACTCCAAGTGCGGTTCAGGGACCAGCAGCACAGACATCTCCTGGGAGCTGGTTAGCAATGCAGAATCTCAGCCCCCATCCTGGGCTGCCTGAGTCAGAATCTCCATTTTTACAGGTTTTCCAGGCAATTCACATTCTTAAGCTCTTCAAGCCTCACTTTTCCAATATGTAAAAGAGGGATGATAAAACCTACCTGGCAGATCCATTTAGACTTAAATAAAATAATTTCTGCATTGAGATCTGGCTTGAACATTTTTATTATCTCCCACTTCCCCCTTCCAGGTGCCCAGCTGTATGCAAACCTCTCTTGGTTTTGACTCAGAACTATAGAGCTAGAAGAAGCCCTGAGTATCACCCCTCTCCGTGTACAGAGCAGGCCAGTGGGACCCAAGTAGAGTAAATGACTTGTTGCTGGACATCTCCTGGCTTGAGAGCTCCTAGAGGGCAGGACCTATGTCTTTTTCATCTTTGTTTGTTTAGCTCTTAGCATGGTGCCTGCGCAGGCAATAGACTCTCAGTTTACATCTGTTGAATGAATCGGTCAATCAAGTAATTAACTAATTATGGAGCAGGAACTACAATGCAGAACCCAATAACAGATGGATACACCTGAAAGTAAATTTAACTTCCCTTGAGTTAACTGTTTTAAACAGTTTAAAACAAATTCACACTTGGCTAATAGTAGAGGTCACGGGTTTTTGTTGCAGAGAACATTTCTCCCTTTGAACTAAACATCACCACTATTTTCAATATCAGGAAACACACAAACTTGAATGTTTGGAAAGTAGGTATGACCATCGGCAGCTGACTTGCCCTACTTAGCTGGGTAGAAGGGCAGAGCTAATGAAAGCACTCTGTCTGGGGAGATGACCAAGTTTGGGACAAGTACCAGCGGAGGCTAAATGCCGGAAAATGCTGCCATCAGAAACGCCACAGTGGGATTGTCTGTCCAGCGAGGTGCAGGCAGGGCTGGCAGGTGGAGGCAAGTGGTTCCTGGAGTTACTGCTCTGAGGGGGTCTTGCCTCACCCATTTTGCGGGAGCCCAGGCCACCTGGCCCACCTGCCTCTCCATGGCAGGAGCACTCAGTCCTCGGTGACAGGCATAGCCCGAGGGAATCCTAAATTTCAACATAGCCCTTTATACATTAGAGGTGTCTATCAAGCAATAAATGAACGGAGAGCATTCTTTGTGGAGTTCCCTGCCATTAGACGTGGTCTGTGGATTCAGTGAGTCACTCCTCTCTGGCAGGGTTTGCTGGAGCCTCTTGTAGCCTCTGGCCATGGGCAAGTCACTCTGTGAATGGGAATGGTCACATTTCTATATAATTCAATTTTTTTTCACAATTTCTAAGTAATAAAAAAATTAATAGCTCATGCACATACATGGGAAAGAAAAACAAAATAATAAGCTTGACAAGAAATGTCTCATCCTTTCCAAATTTTCCCTTTCCTTTCCCCAGAGACAGCCACTGTTCTCAATCTGCTGTGTATCCTTGCATAGACAACCTGCAAACACACACACATACCCCTCCCAAACACACACAAGCATATCCACTTGAATGTAAGCCCCATGAGGGCAGGAATTTCTGTTTCTATTATTCACTTCTGTGCCCCCAGTTCTGAGAAGAGTAACTAGCATACAGAAAGTGCCTAACAGCCATAGGTTGAATGAGTCAATGTATACATCACATGTCTTCCTGAAAAGTTCAAATTGTGGTCAATCAAATACTAGTCCCTCTTTATTTTATCTCCTGTTCAAATGAATCTTCAGTGGGCCGTGGCACTATTTCCTCAACCAAGGAAAGAGGATAACTGTTGGTACCTGCATTTCAGGGTTGCCATGTGGATCAGTGATCACGTGGAAGTGTTTGTGGCTGTCATTTACTGACTGCCTACTCACAGCAGAGCCTGCAAACAGAAGGGAGGCTCCTTGGTGGTCCCACAGCACCCTGCCCTACCAGTAGCTACCCAACAGCTAAAGCACACGATGATGCTTACTGGTCTATTGCTTGCCTCCTTCTAGCAGAGCATGAGCTTCCTGACAGCAGGCACTGTGTTCATTAGCTCTACATCCCCAGGGCCTCGTATATATTAGATAAGCAAATAAATGATGCTTCCAACTGAAGAAATGGAGGATGAGGGGGAGACAGAATAGGTGATTCAGAGACACTCATTCTCACCTGTGTGCACTTGGGCACATGTACACCCCTACACTGGCCCCTATGAGCTCACACCAAAGGTTTAAATAAAGGAGGAAGATAAAAGCCCCAGTGTCAACAGCTCGATTAAAAATGGTGAATGCACTTGCTTGTGAAAACATGCATGTTTCAACAAAGCTAGGTAATAAGGAAAATCAATAAAACTGTTAGCACTGGCCATTTTCAACTGGATAAAAGAATAAAGTAATAGGTCCTGAAAGACAGACAACTCTAAATTAGGTTAAATGAATGGAAATACCCTTTCTTTTAAGCCAAATCATGAAGACATCAACAACAATAAATGATTAAATTAGAACCCATTTTGGGCCAGTATGATCTCAGCTGCAAACAGGAATTTCCAGAAACAATCTTCTTTATAGGACACAGAAATGATACACAGCAAGACAACGGAGATAGAACTAGAGGTCATGTGGGACCCACTTCTTGACCAAGGATCTATTAGAAATCCACCTTTCCAATAAGCTTATTTCTTCACTGTAACTATTCTTCCTTCAATTATTTTATTGGTAAGACAGGCACACCAGTCAAAAGGAAATATATATCTACGCTCCTGTAATGGCAGAGGGGAAGGAGGCTCTAGTTGTGATCAAAAGAGCTCTGCTCTCCAAACACTCAAGATTCAGTTCTGTTTCTCATCTGCTAATGGTTGGCATTTGGCGTTGTTAACCATGGGTGATTCATTTCAGAGGCACTGCTGTGCATCTAGAGGCTATTTGGAAGGAAATGAGGGTTTCTTGGCTTATGTCTCATCAAGCATCTTAGCGATGTCTCTTTGTGACATTATAAACTCCTTGATGGGGGCTTGGTGCTCACTGTTTTCCAGCTGATCCCCTTGGTCTCATCTGGTGCATATAGTCACTTCTGGGAACAAGAATTTATTCCATCAGGACCAAAAATAGAGCCAAAAATCCCAAGACACAGAGGCTTGCTCCCTGGGTCTGAGAATCAGCCACAGGAAGAAGTTATGCCGGGGTGGGGTGTGGTAACGTGGGGTGCATATTGTAAGATCAATGTTGTTGAACATCTGGATTTTGTTATTTTGTTGTTTTCTGGGCTCCGTGCACTGCCAGGGGATTTGACATGTCCATGCATGTCTAGGGAGTCTGTGTGGTGAACAGGATCAGGATCTTATTGCGTAAGGCACAACATGTGAGGGAGCCTGATCAGCACCTTGGAGCTGGTGTCTGGCTTTGAGGTCCCCTGTTTGGGAAGCTGGAGGCTCTCCTTAACCTCTCAAGTGACATTTCTTATTAAAGACTGAAGAGAATTTGAAAAGAGAAAGCGTGGGAGTATCTGGGCTTGATTTTGGGGCACTTTTGAAAGGATGGAGAGGAAGAGAATGCTGAGGATGGCAGAAGGATTGCTATGGGACTCTATGAGGTTGCTAAGCGAGAAAAGAGACCACAAAGACCACGATGGGATGCCTGTACCTGGGCTTGATCTTCTAAATGCCTCAGTGTCATAGTTGTAAAATGTGCTCTGCCCAGTGTCCCAGACTTGACCAAACTTGACCTAGAACACTCCTTCCCATTGTAGGTCATGGTGAGAGAAAGACTTGACCCAGAAGTCACACCCAGAAGGAACTGCCTTCAATCTTCAGACAGTTTAAACATTTAAGGCATTTCATTTTCTTGCTTGCATAGCATGAAAATTTCTGCCTGCAATACTGACGACTGCCTTTGTTTGGATGCTCCTAGAGAGCTCACACTGCATCTATTTAACTTATCCTGTCTATCCAGCCATCCCCGAAAATAAGAGCTTCAAAGCTGTCTTTGATAATGATGACATGATTCCCTCCACTCACAATGGTCTCTCCACTTCTTCCCTGCCAATCCAGCCTGCCTATCCTTTCCTTTCCAACCCAAGCCTTGCCTCTTTCTTGAAGTTTTCCTGGGTTATTCTGGTCCCGACTTATTCCTACTTGGAGAACTCTTGGTAACACCTAATCAAACACACAATGCTTTGCATTGTTCTCTAATGCTTTCATCCTGCAAGTCTAGGGTGCCTAATTGAATTGCAAGCTCCTTGAAGGCAAAGGGGTTTTACACTTCTTGTGAATGCCATCTCCCATTTTCTACTTCCTTCTCCACTCTCCATTCCCCAAACCCAGCACAGACACAAAGCTGGGCACATTTGTTGAAATGCACTGGTAGCCTGGATGCAGTGACTCACACCTGTAATCCCAGCACTTTGGGAGGCCGAGGTGGGTGGGTCACATGAAGTCAGGAGTTCGAGACCAGCCTGGCCAACATGGCAAAACCCTGTCTCTACTAAAAATACAAAAATTAACCAGGCATGGTGGTGCATGCCTGTAGTCCCAGCTACTCAGGAGGCTGAGGCAGGATAATCACTTGAACCCAGGAGGCAAAGGTTGCAGTAAGCCGAGATCCTGCTGCCACACTCCAGCCTGGGCGACAGAGCAAGACTCCGTCTCAAAAAAAGAAAAAAAAAATGAATTGCTAACTATTGGTCATTTGAATGAATGGTTCTTTTTAATTTTCTACTAACTAGAAGACATTGGATTATTAACGTAGAATTTAGAAGAAAAGAGGTAAAATTCTTATGAATTGAAGCTCCAGTGGGGCTTGAATCTGAGAGAACCCGTCGATATGTATCCTGCCCACTGGCTAAGACAGAGTTTCAAGAGAAAAACCCCTTTCACTTTGATTTCAGCCCTGGAGGTACTGCTCTAATGCCTGCTATGGACTCAGAGTCTTCACATACAAAACTAACATCTCTAGCAAGGAGGGCAGGTCAGTAGGAAGAATTATTAACCTGCTGGGATTTGAGTCAGGTCTAGTTTCAGACCAAGACTTAGCCATGGATCCACATTACAGACAACCTGAGAAGGATCCAACCTTGAGCTCGGACCAAAAGAGCTTTTATTTCTAACACAGTGGAAAAGGGATCTGCTTATTTATGAAGGAGACTCTGGTCACCTTTGGATTCAAAGCTAAGAACTTTGGCTTTATATTTCTATAAAAAGCTTTCTGAAGAAGAGAACTAAAATAAAAAGATCGAACCAGGGGTGGAGTGGGGAATCACTGCCATGTGGCAAACTCATTACTGGGGCCATGAATGGAAGCAGGACCTGGATTGTGGCCTGGGGTCTGGACCCAGCAGGGTCTCATAATCAACCTTTTGGCCTGGAGCACATCATCTGACCTCTCAATTTCACCATCTCCCACATGGAGGTAATACTGCTGGGCACTTGGTAAAGCTAAGAGCTCTACACACATGTTATTATTTCAGAACCAAGCGAAGCTGGTTTGATCACGTCTGCCTGTGCAACTTGAAAAAAGTCCAGAAGAGGTTGCAAAGTTGAGTTAAGATTTCTAAAATATCCCTTCTGAAAGGTTAAGGGATTTGATTGATTCAGCCTGAAAAAAGAGATATTGAAAAACTGTCTTCAAATATTTAAAGGCCTTTTACCCAAGGGCTGGTGAGAGGATGGGGACCACATGCTATGGTCCACACTAAGCAGGGATGGGACAAGCCCAGGCTCTGACAAGGAGAAGCCTCTAGCATTAAGGGCCACGGAATGCAAATGAGTGGCTCAGGGATGCTAGAGAATGTCCTTCCAGGAATTACTTTACTTGGGAGAGGATAAGGAATAAATGGAGTGACAATAGGCAAAACTGAGGCAAGGCCTGAACTGTGCAGAAAGCAATCGCACAGTCCCTGCCAGATAGATTACTCTGTTAAGTCGCCTCTTTGGTACCTGGCTCTGTTCTTGGCCCTTGTGAACATGTCCCACCCCAGCGTCAGAAACCTGTCCTTGAACAGTTTCCCTGAATAGCCTGCCAGATGCTTCTTCAAGGGCACTGGGTAGAGCTATGCCAACCTCTCTGCCCTCAGGTCTCCAAGGCTTCATGATATTTACTGATCATCTCTTACATGCGAGGGCACTGTACCAAAGCACTGTTCTTATGACAATCCTGGCCTAGCACCTACCATAGGAACCATTATCCCTGTGTTGTGGGTGAGAAATCTGAGGCTCTAAGCTACTAAACACTAGAGCCAGGATTTCAATCCAGGTCTGAAGGACTCCTAAGGCTGTGCTCTTTCTCCTCTATCTGTTGAGTCCCACAGAGAAGACTGACCCCTTTCAGCCTGTGGCTGCAGAAAGAAACAGGGTGCCTCCTGTTCCCTGCTCTTCTGCTTCCACAATATGCAATCCCTCCAGAACTTGACTTATCTGCATCATTTGTGAGGTACGTGTTGCAAAAATCATTCCTATTCCTTTGTATCCTCTGTATTTTGTTGGAGAAACAGTTTGGTGATCCAAACATACCAATGGGCCTACTTGTTATTGCTGTTGTTGGTTTAGATGCTGAAGAACTCTCCCAGGTGAGCATGACACCTAGGTGCAAGGCATGGGAAGAAGAACCTATCAGTCCCCAGGTCAGGCGCCGACCGTCTCTCATCGGTAAGCCTGTGAATCATGGGGCATTGCCACATTATTAGAAAGAATAAGAAATAATATGCAAATTACATCATATGAAGGGAAGAAATACTAACAAATGGGCACAGCAGGAAACCATCATTTGCACAGGTGAGAATTACATTGCTGTTTATGCCTCTGTTACCTGGGCTAATTGTGCTTTGATTTAAGCATCTGGAGAGCCTGGAGAGCCACCCTTACCAGAACCCCCTGTGATTATTACTTACGATGCAAGTAAAACATGGACTGAGACTGGAGCTTCCCATAAGAGCATTTTGAGCAGGTTTGCTACTTGGTATAATGTAGGTAAAGTGCCTAGCACCATACCTAGCACCAAACGAGTCCATTTCTTGCAACTCCTTTTTTCTGTACATATTAGCCAGCCCTCAGCCACGAGCTCTGACAGATGTCTATTCAAATTGTACCAAAGGATAAAATCACATGGCCGGAAATGACCTTAACTGTCATCTAGCCTGACCCCCTTACATCTGGGGTTAGGATGGCTGGTTTAGCCAAAACACACACTGGCCAGATTCCACTATAGTGAACTGCACAGGACATGCAAGCAGTGGAATTTTATTAGACAGTTAGAAATCACATTAGCTCCAGCTCCAGCAGACGTAAACGCCCAGGCTTTCTAACAGCATATGAGCAAGAAAAAGAATCCTTCGGCGCATCCTAGAAGAAGGGGGTGTAGTCACACCATCTCACCCCCACACCTCTCTCTGAGCTCCTTGGAATTTGCATGTGTTGTAAACTTTGTGCAATTCCCATGAATGTATTTTTTTCCATTGATGGGGCTGCAGCATTTGAGAGATGGGAGCTGAAGGGATGCTTGATGGCAGAATAATGGAGTGGTGAAACTTCAGCTGTGCCTCATTTCAACTCTCTCCCTTTCACAGAATGCAGAGTTAGGTATTTTCACTAAAAAAAAAAAAAAAAATACTTAGTCCACAGTCTGTAAATCCAGGAGGGTGGTTGTGACAACTTGCTTCACCCCAGACCCATCTCACGTGGTTTAGGTATGAAATGTTGTGGTTTCTCATTCTCTAGGGCCTCCCCTTGCCCTCTCAACTCTTCCAAAACCCCCTCCAGGCTAGGAACCCTCACAGTCCCAGCAACAGGACTGGGAGAACAGATGTGTATAACACAAACAACAAGAGCAGCTTCTCAGAACGGATTATTGAAAGTCCTACCCACCATCGAAAGAAAGGATCCCAAGTCCAAGAACAGCAATTTAAAAAAAAAAAAAAAAAAGTAGAAAAATGTCTTCTTTTCTTCAGAGCAACACATGCTAGCACTTTTCAGACTCTGGCATGTGTCAGCATTTCTAAAGTAAACTCTATTTTCTTTAGATGAAAGAGATTTAAAAAATAGACTCAGAATTTAGCCCAGTGAAAATTGCTTTGGCTATTCACATGCAATAAGCTGTAGAAGCAAGCAGAAAAAAATCAATTGCTTCTGATTTATTTATTCATTCATTTGTCCATCTCCTTTCCCTCTAATGTAAAAAAGGATGTCTTCTATAATTTTGCAAGTCATTTATCTTTTCAAAGAAAGAGAAAATAGTCCCAGCCTCCCATTGGTTGCTCAGCATCTTGGCACAGGAAATACATATTTAATTAATTATCATATTGCACACAGATTATGTAAGGAAAAAAGGGGATTGATTTTGCCCATCAAATGTTTCGCCAGTGTCTAGAATCAGGAGGCCACACTGCAAAACCTTAAGTCAAGTCTGGTGAATTTGGATCACTTTCTATGTTAAAAGCAAGGACAAGGCTTCACCTCACTGCTTGCTCTAATTCTTAATTGGGGCGGTGGGCACACTGGTGCTCATTTAATTTGTCTTTATGCCCTTTTGTAGGTCTTAAATATTTCATGTGAAATATTGTTAAATCCTCAAATCTTCTACAACAGGTTCTATTCTGGGCAGTTCAGAGCTGAGAGCAGAGAAGGGAAGTTGGAAATGCCAAAATGTAATTGCAATAAAGAGCAGGAAATGTAAGCAACCAATTTTGGAAGGCTGTTTAAAGTTTTAAACCTATGCCAAATAATTGGGATCTATTAAAAGAGGGCCTAATTCTATTATAATCCCCATATACACACAATTATTGAATTCTTCCGAATACCTGTTGAGATTGGGTGATAAATTAGCTGAATGGAAATCATCAGGCACCACTGTCAAGCACATCATTTGACTAACTGAATATGTAATCCTTCCTTCTATCACTGAGCCTTAAACTAGAGACTGTGTGTGGGATTGTGACTTTGAGCTTGTGATCCCCAGTATTCTGGGGAGATGTTGTGAAAGGCCCAAGTGTTCCAGGCAGGAGAGCTGAGAGAGCTGAGTGTCCATTTTTCCTTTTGGGACACAGTCCCCAAACACTGTTTGTTTCTCACTGCCAAGAGGAACTACACATGGTCTTCCAATATCCCTGCCATGGCATTAAAGCCAACTGTTCTGTCCCCCTGCCCACAGATGGAGGAGTAGGAGAGAAAAGAAGGCCACAATAACTACATTTCAGTCCGAATTCCAAATCTTTCTTAGAGCTTAAGTTGGTTGTTATCTCCTTGTTCCTGTTTGGATAAGGTTTTATTTTCTAGGCTTCCCTTCTTCCCTTGACTGCTCAGTCCTCAACACCCAGCAAACCCTTCAAAGGTCTTAAGTGTAGTTAAGTGAGCAAAGAAAGGATTGAAAGAAGAGGGTGTAAGAGGAAGAGGGTGTAATACGCCATCTAATCAGTCAGTGGGGAGCAGATGTTCCCTCACCCCATTATTTCTCTTTAAGAGCAGAGCTTTTGTCTGTGTAAAGAACTGGTAAAAGAAGTCCCACTTCTATCAAAGCTCTAAAGAAGATTCTGAAGTTTGTCACCTTATTCGTTTCATTTCTGGATGCCGTTAGACCAACTGGTTTTACTTCCTTCCCACCACACACACACAAACCCCACGCAAGCCTCCTGGGAGAGGCTGCCCTGCCACTGAAGCCTGCCTTGCACACAGCGTGCAAAAACGCCCGTTTTATTGGCCTCACTTGGTAAGTCCAAAATCTTCCCTCTGCTCCACCAAAGTTAACAGATGGCTGGTCCCTTTTGGTACACAGGCGTAAGCATCTTCAAAATAACCTTTTCCTTTAAAGGATGCCAATTAATTAAATGTCACTATAATGTGTTCCGGCCAAGGGGGGGAAAGAAGAGACCCAGAAGGCAAAGGGCCAATGGAAGAAAACAGGGATGAGAAGTCACGCTCTCCTACCTTCACCCGACGACCCTGAGAGATCGATGATCACATACACTCTTCCTTCTGGCTCCAGATCAATCTGCAATTAAGAAAATGACAGTGACTCTGTTAGTGCATTGTGTGGGCAACCTAAGAGTTCCACAACATTTCTACCCCAAACTGCTAAAACCTAGAGACACAGCTCCATGTAATTCACCAACCTACAATGTGTTGAGTGCTAGGTGAGATGCAGACCTGGGAGGACTGATGCATACCCCATAGGTAGCACCATCCCAGTGGTTCTCAACTGGGGGCAATTTTGCTACACAGGGGATGCTTGGCAAACATCTGGAGGCAGTTTTGCCATGATTGGAGAGAGAGAGAGTGCTGCTTCTGGCAGCTAGTGGGTGGAGGCCAGAGATACCATTAAACATTCTACAGTGCACAGGATGACCCCTCGCAACAAAGAATCATTCAGCCCCAAATGTCATCAATGATGTTGAGGTTGAGAAAGCCCTATGTTATCCCATTTTACAGATATGGAAATTGTGCCCAAATTCCAAGGTAAGTGGTAATGCTGAGATTCAATGCCAAGCCTGTCTTGAGAAACCCATGTTCTTTATACCACAGAAACTGCTCCCAGGGGAAATAAGAGAAGCAGGAAGACACTACTCCTGCTTTTATGGCGTTTATCATCTCATTGTGGAGTTAAAAAATGGGGAACAATGCTGAATCCAGCTTAATGATGAAGGACAGAGAAGAACTGATAAAGTATCTGACGAACCTGAAATCAGTGTAGAAGACGGAAGGGAAGAGGGAAGGGAAGGTATGCAAGGCGTAAGAAACAGCACAGGCACCCTCACTTCCTCCCTCCCCACCTCAAATCCAGCTAACTACTTATAATATACAGAGACAAGGTGGTGAAATAATTGGGTGAGACAAAAGCCAGAGGGCTGGGCCTCTTGTAGTTAAAGACATCTTTGCAAGGACTGAACTATCCTTACAGAAACTGTGTTCTCTCTATAAGAGAGTAGTAACTCTGGAAACCCTGGATCACCAAGTCCCCCTGCTAGCCTCTCCGCCTCCACAATCCCATCTGTCTACACAGAGCTTTCATTGGTTCATAGTGCCAGGCTCTCTCCCCAACAAGCTGTGAATATCTTGAGGGCAGGAACCACTATCCCCCTCCTTTTCCTTTTTCACTGTCCCCAGCAAAGAGCAGGCAAGCATTTAGCAAGAATTACTTCAGAACAGTCAGTCTAGTGGATATCTCCTCCTCCTTCAAAGTCAAGGTCAATTATCACCTCCTCTCTGAAATCTATCCAGATATGCCCAGTCAGAATTAATTAGCCCCTCATCTGTGTTCCCACAATACACCAGACACATCTTACTCATGGCTCCTGCGATGGTTAATATTGAGTGTCAACTTGATTGGACTGAAGGATGCAAAGCATTGTTACTGGGTGTGTCTGTGAGGGTGCTGCCAAAGGAGATTAATATTTGAGCCAGTGGACTGGGAGAGGCAGATCCATTCTCAATCTGGGTGGGCACCATCTAATCAGCTGCCAGCGTGGCTAGAATAAAGCAGGCAGAAGAAGTTTGAAAGACTAGGCTTGCTGAGTTTTCCAGCCTTCATCTTTCTCTTGTGCTGGATGCTTTTTGCCCTCAAACATCAGACCCCAAGTTTTTCAGCTTTTGGACTCTTGGACTTACACCAGTGGTTTGCCAGGGGCTCTTGGGCCTTCAGCCACATACTGAAGGCTGCCCTGTCGGCTTTCCTACTTTTCAGGTTTTCGGACACGGACTGGCTTCCTTGCTCCTCAGCGTGCAGACGGCCTATTGTGGGACTTCACCTTGTGATCGTGTGAGTCAATTCTCCTAATAAACTCCCCTTCATATATACATATATCCTATTGATTCTGTCCCTCTAGAGAACACTGACTAATACAGCTCCTATTAAGTTGTAATACATTGTCCATCTACCTCTCTGTCCTGATAGACAGAAAGTATGATAACCAGATTTGCATCCCTAGTTCGTAGCTCACTGTCTCTTAGGAAACACCCAGCACACACTCGTGGAGGTGGGAAAAGGCTCTGTGTTCAGAACTTCCAGAGTCTATTCTGGGAACATTCACCCTCCCAAGGCTCTGTCCCCAGGAAGGAAGGCAGGCATGTCATCTCTACTAAAATGACATTTGAAAAAGGGTAGAGGAAAGATGAGGCAGCTATACCATGAGCACCACATGTCCCCATGAGACAAAGCGACCAGCTGGAATGGTGTTCTCCAAACTCTCCCAACGTCTCACCCCACACACAATCCAGGAGGCTCCCAGAGTCACTCCTGACCCCATCTTGTTGCCTGACTCAGCCTCTAATGGTTGAGAGAGCTTAAGGTTTCCCTCAAAATTTCATTTTCACCCACAAGACTCTTCAGTGCCTCGTGGGAGAGGCCCCTGGTGATAGCTGAGGTGCTCCGTCGGCACAGGAGTGAGGGAGTGCCACGAGCAGGCCTGCATTGCCCCCTGGGCACCCCGGGGGAGCTGCTCACCTGAGTTTGGGATCTTCGGTTTTAAATCCAGATGGGAACCAAATAACAAACTGGTAATTCCGCATGCTGCCTTTTCTCATTCCTTTCTCCCCAAGAGTCCATGATTTTAAGTTTCTGGGTAAAGAAAATGTTCTCCAGAATTCTCACCACTAGTGCTGACCCTCACCAGCCCCTGCAGCGAATGACAAACAGGAAAACCAACAGTCGGCTCTGCTGAATAGAGCCAAACCAGAATCTTCTCCCTGACAAAAGTCAAAAATATCAGGGGCCCTCTTGCCTAAAAGCATGGAATTTAAATAATGTATGCCTTTTAGAGATTAGATCATCCCTATTAAACCCTGCCGGCAAAATGAAACTCTTTCTCATATCCTCCAACTCAAAGATTTCCCACGACTGTGGACTTTATTGGCAAAGTACAATGCTATCTGTGTAAAGCAGGGAGGGAGAGAGCAAAGGAATGAGATGGGCTTCGGGGCCTATCCAAAGGCAGGCACCATGCCCATCTTTGCAAAAGGGGAGTGAGAACTCGTGGCAGGGAGGACAGGTCATTTATGATAAAATGTATTCGGATATTAACATTCAAGATAGCAATCAGAAAGCATTTTAGCACCCACTGCAGCCTCCGTGCTGGTGAACTGCATTTCCAAACAGAAAAATAGAAATTAAGCTATTAAACATGCCAAAAGCAACAAAGAGCTTTGCAGCATGAGCAGATGGCCGCAGATCGCCAGCCAAGCCCCAGCTAGCCAAGCGAGGAAGCTCTGAGAATCCATCCAAGGTGGTGGGTCTTCAACGACTGGAGGGGTCACCAAGTATAAAAGATGGTGAAGAGTGTGGCACAACTTCACCGCTGAATTAGTTTAATCATAAATTCTGCTCACGATTACATGGTCCAGATAATGATGCAATGTAAGTGCCCAGCCCTGCACAACCCTGCAAGCTGTCAGTCTGCATTGGCACCAGGCAGCTGGCGTGACACAAAAGCAGACTCGCTACCTCCTCCCAGCCATTCCCAGGGTTAGTTCTGAGCCTCTTCTTTGCACCAGGCTCCTCCCAGTTCTCCCAGATGCAACCTAATTTATCAAACCTCCTTGGACCTCATATCCCAACTTAACACATCTTCCCAGCTACTATTTCTATTTTCTTTGACTATGATTCTCTTTCACACTACGGTGCCTTGGCTACCCCTCCAGCACGGGCCAGAAGCAAGGCAGTCAAACTGGGGGAGACAAACACAGACTTTGGTGTCAAATCAGGGCAGAATCCATTTTGTCCTTTATCAGCTGAGTGACCTCAGGCAATTATTTACTCTTCCTGAGCCTCTCAGCCTCTTCATCCGTGAAATGGGTTGTCATGAAAATTCCATGAAACATACATGCAAAGCACTTGGCACCTTACCTTAGTTAAAAAAAAAAATTTTTTTTTTAACTAAGCACCCAGGAGACACTCTGCACGTGGTGGGTAAGAGCAAACTTAGCGGCCTTGTGGCCTGAAGCAAGCAGCTACCCTCTGTATGCCTCAGCCTGCTTGTCAGTGAAATGGGGCTGCTGTGAGATTAAATGAGATAATCTATGCACAGTGCTTAGCAAAGGCACCGGCATAAAATAGTCATCATTGGTGCAGTTATCATGAAAAAGGCAAGTCTTCTGCTTCTTAGTCCAATGTTATTTCTACTATAACAAACTTTCCTCAACAAAGTTGGTATTGTTACATGTAATTCCAGGACATTTGATGACTTTACAGTGTTGTTGTGAATATCAAATAAAGAGCTAAAGGTCAGGTGTGGTGGCAGGCAGCTGTAGTCCCAGCTACTTGGGAGGCAGAGGCAGGAGGATTGCTTGAGCCCAGGAGATCCAGGCTGCAATGCGCCACTGCACTGCAGTCTGGGTGACAAGTGAGATCCTGTCTCTGAAAACATTTTTTTTTAACTAAGGTAAGAGTATTGTACTTTAAAATCCAAGGTAAGAGTATTGTATGCACCCTTTCTGGGGGAAACCCGGGGCAGGAAGGGCTATACCCAGGGTATTCGGGGGCATCGGGAGGACGTGTGGTACTCATGAAAGAAGGGCAATGACACCTACTGTGCCTCTGACGCCATGTTGGCACCTTACCTGCATTAGTTCATCTAATCTCCTGTGAGACAGCAATATTCTCTACTTTTCTGATGAAAAAACAGGCTTAGAGAGCTTTCAGCCAGAATTCTCACCCAGGTCAGCCTGGGGCACAGAGGAGAGGTCAACAGAGCTTGCAAGTCATGCTCACAACCCCAGCCCTGCCTGGCCAACTGAGCCTCCTCTGACAATCCAGTCCGAGGTGCAGTCTCCTTCCTTCAACCCTCCCGTCCCCAGAGTGGGCTCATTCCCCTTTTCAGGTGTCACTGGCTTCCCCAGGCAGACCTGGAAGGCACAGCAATACCTCAGACACCTTGACCACCCCATGGTGCTCTGAGGGGAGGTCTGGGCAGCAATGAGAGTGCCTCTCATGTGAATTAGGAACTTGGCAATGGGGAAGAGCCCAACCCACATCAAGCCCTAAAAAGGCAATCTTAGAAAAGCCAAAAGTTAGGGACTTTTTTGGGGTGGTGCTCAGCCGTTTACAAAGCCCCTCATACGCATTCATTTATTCATTTCTCACAATTAATCTGTAAGGTAGCGAGTTTTGTTATTTTCAAAAAAAATTTTTGAGACAGAGTCTCGCTCTGTGCCCCAGGCTGGAGTGAAGTGGTGCCGTCATGGCTGCAGCCTGAAACTCCTGGGCCCAAACCTTCCTCCCACCTCAGCCTCACAGAGTGCTGGGATTACAGGCGTGGTAACAGTATTATTAGTGCTGTTGAGAATCTGAGAAAGCTGGGGTTAAGGAAGATAGGTGGCCATTATATCATGCAGTGTGCTAGTGAGATCACACCAGCTGCACAACCCCAGGAGGTGCCATTCACACCTATGTCTGTGCATGAGACCCCTGGAGCCGGACTGGCAGAATCAGAACGTGCTCCCTAGACTGGGCGTGGTGGCTCATGCCTATAATCCCAGCACTTTAGTAGACTGAGGCAGGTGGACCACTTGAGGTGAGGAGTTTGACACCACCCTGGCCAGTATGGTGAAACTCCGTCTCTACTAAAAATATAAAAATTAGCTGGGTGTGGAGGCATGCACCTGTAGTCCCAGCTATTCTGGAGACTGAGGCAGGAGAATCGCTTGAACCTGGGAGGCGGAGGCTGCAGTGAGGCAAGATCGCACCACTGCACTCCAGCCTAGGCAACAGAGCAAGACTCCGTCTTAAAAAAATAAAAGAACTTGCTCCCTCAACTCCTGTTTCTCAGTCTCATGTTTCTTCCTCGACACCACACCTGCCCAGCAGGAGTTCTGACAACCACAACAGCAAAATCAAGAGGACTCCACCTATGCTGATCTCCAGGCTGCTGGCTGATGTGCTGCTGTCAGCCCCCCGTGATCCACAGGTTATCTGTACACCTACATGTTGGGGGTTATTGGCTTCAAGGGAAGGGAGGTCTAATATACAAAGTCAAGCTTCCTAACCATAGGTTCAACTTTTGCCTGAGATGTCTAAGCAAACCTTTCCTTGGGACAGCCCACAAAGGTCACACAGGCCCAATTCGAGTTTCACTTCCCTTCCCATCTGCTGTCAGGCACAAAGGCGTGGAGAGAGGCAAAAGGGCAACAGGGACAGGGTCTGAAAAAGATGAATCCAGAAAGGATGAGAAGGACAAGGGAAGGCTTGCACTGCCCTTGTTCCACCAGTAAGGTCCTAGATAATCTACTGCTGTGTCTTTTTCTTTTTTACTTGGAGGAGGGTGGAGAGTGAGAAAGGAGGAGGCAGACGGGGAACCATCAGGACAGAAGACTGGGGGACTGGTTCCCAAAGCAGGGGGCCCACTGCCCAAGTCCTGTACCCCTTCACTGATGCCCCCTCTCCCCTGGAGGCACCGCAGGCACACTACCATCCCCAGACCCACCTGGCATGGGAGAGGCCAGCTGGACAGAGCAGGGGACATTCAGGCAGCAGGTGTCCTCCCAGCTCTGCATTTGGAAAGCAGAAAGCATTGAGGCAATACAATGAGCAACTCAGCAGCAGCTGCGGGGTGCTGATTTTGAAGTTAGCAGCTAATTAAAGACTCTTCATTTGGGGTAAAATTTGCTACTTGCTCTATTGGTAGTGTGCAGTGACTGGTCAAAAAGCAGAGAGTACACATGTAATCAAATATGTTCAAGATTCTATTCTGTTAATGGGCTTATAATAGCACTTACTTTCATAAAATAAGGGGAGGGGCAGATCGTTTTTCTCAAACAGCTTCCACTGCAGTGCAAAGACATGCAGGCTTCAGTGTACATCCCTGCAAAGCAGGACCCTGTCTGTCCCGCACATGGGAGGGATTCAATACAGATTTCTACATGTTGGCTTATTGAATGCATGGCCTTAGCTTATACTACTTCAATATATTAAAAAACTGGATCTGTACGCTGAGTTGTGGAGATGATTTACTGGGGAAGCCATCTACTATACAGAAATGTTCACAGCAGCTTCATTCCTAACAGCCCAAAACTGGAAATGTCCCAAATGTCCAACAACAGGTAAATGAATAAGCAAACCATGCTACATCCATGTAATGGAATGTTACTTAGCAATAAAAAAGAATGAGGACCGGGCACGGTGGCTCACCCCTGTAATCCCAACACTTTGGGAAGCTGAGGCAGGAGGATCGCTTCAAGCCAGGAGTTCAAGACCAGCCTGTACAACATACTGAGACCTTCTCTCTACAAAAAATAAGAAAAAAAAATAGCTGAGCATGGTGGTGCATGCCTACAGTCCCAGGTACTTGGGAGGCTGAGGCAGGAGAATGGCTTGAACCTGGGAGTTTGAGGCTGCAGTGAGCTATGATTTCACAACTGCACTCCAGCCTAGGTGAGATCCTGTCTCTTAAAAAAAAAAAAAAAAACAAATATACTACCGATACATGCAACAACATGGATGCTATGTGAAAGAAGCCAAACATTAAAGAGTATATACCATAGCATTCCACTTCTACGATGTTCTAGAACGGGCAAAACAAACCTACAATAACAAAAAAGCACATCTGTGATTCCCTGGAGCTGGAAGTGGCCAGTGAATGCCAGGAGACACAGGGGAACGTCCTGGGTGACGGGAGTTTTCTCTATCCTGATTGTGGTGGCTGCTCCATGAATGTAGACATTGGGTGGGACAAATCAAGCCTACACTTAAAATGAATGCACTTAATTGTATGTAAATTATACCTCAATGAAGCAGTTTTTAAAAATGGAAAAAAACGATTTATTTCGCATAAGGATTCCTCCACAAGTTTCCTTTAAATAACAAATCCTATTCCCACCCTCGGAGCATTTAAAATTTCATATTCCATTTTTAAAAATAAAAGGACTCATTCAGAGTTTTTCAACAGCACATCTGTGAAACAACATAATGTACACCTACCTGTGTAGGCGTGCACATTCACACACCCACCCACGTGTGCAAACACACTCACAGGCACACAGCTGAGCCACCTTCTCCTGTCTCCTGTGATCAAAATACAATAATAGCAAGATAAACACATCCAAAATGTAGGTTTGAGAGTCTGCTGAATTATTTAAATCTGTCTGTGTGTTTGTGGATCTGAACTTCCTCATATATAAAACAAGATAATTAGACCAAATGTTATAGAAAGCCTTTTAATGAACTTAATGACCTAAATGTCCATGAATAGGAGACTGCTTAAATAAATTATGGTACATCATATGGTAGATCACCATGCGAGTCCTAAAAAAGACTGAAAAAGATCTAAATGTACCAACTGATAGGGAACTAGCTCTGTGATACATTAAGTGGAGGGGGGATAAAGCAACACACCGTAAGTTCATGATGTTGTGTTGCTGTGTGAATACAATGGGGGAGCATGTGGGTGTACACACACACACACACACACACATACACACATGCGCACACGTGATCTGCACATACGTCCTTATCTCCAGAAGGAGTCTTAATCAGCAAAAGGCAAGAGCTGACTCAAGAGATGGACATGACAGGAGGAGCAAACCAGAAATCAGGAAAGGAGGCCTTATTCTTTATTCTACGCCCATTTACAAAATTGTGTTCTGAGCTAACTTGTTAAAAATTTAAGTTACTACCCATTTAAAAAAATAAAATGTCCCTTTTCACTGCACTGGCTGTTTATAATCTCCAATCCCCCAGACTACAGCTTGCTTCAGTTGCCAGACACACCTTAAATAAACACCCCTCAAAACTGGCTGAAACACTGCATTCTCATCACCCGTAGCCAGGTCACTGGGAACCAAGTTAGCAGCAGCCATTATCTTCTTGTGAAACTCTTGTTGGCTGGACCAGAGGCCCACGTTACAGATCTTAGCTCTCAACACACCACAAATGGAGTAGGCTCAAGTTAGCACCTACTTCCTCTTTTTTAGCAGGCTCAGAAATGGCCCCAGAGAGCTGGCTCCCTCTGATGACAGAGGTAGCTAAAAACGAATAACTCTATGTATACATAAATGCTTTCTTGAGCTGAGAAAACATCCAAAAGTGCCTAAACTAATGTGGAGAGTGTGTAAGGGTACAGAGCATCATCTGCTCACAGCACAGTCTGCCTGTCTACTTTGAGAGAAATGGCAGTACATGACTGTATATCCTAAGAAGAGGTAGGTGAGCACTAATAGCAGAAATGTAGCCACCTACCCAAGCATTCTGAAGCAGATAATCCACTGCCGATCTGCACTTTGCATTTCACATTTTGCATTTTGATTTGCAATGGTCCCTATCACTAGGTATATTTGAATGTGTGTGCTTTATCTTACATTTCCTATTTCTTACACTAAGTCAATATATCTCAGAGATTGAAAGTAAAGGTTTTGAAGCTAGCCTACCCGGGTTCCAATCCCAGTTCTGCCTGTTTAAAGCTCTGTGGTGCTTATTTTGATTTCCTCATCTTACAAGTTGAATGTCAGCAGGACCTGCTTCAGAGTGTTGGGAGGATTCGAGGAGATGGTGGAGCACTTGAAACTGTCTGGCACACAACTTCCTGTAAATATTAGCTGCCAGGTCATTATGATTGCTATTTCCCACCTAGACTGTGAGCACCTCTCCTGCTAAGCCATGTCTTTCTTTTGAGGATTCCACAGCTCTTGATTCAGGGCTGGGATTGAGATAGGTATTCAATAAAGACTCTAAGTGGAACTGAATGAATCCATGTGAAACAGAGGCAAGCTCGGTCAGGAACTCAGGAATTTGTAACCAGAAAAATTATCTTCATATCAGGAAATTTTCTGTCCCTGTAGTATCACAACCTAATAGAACTTTTATCAATGGCTGCTCACAAAAAATATTCAGTTATTTTTTCTTTCTTTTCTTTTCTTTTTTTTTTTTTTTGCCATGTTGCCCAGGCTGGTCTTGAACTCCTGCCCTCAAGAGATCCTTCCACCTCGGCCTCCCAAAGTGCTGGGATTACAGGCATGAGCCACCACACCGGGCTGATATTCAGTTCTTGACTCCCTTTGAAAGCCAAGACACGATCATTTGTTTCCATCTTTCTGAGTTCTTCAAAAGAGAGACTATGTTATGAATACTAATAATCACAACTCTCATAAGCACCCTTTATTGAATACTCTACATGTGTTACCTATGTGAAGAAGGCAATATTGTTGTTCTTAACCATTTGATGGGTGACAAAACTGAGGCTTAGGAATTTAAATAACTTGCGCGCATCCTCACAATTTGCAGAAGAGGAGTGTGCGTTAAAGCCGGGTTCTCCAAGTGGAGACCCAATGCTTCCAATAGGTACCTTGAGGCCTGGCAGGCTGCCCCACAGACAGCCTGAGCTCTGGGAGATCTGTAGAAAGAACACGTTGTGAGCTGTCATGGAGCCCATACTGCATGAATGATAAAAAGTTGCTCCTTGGCCGGGTGCGGTGGCTCACGCCTGTAATCCCAGCACTTTGGGAGGCTGAGGTGGGCGGATCACGAGGTCAGGAGTTCAAGACCAGCTTGGCCAATATGGCGAAACCCCATCTCTACTAAAAATACAAAAATTAGCTGGGCATGGTGGAGTGCACCTGTAGTCCCAGCTACTAGGGAGGCTGAGGCAGAAGAATCACTTGAACCCAAGAGCCGGAGGTTGCAGTGAGCCAAAATTGCCTCCCTGCACTCCAGCCTGGGCAACAGAGTGAGACTCTGTCTCAAAAAAAAAAAAAAAAAGTTGCTCCTTGGACACAAGAGCAATGAGAGTAATGCTCCTTCATTGTCCTCCTGGAGCTCATAGTTGTAAGGTACACTAAACCCACAGCAAAATAGCCGAGAGGCTCAGACAATGACATACAAATGTGACGCAGGATGCCCAACTTTGGGGAATAATTGCTCTCCGGGGAATATTCCTGCATCATAATACTCTGTATACCAGTCTTATTTGCCATTGCTTTTCATTGTTTAGTTGGAACCATGTCCTGTGAGAAAAAGAACAGTTTTATAAAAAACTATAAAAGCATGAAATTTAGGAGTCAGAAATGCCTTAAAAATCATTTAGTTTAAATATACATACAAAAATAAAATAAAGGATAAGATCTTTTTTCTTTTCTTTTGCTTATCAAATTAGTCAAAGTTTCATTTGGGTTATATATTTTTGTGTTATTTATTTATTAAAATATAGCCAAAAGTAAGTACTGTGATGTGTTCAGTTTTAAGAAACCAAAAGCTACATGTCTGCTTGTCATGAGAAGCAACAGTCCTCTGCCCCATAACTCCTCAGAGGGACCAATTTTAGTAATTTTTATATAGGTTTCTCTGGTGGTCACTGCTGCGTCCCTAAATAAAATGTGTATGCCTCAATTTCCTGATTTCTTATTTTAGACATTCTCTTACCTTGCTGCTATGATAGAAGAGGATTCAGTTTACTTACCACTTCCCTCCTCTTTTGCCCCTCCACAAAAGTTATACATCACAAATTCTGTTTATTCTCTGTTCTCTACAACTACAAAAAAACTCACACACCTAAAATGCCAATTTCTTATGCCATCAACTGTAGAGAATATATCCCTTGACCCTCCACATTGTACCCAGAGGACATTAGTGCTTCCAGCATTCCCCATCCTCTGCCTGCCACCCTCCATCCCAGCCACCTCTGAAATTTTTGTCTTTACTCTTAACCTATCAAGGTTGACAACACTGACATTCTGTTCTCTAACCATAGTTAATTTCCATGTTTTGTGTATACATTAGTTCTAAAATCTGAAAACTAATCGTCTTTCCTTATTATGACTTTGTAAATGGTGTTACATACACCTTCTTTCCCATGGGCCCAATGTAACAATTCACATGCCACTCAATGGCTAATATACCTAGCATCTAATTCAAATGGATTCTTCATCTTACAGTCTACCAATTGCCTTTCTCAGATCTTTGAGTCTTCCCAGCATTCTTTTCTCGGAGGGTGTACCTATCAGGACACCCCACTGTCCTATTCTCCCTGATCTGAGCTGACGCTCTCTGGTCTGCTGCACAACTGTAGCACTGCATATCTCCTCACTGTTCTGCTGGGTGCAGCCACTGTCTTGGAAATCCATTATCTTCCTTATTCTGAGTTATTCCCTTGTTTTTGCTAGGACAGTACATTCTGATTGAAATAGTAATCAGAAATCTTTCATGCCTGTTCTCACACATAATTGATAGTTTAGCTGGATATAGAATTCTAGGTTTTAAAAAGATCATAATCTATCAGAACTTTCTTCTAACATCAATATTGTCAATGGACTCTGATGTCAGCCAGATTACTGTTGTTTAATAGGTGACGTTGTTTTCACTTTGTGGAAGTTTTTGGGTCTTCTTTATCCTAGTATTCTAAAATGCCACAGTGATATGTCTCAGGGTGTCTTTTGGGATTCATTGTCCTAAATGAAACTGAATTTGTGGGAGATACTCTTCTATTTGTTCTTTGTCATGGGCCTCTTCTTCATTTTCTTTCTGAAACTCCTCTTATTCAGATGTTGGACCAGTAGGAATGATCCTTATGTCTCTTACTATGTGATACATATATATATCCATTTCTTTTATCTTTTTATTCCATAGTCTAGGAGATTTCCTTGACTTTATAATTCTTCCTCTGAAATTTTCTGACAATATCTTGAGTTTCCAGAAATGCCTTCCTATTTATTCATAATGCCTTTCTCATGTACAGGCAGTGCCTTCCTGTTTTCTCATTTCTCTCTCTCTCTCTCTCTCTCTCGTTTGTTTTTGTTTATGAATGCAGCATATTTCTAAGAATTGCAGCCCCATGTGCCATAGGGTTAGATGGTGGGATCTGGCCATTAGAGCATGGGTCCCTGAATGAGAAATTGGTTTCTTCTGGAGAGTAATACCCACAATGCTTTGCTAGTTCTCCCCAAACCATTATACTATTTCTTTTTCAAAGAGCCTTCCAATTTTTTTTTTTTTTTTTTTTTTTTTGAGACGGAGTCTCGCTCTGTCGCCCAGGCTGGAGTGCAGTGGCGCGATCTCGGCTCACTGCAAGCTCCGCCTCCCAGGTTCACGCCATTCTCCTGCCTCAGCCTCCCGAGTAGCTGGGACTACAGGCGCCCGCTACCACGCCCGGCTAATTTTTTGTATTTTTAGTAGAGACGGGGTTTCACCGTGTTAGCCAGGATGGTCTCGATCTCCTGACCTCGTGATCCGCCCGCCTCGGCCTCCCAAAGTGCTGGGATTACAGGCGTGAGCCACCGCGCCCGGCCGAGCCTTCCAATTTTTTATGTGAAAGTTAGGCCCTTCCATAGTGACAGTGGGGAGCATATGGTTCCACATACAGACTTTCCAAAGGTCACTTGTTTTTACCTGGGGTAAGTACAGTGTCCAAGCCTGGAGCCCTTTAGGGTCCTGCAGAGAAGCTGCTCTATGCTAGGTTCCTGTGCCCTCTGCACATGTTCTGGGCTCTAGCTCCAGAGTTCTCTATTCTGCTTCATTAGCTGCCACCCCACCTTCTACTTTCATCTCCCAGAAATTCTCTGAAATAGTTTGATGATGGCCTCTTTCTGCCCACTTGGTTAATACAGACTTCCCCCTTTTCTCCTTTTCTGTAATTTATATGGGGTCTTAAGCAGGCAAAACCAAACCCAAACAAAAACCCCAAAACTCATTTTCTCCAGGACCACCTTGAATAGAAGCTCCAAAATATGTCATCTGAAGTACTATTATGCAGTACTTATGAGAATGGGGAAGAAACAAACACTATTATACGCTGCCGACGAAATGTAAATTGACACAAAATTTATAAAGAATGTTTTGGCCTTACATGACAAAAATCCTTTAATCTTGCAATTCCACTTCTGGGAATTTATCTCAAATCACACATATGTGAAAAGATTTAACTATAAGAATAATCATTACAGAATTTTTAAGAGTGTAATATTAGAAACCAATTGTTCAATAATAATAAAATTATTTAAATAAATTGTAGCATATTCAAACCATTAGCTACCATGCCATCATGAAAAAAAAAACTTGTTGAATTATATGTAATAACATGCAAAGATATTCACAATATTGTATTCAATGGGAGAAAATGAGATTATAAAGGAACATATATTCTATGATCCAATTTTGTAAAACTAAAATAAGTATGTGGTAGGTACATATGCTAAAGAAAAAGGTGTTTGTGGAATAGTGGAATAATTTTTTTCTTTTTAAGTATCTATAGTTTCTCAACTTTCTACTTTTCTTCTACCTTCTACTATAGCTTTTTTGTTAAAAATAAGTAATTTTTTGCTTTAAGAACATTATGTAGTTCACTCCTCTCATTTATAGGTAAGGAAACTGAGGCATAATGAGGTTAAACAATCCATTAAAGTACCTGAGTAAATTGCCTACAGCTGAAAAAAAGAAAAGAAAAGAAACTCAGTCATCCTGATTTTCAGTTCTTTAAGGTACAAATTAAAAATGAGACAAATTATTTTAAATTTTCATATATCTTGAAAAGTATAATTTCCTGGTCAAATAATTATAGCACTACTCTATCATAATCACCAATTCTGAGTGGTAAGTAGTCAAGTGTATTTCTTAGTTGGATACAGTTTGAACATATTAAGGAAAAGCTTCAATAGCTCAATAGATTTTTATTTTATTTTTTTGAGACGGAGTCTCGCTCTGTTGCCCAGACTCGAGAGCAGTGGTGCTACCTTGGCTCACTGCAACCTCCGCCTCCTGGCTTCAAGCAATTCTCCTGCCTCAGCTTCCCGAGTAGTTGGGATTATCAATAGAGTTTTCAACAGATTTTTAATCTAATTGAAAAATCCTTTGCTTTGATCGAATCTCCTCTATATGATGGTGTTCCTCCACTTTTGTGAGGTGAGGCAGTCCACATTTTTTATATTCCAGACAATGTTACCTTTTAACTACCTTTCATGTAACAAACTGTCATAACAGCAGACTTCATTGATCAGGAATGGGCAAACATTTCTGCTATGATATGACCATACAGTGCCTATCATCCAGCTATTCAGAGTCACTATCTTTGTATGTACAGGAATCTGCTGGAATATATTCTCCTATTTGTCTCGAGTTCTTTATAAGACAGGAAAAAAGAAAAAAAGAAAAATGCTGGTGCTCTAAGGAAACGAAGCATAAGTCTCAAATTTATATAACATAAAGTAAAACAGAATTTATTAGGTATGTCAAAGTCAGTGACATTTCCCTTTAATCCAATATTAATCAGTTGACTCTGTGTTGAATTTTGAAGGTATAAATCAAATTTTTAAGACTTTTAGATTTTATATCAAAACAATGAACAAGATGTAAATAAGAAGGAGGACATGATTTTCTGTTTTCTGGGATAGAACCTGCCTTAACATGTAATCTAATGGTGCACTAAACTGTCCAACTGGCTTTTATTCTGTAACTAAGTAATACATAAGTTTTGAAGTACAAATTATATATGGAAGCACGGACTATCTATTCTCTGAAAATGGGCAACTCTCCTTATACATCTGTGCTTGTTTTCTACATGATTTATGAAGTCCAGGCCTTTAAAAATGAACAATTCCGGCTCATACAGCTGGACAACAAATGAGACTCACATATGCTCAAGCCCACACCACGATCTGAACCACAAGGGAAGATATTTCCTGAAGCACACAGCAGAAAGGATCTGAAAACTGTTCAAGCTCTGAATGTCAGAATAGATCCTTCATTTATGATCTTCTATCCTAGATATTAGATTTCCATATGATATTTTGGTCAAACACACGTAAGAATTGTATCATCTTTGATCCAGGAAAGCCCTGATCATCGAAAAAGCCAGCCCGACTGGTGCAGAGAGAGGAGCAGATGCAAAGGCATGGAGGTAGGGGAAGACTTGGTCTTTGCCAGTAGTTGAAGCAGACGGGTGTGACTGGAGCAGAGTGTGGAGGGCAGTTGGAGATGAGGTCAGAGAGCCAGGGCCTGGCACGTGCTTTGGCTTTGGCCGTGAGTGAGATGGGAAGCCAGAGGAGAGACTGCAGAGCAGTGAGATGCTGTGACTCACACTTTAAAAGGTGGCTGCATGGAGAATAAACTTCAGGCACCCATGAGGACGCAGGAAGGCAACTTAGGAGCCTATGGCAATAGTCCAGACAAGTGATGATGGTGGCTGGGAAGGGGTGGTGGTAGTGGAGGTGATGGGAATTGGTCAGATTCTGAATGTAATTTGAAGATAGAGCCAAAAGGATTTGCTGCGGGATTGCACGTAGTGTGTGAGATAAGGAGGGGAGGCAGGGATTGCATGGAGACTTCTGGCCTGACCTAAACATGGAGCTGCCCTTGGCTGAACAGAAGACGGTGATCAGAACAGGGTGGGTGGGGTGAACAGGAGCAGGTTTGCACTGGCCATGTCGGAGACATCTGTGAGACAGCCGGGGACAGCTGCATCTACAGATCTGAAGTTCGGGGGGAAGGTCCAAGCTTAAGACCTGAATTTGGTAGTTGGCAGCAGATAGATGGCACTGACCCACAATCTGTGACCCACAATCCTGACAGCCACAGCTCTAAAAACTAAAAGTTTTATTGAAGTTTGGGTCAAAATTATTCAGCAATAAAACCTAACCCAAAATGACATAAGGCTATTTGCTGTCTATGTTTATTCTACTTCATGTGAATATTTGTACATTTGTGATATAGAAATATTATTTGTTTGATCACAAAGACCTGCCCCAGAATCTAGTGGGAATGTCATGTAACATACAGAATATTTACTATATTAACCTTCTAAAATTCCCCCAAATGCTTTATTTCTAAACAAATCTAGCCCTAAGCATTTTGGATAAAAGATATGGATCTGTAGTTTGAGCCATGAAACTAGAGGAATGAGGACTGACCCTGGAGCCCTCCAACACATTGAGACCAGGAGGGTGAGGAGGATCTGCTCCGGTGTCTGAAAATGCAAAGGCCTGACTTCTACTGCCCTGGGTGGGGTCTACTTTGACTTCTCTCCTTCCATACCATCACCACCAAACATGCACCCTCTTCACAGACACATGACTTATAAAAGCCCTGCTTCTGTTAACTTTCTGTATATCTTCTAAAGAGATGGCAAAAAAACCTAAGTCTATCATCCCCCCATCCCCCCGTCCCTGCCAAATATACACTGTGGGGTATGTTTTTGTTTTTGAAATAGGATCT
Organism: Homo sapiens; assembly: GCF_000001405.40. Lineage (NCBI taxonomy): Eukaryota > Metazoa > Chordata > Mammalia > Primates > Hominidae > Homo > Homo sapiens. Next base: position 45,825,875 of record NC_000002.12, on the reverse strand, counting down.
TGCTCTGTTGCCCAGGCTGGAAAGCAGTGGTATGATCATAGCTCACTGCAGCTTCTAACTCCTGGGCTCAAGTGATCTTCCTGCCTCAGCCTCCCAAGTAGCTGGGACTACAGGTGCATGCCACCATGCCTGGCTAATTTTTTTTAACATACTTTGTAGAGATAGGGTCTCGCTACGTTACCCAGGCTGGTCTCGAACTCCTGGCTTCAAGCGATCCTCCTCTCTTGGCCTCCCAAAGCGCTGGGATTATAGGAGCAAGCTACTGGGCCCAGCTGCATACTGTAGTTTTTATTAAATCAGGTGTAACATTGATTTCATGCACCACTGAACTAACTGTCTGCACTTTTTGCAAAGTGAGGTTTGTGTGGTGGGGAAAAAAAAAGTAGGAAAACTGAACTAATGTTTCAAGTTGGCATAATGGCATTTCCTGTTGCTAAGAAACCTATCTGCCTGCTGCTGTTGCTCTAACACAGTTTGGTGTCCCACCCCTCACCGCTAAACACCTTAGCTCCGAAATTCTGTCAAGATACACTGGTGGGGGCTGCAGCAGGGCCCCCCCAAGTCCCAGGCCTGTTGCAGGAAAACCGTGGCTAGTGCCTAAACCTATTGCCCAAGGTGCTCTCTTACTTAGGCTGCAGAGCCACAAGTTCCCCACAAGGTGCAGCTCCTGTTTTAAGGTGAGACACAGAAAAGGGAGTAAGAGGATTAGAACCAAGGCCAGGCAAAGATGACACTGGCATAGCTGTTGTTATGAAGGCTACTAGTTCTACATTCATCCCCGGAGGAAAAAAGTAATGTGGAGTTGGCAAATTTGCTGAAATCTAAACAAAAAGGCAGTCTCATTTCTCAATCCATGTACCCCACCAGGCGAACCCACGTTCAGCAGAACCTTTTCCCGGTTCCCACCACCCAACCTCTCCAACCCCGTCTCCTGCCCTGACTGCAGCTTTCTTGGCCCAGAAAACCTCCACATCAACCAAAATTGTTGGCCCATTCAACTTCTAAGGGAGAAGAGAAAGAAGAGACAGGAAATCTCCATTAGAATTTCCCCCTTCATTCATAAACAGATAAGCAACACACAACAAATCAGAAAACTCACATAAAGGGAGGGGTGGCGATCATTAAATACCAACTGGAAAATTGCTCATGGGTCACAACTATTGAAACTGGGTGGTAGAGGCATGAGGGTCCATTATTCTGCTCTATTTTTGAATATGTTTGAAATTTTCCATAATAAAATAAAAAGAAAAGGAGGAGAAAAAGAAGGGAGGAAATGAGGGAGGGAGGGACGGAGGGAGGGAGGGAGGAAATGGTCAACTTAAGTAGCCCAACCGGACTGTTATCCAAAGGCTAATTCTAGGCTTTCTTGAAGAGCTCAATTGGGGAAGGGAGTCCTCCCCACCAGTCCAACCCAATGCCCTGCTGGGGACACAACACGCCCCGCTTAAGAGACTCCCCGAGCTGCTTCCCTGGTCCTCCTGTGTGGATATAGCAGGTGGTGGTGCTTTTAATGTTTTGTTCAGGATTCACAATGGTAAGGGCTTTGGAAAGAAAGGAGTTGATCACTTCATCCTTTCCTTTCTTCATAAAGATGTTTGCCCTGACTTCAAAGGCTGTCTGTTTACCTTAGATGATTGGAGAGGATTAATGGAACTAATTGTGTTAACAACAGAACAGTCCTGCTGAAGCCTGCAAATTATCCCTGATTCTCTTTGATTGCCTCAAGATTACCTCTCCACCAACAAACATAGTAAACTTGCATACAGCCATGCTGGGCTGTGCCCTCATAGAAAGCTGGGAGTGCAGTCAGCACTACACAGGATGGAACTGCAGCAGCCTGCAGGGTGTGTGACATAAGCCTGCCAACCTCCCTGCAGTGCCAAGGAAAGCCAGTGAGCCAGTGAGCACATCCTGTGAGTGCAATGCCCAGTCCATCTCAGCTGAGCCAGACGCCATATCCTTGCTCCTCCCAGGAGCTGCGAGCCTCTGGGCAGGCCTCTGCGAAAGCTCTGCCAGCACGGAACAGACCCAGTTGTCCAGAGCACATGCCTCTCAGATGCCTCTGTGGCTGCCAGCAGCAAAGCTGGACATGCCCTCAGAGGTGGAACTGGGCCCAGGGAACAACCTGGGAAATCAGCCAGAGGCACAGGTATGGAACACTGGAAGCTCTCTGTCCCAGGCAGATGGAAGCTGCTCTCCTAGGATGCCTACTGGTGGCATTTAAACCAAGAAGTTGGGAGTGCCTGCCACCATGGCCCACTCCTGGCTTCCTTTCTGCTCCCTACCCCCGACTTTCTTGCTGTGGAGTGACTATCTGGAGTGTAACACATCCCCTGGTACCCAATTAGTCAAGTAGAAGAAAATCCACCACTTACTTTCCTTGAAAGTCAAGTCACTCTCTGATTCTTTAATTCATTAATCTGTCAGTGAATGGCAGGTTTCCTGATTTAATGAGATCCAAAAGTTTCAATAGCCTGTCTGCGAAAGTAATTCAACAGCTCAGCTACTAGGGGTGAAATATTTTCCAACCAATTCCAGTTCCTTTTCATCCAGAAAGAGCAGAGGCTCAACGTTACTGCTGATAACTCTCATAGATCCAGGTGTGTCGTTTGAAGTAGCAGGAAGGCTGTGGTCCTCGAGGACAAACTTCTCAAGCCTTAAGAATCCCAGGCCTGGGAATCTATCCCAATATTCAAAGCCCTAGTGGAGTCCATTTCATTCCTTGACAAGTTTCCTGGAGCACACGGCTTGACAGCAAGGAACAACTTCAGTAGGAGCCCAGGCTCCTTGGGGACAGAGTCCATACCTCTTTGTTTCCCCTGGGCCTAGCATGGCACCTGGTCAATTGGGGTGGGAGTGGGGGTTTAACAGGAATTAATGACAAGGCAGTGACTAACAGAACCCAATCAAAAAATGAAATAGATCCATCACTTATCTGTGATTATATTTTGGCCATCCCATACCAATCGTATACCCTACAGTGGGAGAGAAGGGTAATTACTAATGAGAGTTTTGCATAAGGGAATCATTACTGAAATAAAAAGTTAAGAAGCAACTCTCCTTACAGAGACAGAAGGTTAAAAAGCAAGCACTCCTAACTAAGGCAGAAAAGAGAAATCTATAGAAAAGTCTTAGCAATGATGGAACTCACTCAGTGAGTGACACGGATTCGGACGTCTTGCCCCACAGCACCTCCAAAGGCACCCCAACCACCACTTAAATTGCCAAGCTGTTCTTAGTTACCCAGGTGGAAAGTGCAAATCCCATGGCACAAAGCTCTCTATGCCCAGAGTCATTACAGGGCACCCCAGCCCAGGCACAAGGAAGAGAGTGACTGTGCAGACTTGGGGATGGCTGGCAGTTACCCTTGTGTCCACATCCAGCAACAGACACATCTGCAGACAGCCACGACCCTGCAGGCAGGACCTGGGCCACCCCAGAGGGTTTGCACCCCCAGGCGCTGACCTCATCTGCTGGGGTTGCTTGTGGGTACACAATGTGGGCTGCTTTCTCATTTCTCCCAAGAGCCCACAGCACTTTTCTCCCGGGCTGGCTCAAGTTTCATCCTCCGTAAATCGGCTGCTGTTAAAATGCCATGGGGCCTTCCCTAAACTACAAAATACAAAATTACCATTCTCCCTTTTGGAGGTGACAGGAACATTTAGCTTCCCTGTCTCTGTGTGCCTTTGTACACACACAAATTTGATATCTACAAAAACTGATATGTGTGGACATTACACAACCATTTCTGAAAAGGTACACACAAATGACTCAGAAACAGAGTACCCTGGACAGGTGCCAGAACATTCTGCACCCTGCTCTCCCAGGCCCTTCAGCCGAAGCCGGCTACAGGTCCTCCCACGCCCCGCACCTCAGAGCTCCTCAGTCACTAAGCCCCCTCAAGCCCTTCACTGTAAGCTGCTGTGCCCACCCTTCGGTTCCATTCTCGTCCCTGGTGCCAATCCTCAGCCTCTAGCCTGACAGCTCCTAGGTCTTCCCTTACTCTCCTCAGCATGAATCCACCCAGCAGATAGAATCTCAATTAGCTGATCTACAATACAGCTGCCATCGGGACACTTCTTGCCCAAGCCTTCCCTCTGTCCCCAGGGTGACATTCATTTCCACAACACTGCAACCCACTTCTGTACTGTGGCCTGCATTCCAATCATACCTTATTTACCACCACCAGTGCCCAATGCTCAGGCCGGGCTCCCCTGGCCACCATCCTGCCCAAGTCCCCCGACACATGCCAGTCCCCAAATCAGCCTCATGCTGGGCTCCAAATACCTTCTTTCCTAGGGCACATCCTGACTCCTCAATCCTTCCTCCAGCAGTCTCCCTCTGAGACACCCCTTGGGCATTGAGGGTCAACTGGGTTGTCAGGAACTCTCTTCTCACCTGTACTACTAGTCCCCAGGTAGGTTCCACAGGTAGCCCTTCAGAGGTGTGGCCTGCTCTATACCTCCACCCCCACCATCCTCCTGGGCCCAGCAAAGGGTCCTACATTTAGAGGCTGCTCAATTCACATTTGTTGCTTGTGTCCACTCCAGGCTATGGTGGTCTGTCTCTTCCCTTAGAAACTCTAACTTAGGGGAGATAATTACCTCCACTTGTAAATATTCAATGTTGAGTAAAGTAACTCTAGACATAAATAATATTTTTAAATGCTGTCCCTCCTTTCCATCAATCACCAACTTCTAAATATTACAAAAAGGAAGTATGCCCACAGCCTGTGAGATAGGGTACAAGAGGCTTGAAGGGGTGAATTATCCCAGACTAGCCTTGGAAGTCCTGAACCAAGAGCCTCCTCCACCTCCCTACCCCAGGCTTGGCTCCCCTGACCCTTGGGGCTCAAATATGCTGGCTGTGTAATCTCTTGTATAAGGTGATTTGTCGCCAGACCCAAACAAGTTTTCTGGATGTGAGGGAGCTAGAGCTAGAACCTCATAAGATTGCAGTTTGTTGCCATGCTGGGGGGTGGGAAGGGGGTGGGGAGACAGAAGGCCAGGTGTCTTGCCTTGCTTCTGCCACTAAGGTCAACATGACCCAGGACAATCTCTTGGGGCCTCAACTGTAAACTCTTGCAGGGACAATGCAAAAATCTGCAACAACCATGCACCAAACAGAAAGTTGGGAATGATCGAGAACAACAAATGAAGACAGAGAAGCTTTCAGTTTGAAAACTTCAATTGCATTTGTGTCGGGAAACAAGACTCAAGGACAAAAGGCCTCCTAAGGACCTCACTTCCAAATAGCAAAGTTAAAAAATCTTCAACTCTGTGATTCCTGCTGTCACGAGTCATTTCTCTTGCTGACATTTAACATCCTTCAAAACCCAGCCCTGAAATTCCCAACTGTCTCCCACCCCCTTATGCCTCAGCCATATTGCCCTCCTACTATGCCAGGCCTTTCTCATTCTGCCCTTCCTTAGCACAGTTCATTCCTCCCAAACTCCCCCTCTCCCCCTCCAAATAAAATCTACCTACATTTTCAGGCCTACTTCCACCTCGAATCTATTACCCTCTCGATCCTGGAGTTCCCCACCAGGCAGGTCCACACCCGTATCCTTCTTGCTGGTCCCTGGAGATTACCCTCTCCCCACATGTTTCTCAAGTGCCTGGCAGTGTTCTATGTGTTCCAGGAGCACATAGAACATTTCTGGGCACTTAAAAGGTGCTTAATAAACTCTTGTTGGTTGAATGATGTAACACCAAGAAAAGCTGATGCGCCGTGATGTTTCCATTACCTTCGTCTGGAAAATCCCATTGAGGATTCGCCCCTTCAGTCCAACCCACTTAAAACATCCTCCTTTATTTTGCTCTGAGCTCATCTCAGTCCTGTAAAAGTACTGCAATCCCCACAGCAGTGATTACTCCCAACACCCCTTAAACTCACTGTTGCTTTTCAAAGAAACAGCCACCCCAGATCCATACATTAGGAATACAGTGGGCTGTGCAATGACACAGCCCCAAACCAGCTTGATGCGATTGTTTCCCTGTATTGTTGCTTCACTGTAGTCTTACTATTGTTCTTCATTTACCCAGACAGCTTTGTCTGAAGCTTTATATGAAAAATGAATATGATTGCTTTACATTCCACACTTCCCAGAGCACCACCATGGGTTTCAAAGCTCTAGTCGATGGCTCTCAAGGCTTTGAGTTGAACAGTTTCACACCACAGCTTGCTATACAGTGTCATCCAGGCTGGCCTCAGTCCTTTCACCTCCCACATCCCATCTGTAGTATGTGTGTGCTTCCATCCAATCACCTGGACTGTCCCCAGGCCCAGGAACGTGAAAAACCAGAAGGAACAACCAGTCAGTTTGGCAGGGAGCAAGGTGGAAGAGAATCATCCCTGAAACCACAGCCTTGAGCCTTGGAGGGACAGAACGGCCACTCAGCTGCAACTGAGGACAATGTGTCCTCTTGGGTCCATGCTATGGACCTTGACTCATAAACGTGGTGTTCTCCCTGACAGCCCCAGAGGAAAGGCAGCATTCTGAGCCAGATGGGTTCTCAAGACAAGAGCAAGATGGGTACCACATGGGATTGGGAGCCAGACTGCCTGGGCTCAGGCATCACTTAGCAGCTGTGTGACCTTGGGCAAACCCATTATTCCTTGTGTGCCTCACTCTTGATCTGCAAAGTGGGGACAAAGTACCTCCCTCACAGAATTGTTGTGAGGATCTGATGAGTTAATTTATATAAAATGCATAGAAACTATGCCTGACAGAGTAAATATTTACCATCAGCATCAGCAGCAGCATCTCCCTGGTTATTAATATACCTACTCCTCTCTGCTTTGTTTAGGGAGAAGAGCAAATGCCTCACTCTCAATACCAAGCTTCCTGTCTCAGGAGGCTCCACGCCCCAAATCCTTTTTCCTCCCTACCTCCTTTTAGTGCCTCTAACACTTCAAACATCACATCTCCATCTGAGCATTCAAAGCCTTCATACTGGGCTGTACTTCCTTTCTTCCCTCAGCAAACACCCTGGATTCTTGCAAGCTATTAGATACACTCGGTGGCAAATGCAAGAGTGTTTGCATAGGTTTTCGTCATTATCCATGTTTTGGAAACAGCCATGGTGAGTGCTGCGGCAGGGCAAAGGAGAAAACAAGGTATTAAAATGATCAAAAACAGGTCTCCACCTCCTCGTGTTAAAACTGCTGTGGTCACTCTCCCCCGAAGCCAGAGGCTCCTTTGAGTTTTCTGTTCTTCTGAATTCAAACTGCCAGCTCAAAGGGCTGGCCTAGGAAGGAGATAAGGCAGATGGGAAAAACTGAGGATGAAAGGAGGGTAGAAGGGTTGAATCTCAAAGTGTAAGTTGAACCCTTTAGATGTTCTCATTTAATAGCACAGTTTCTGAGAGACTTGCCCACCCAAGTCCCGTCCTTCCTAAGCAAACATCTGTTAGGATGATTGAGACCCAGGGTAGTTTATTCTTCCTTTGCTAAAACTTCCGGTGGGGTATTGATCTCATAAATGTTATCCTTATGGCTCAGAGGAAAGTCAAGTTTCAAATCCAGAGGGGTGTGGGGCAGCCAGTTCATCCATCTTCTGAAGCCAAAAAAGATAGAAATCTACAAGTCACAAGATTGATTTTTTGTTTACATCTTCAGTCCCAAATATTTGGAATGAACCTTTTGATGTACCAAAACATGTCTTGTGAATGCCAAAAAGTAAAAACAAAAACAGAACTTAAATTTCTATGTGGCACATGATACATTTTACCTTATGGACCAATTGATTGTGTAAAATGATTATGAAATTCCCCTTGCCTATCCCATGAAGGAGAAAAAGTCACAGAATCACAAATGTGCTACCCTCTTGTCTCAGGTCATACTCTAAGGATCGAAGTGATTTAAACTCTGCTCAGCTCCGGGGCTGAGAAGGACAAACTCCAGGGAGACTGAGCCTGGTCTGATGGTTACTGAAGCTGGAGGAAACTCGGCCTGTAGCTTGCCCAGACACTTTGAGAGCAGGCAGTGAGATGCCCACGTGGCTCCTCTCACCTTCAGAGGGCAGGCAGAGAGAGAGACCCAGATTTGCCTTAAAAGGCAGGATTCCACTCCCAGCTTCATTGTCACCCATCTATAGGGTGACTGCAGACAGGCCACTGAACCTAGCAAAGCCTCGGTGTCAGCAGAATCTCAGGATTGGAAAGTTTTTTTTTTGTTTTTTGAGACAGAGTCTCGCTCTGTTGCCCAGGCTGGAGTGCAGTGGCGTGATCTCGGCTCACTGCAAGCTCCGCTTTCCGGGTTCACGCCATTCTCCTGCCTCAGCCTCCTGAGTAGCTGGGACTACAGGCGCCCACCACCATGCCCGGCTGATTTTTTTGTATTTTTATTAGAGACGGGGTTTCACCGTGTTAGCCAGGATGGTCTCGATCTCCTGACCTCGTGATTCGCCCTCCTCAGCCTCCCAAAGTGATGGGATTACAAGCGTGAGCCACCGCGCCCAGCCGGAAAGTTTTTTTAAAGAAAGTATTTGATTCATGATAAGACTTAACTTTGAAGCTGATGATGAGTTTGTATAATTAAACAGGACTACCCTGATTTAAACTTCTAAAAATATAGATAAAGTAAAAATAAGTAAGATATTTGAAAGTTGGTACTTGATAAACTGTGAAGCCTGATTACACATCAACTGCAAAGCTCAATAAGAAATGAGCTGCTGCTATCATGACAAGGCCTAGGGTTGCAGGCAGGGCTGCAAAGCGTTGCCCAAAAGAGGTCGCTCCCCCTGGGGCATGTCCCTACCCACAACACACACACACACACACACACACACACACACACACACACACACTCTACTTACAGTATATAATTTGAGTCATTTCTTTACACAACGATCTCTTTGTCCCCAATGTTCTGTGTCTCTGTGGATGTTTAGTAACACCTACTGTTATTATAAGTTCACAATGGTAATTATAGAAAACATGTTTTTAATCATTTCATCCTCACAAAACCCCCGAGCAGGGGGTCTCTTTAAAAGAGCTGTACCAAAAGGAATTAAGCCGATCCCCTTGTTCACACCTAGGGCCAGCTCACCTCTAACAATTAGGGGGAGGGAGGATGGACAGGAATATCGAGGAGGTAACAGGGCAGTGAGAAGGCTGGGAAGGGGCCATCTGATCCATGGGGCTAGGGCCATGCAGGGTGGCGCTGGGGATACCCTGGTACAGGAATAGGCTGTGCAAGAGAGTGCACAGAGGAAAGGAAGATTGCTCCAAAGACAAAGCCCTGGCATAATGATCATAAAAATATGGCATGAATCTAAGGCTAAGGAAAGAAAACAAAACAAACAAAATCCAGGAGTTTCACAAGAAGTCTGGAGTCTGGCCAGTGCTAGATTGCCAGCTCCCTAGTTGACACAAAAAGGCACCTCTGGGTGTTAGGGATGGTGAGGTGCCAAGTTATCCACCCCTGCACTGTAGGGATGAAGCCCATGCTGTCTCATCCCCAGGAAAAACAATCACTGATGGCTTTCCCAGCTCCGGAGCACCAGGACACTCCAAAAACTTTAAACCTCGTGACACTCCAGGGGGTAGTGAACAAATATCATTCAGCCTGGTCATCTAGGATGAATTCTCCTTCTATATTCATAGCAGGGCTGAGCCCAGCAAAGAGGTAAGTAAAGCCCCTCAAGCAGATCCTGAAATCACTCTCACTGGGAAAGTCCACACATGAAACTTCTGTATGACGCAGTGCCAGGCCTTGATGACTGTAGGGATTTTGGTAGCTGTGATAAAAAGCAAACAGATAAATAAATACAAGCATAAGTAAAGTTGTGCCTTTCCAGTACTCTTTACAGGCCAAGAGAAAATGGTTAAATGAGAGCCCCAAATGTACTTGGGATGTGTCTTGCATTAATCGCCATAAAGGTACCATCAACACTCTTGGCTTCTCATTTGTAGCTCTTGGCATTCACACTCTTCAGCCCAGGGCTGGCATGGGATTTGTGGAATGGATACCAGTGCTCCCACTTAACAGGTGAGAAACTGGGACTTGAGGATGACACCCAAGGTCACCTAACTGGAAGGCAGCTGAGGCAGAACTAGAATCTACTAGTTCTAAAAGGAGGAGTTACTAGAAGTAGTGATTTTCCACTCTAGATCCATGTCATTCCTCAACAACCTCCCTAGTTATTCCTTACAAATAAGATATAGAAAGTAGTATAGTTGCTGGGATATTCTATCCATAAAACATCTCCCTGCATGGAGTCTGGCTACAAACACCTGGTTGTTTACATTTGCCTGAGGGATTTGTACTTAGGCTATCTTCCACTGCAAAGTGACTGGTCAGGAAGTGCTTCTTGGGCACTTGTTTACTGAGATCTAATGGAGGGGACCGAGGAAGAAAAAGACAAAGCACCTAGGGATTGGAACCTGACAGGAGACAACCAATTGCAAACTAAGAATAGGGGAATGTAGGACACAATCAGGGGAGAGAATGGCGTAGGCTGGGGCAGTCTGGGAATGCACCCCCTCAGCTTCTGAGGAGAACAAAGGATTCAGAATCCTCTGGCATCACTGCCTGCTACACTTGCAGCTCAAAGAACATACTGCTTTCTTTAGGTTCTAGAACTAACACTTTGTCAAATTATTTCTGGATAAACATTGTAAAAAAAAATTATTTTCTTGACCCTGAACCACTGAAGAGAGACCAAAGAAGGGGGGTAACTGGTGTATCAAATTTCCTGCATAATCCTCTTATGAGATTAGTGCCTTCTTAAATGGTAATGAGGTTCTGGCTTGGGGACTAAATTATGCCACAGGGTAATTCTCCCATGGGGAGGATGCTTAATTCTATCACACAGGGTGGGAACAGAGACCTCTGATCTCCTGCTGTAAATGAGTGAGCTGAAGCCATCTCCAACCAGGAACATGGAGCTTTGGAGCAGAAAGGAACTTAGAGAACACCCAAACCAACACCTTGTTGGTTTTTGGAGAAGTCACATTGCCACAGCCTCCAAAGCACGGGACCCTTCTTGGGTCTCTTCTCCTAATAAGGGCTCATCAGGACAACTGCAGCCTGTGGCTAAGGTGCTATGAAAACTCCCCTCCCTCCTCCCTCCAGAGAGGATGAAGTACTCTACAAGACACTGTCCAGAGCTAGGACATGTCAGCAACTCTGTTGCACCAAATATTCTTGGCACCCAACCTGAATGTGCCTGAGGTCTAAAAGAATCAAGATGCCTGGCTCACACCCCCGAATAGCACAGACCCCAGGAGAATTGGTGCTCCTCGTTTTCTTCCAGATCGGTGGTGATGAGGGAGTATCCCATCCCTCCTTTTCCATGTACAAGTACATATTTTGTCCATGAGTTTTATTTGCCTTCCTGGTTTTCAGCATAAAAGATTTCTAAAATCCCTCTGGAGGAGGAGTGAACTCAGCCCCCAGCAGTGTTGCCAGGGATGAAACCAGAGATCAGGACAGAGGTAAGGCTCTGACCTCCAGCTGCAATCAGCAAACCACTGCCTTCCAGGCAGGGAGCACTTCTGCAGAGCCCCCGACGACCCTTGGCTGCGAGGCAAGGGTATCGGGGCATCCAATTACTCAGGTCTGAGATTCTCTAGGAAAATGGCTCCTTATCATTCTTGATGGGCTGCACTGATCAAATCCGTCAAGTTTGCCACTTCCAATCTATAGCTCTGGCTTCAAAATTTTTCTCAACCTGGCACCAAAGTCACACTTTGGTCCCGGTCATGGCAAGACTCATCACAGTGGCAGGAGAGTAGTCACCCTCTTCACTATTCCAGTTTGAAACTCACCTAGCCAAATCCCTCTTTTTCTCAGCATCATTCCCCTCTGTGCGGGAGGGGGAGGGGGGACCGGAGGTGGGGGCTTCTCTGATGTCCTGCCCACCTTGGTAAGGTCAATTTATGAGATTCATGTTGATTATACACTGATGATACTCACTTATGAATTTACTGCACGTGTCTTGGAGGTTTAGCTTTCACAAGTATTCAGCTAATCTCAGCTGTATTTATACCGTAACAGAAGAGAACAGATGCAATCTGGAACACATGCCCTGTGGGCTGTGTTGGGCACTTTACATCAGCTCAACGATTCCTGACAAATGCTCCACTGGGTCATTTCCATTTCACAGAGGAGAATTCACAACAGGCCACAATTTAGACCCTGCTCGGTCTGTCTGTGTTCTTTTTTCTTGCTGTACTGCCTGGCCTCCAGGGCCTGGGCTCTGAAGTCCTGTATGCTGGAAGTGGCTTGATTCAAGTCGCTGGGTGACCTCCTTGCACCTCTCTGGACCTCAATTTTCTCTTTTGTGAAAGACGAGGGTTGTCTCCCAAGGTTCCTTCCAGCTCTCAACTCTCATGTCCCACATGGTGTCTGCCAGGGAGCTGGGCACGTGGCCAGAAGGAAAGGGGATAACAAACTACAGCCCCCGTCTGCACTCCTGTCTCCTCTCTGCTCAGGAATAAGCCCCTTCCTTAGCACTGCATCTGCTTCACACTGAGTCACTGAGGAAGAGGGATCTGCCTCTAGCCATTAACCCCAGCATGCCCTTTCCTGCTAATGCAGTCAGGGAGTCATTTCAAGGCCCTTCTTTTGAAAATGACCCATGGCCAACAAGGTCCCCGCAGAATGAAGCCAAATAGCCCATCCCAGGCCCTTGGAGGCAGCTGCACTTCTGAATCCAGTTAGATAAGTGCCTCAGGAAGGTGTAATGGCTTCCTGGCTGGTGATTAGCGCACTGGATGAGATCATGCAGAATTCCCTGCAGTTTTGCCTCCTGGAACTGGATGCCAAAAGCGGATTCTCTCCATCCCAAACAAAGCTCATTCCTGGGCCGCCAGCGGGGCCAGGAAACCCCAGAGATAGAATTTTCAATAGCCATTTTCTTCCAATTCGTGTCTTTTGTGTTTTTCACAGCCAAGCTAAAAACTTTAAGGTACTTCTTAACCTGTCAAAGCTTTAAAAAATTCAAACATGTCCACTCCATATATAAACATTTTCCTGGCGGACTATTATTTTTGCTAATGTGTGTTGTTTCACATGAGTCTTTCCTCAACTAGATTTTAAGTGATGCAAGAGCAGAGAACAATGCTATCAATTCTACTTCTATTCTTACCACCACCACTACTGCTATGGGATCCAGTCCCTGCCGGGTGCTTTAAAATCAACAGCACATTTAAGGGTCCTAACCTACTAAAGTAGATACCACTGTTACCATTTCACAGCATTTACTAATACTATGGGCCAGGCACGGGCGTAATAAGTGTTTTACGTCTGTTAGCTAATTTAATCCTCATCACAAGCTTGTGAAGTGGATACTAATATTACTCCCACTGCACAGAGGAGGTCACTGAGACACAGAAGGGCCCAAGGGCACACAGAATGTAAGATGGGAAGCCAGCACTCCTGGAGTTTCTTGTCTTCACCATCACATTCTGCTGCCTTCTATGGGATCCCCTGCACAGGGCTTGACTCACACCAATGCTCCGTAAGTACTTGTTTTGCTGGGTAACAGTTCAACAGTTCCCTCCTTAGGCTTCATGTTTCAAACAGCCTTTCTGCTGCCTAGGATAGAATTTCCCGTACAAGATCTGTGGCTTCTCACTCCATGGGCCATAATAATCCCTTACATTTGAGCGATGCTTTACATTTTTCACAAGTGCTGACAAATTACCTCCCCTCCAAACATAAATCTTGAAAATGATCCTGTTAGGTAAGTAGAACAAGTGTAGTGAAGCCTGTTTCACAGATGCAGATCTTTACTCAGAGAGGTGGGGTGACTCACCCAAAGTCATACTGCTCATCAGGGTTGAGCTGAGGCTAAAACCCAGGTTTCTTAACTCTTGGTTCCCTCTTCTTCCCACTTAAGAAGAGATGACTACAGACAGTGCCAAGAGTATTCCCCTGCGGTGGAATCCCCTAGCAAGAATGAATGAATGGATTAATGAGTAAATAAATACATGGGAGGGGTGTGTGTGTCTGTGTGTACGCATGGAGGTATAAACATCTATAACAGCTAGCATAATTTTACAATTTTTATTTAATATTAAAAATATTTTAAGGCTTTAAAATAATATTAAATCCAAGTGGTTTGAAATTCAAGAATCTCAGAAAGATATGCAGTGGGATGACTCCCTATCATCTGTTCTTATTCTAGGGTTCCAGTTTCTCCAAGGTTCCCACTTCTCCCCATAATTGGGGAACATCTTGAAACTATTTATAAACATTACCCTTTTCCCGGCCTCAGATCAACTTCAGTGTTTTTTAGAGCCATACATAGATGGTGACTTTTATTTTATCCTATTGATAATAGGTAACATGAACATGGTACAAATTCAAAAAGAATAAGAAAAATTACAACGCAGGGTGAGTCAGCCTCCCTCTTTTGTCTGGCCCCTAGTCATCCAGAGACCATTCGTCCTTTCTATTATTCCTTTAATAAGAATCTATGGATTCACAAACATATTCATAATTTTTTTCCAGCTCAAACAGTACTCTGTTATACACACTCTCCTGCATGCTTATTTTCACTGAACGCTGTATCTTGGAGACCATTCTAACAGTACTTAGGCAGCTGCCTCCTTCTTTGAGTGGCTACATAATGTTCCATTGCATGGACATACCACAGATTATCTGATGGACCCTTGGTGGCCTCTCATTGCTTGCTATTAAGAGCAATGCTACAGCAGGAACTAGAGATGATGGCTGAGGCTGAGGCTGCTAGTTCCTGGCAATATCTGTATTCCCCTTCTCCTGTACAACAGAATTTTATAAAGAACACATTCCCCAACCTCCCTTGTAACTAGGTGTGACCATGTGACTAAATCTCGCCATAGGATACAAACAAATGTATATGTGACAGTTTTCAGGAACTTTCCGTAAGAGAAAGCAAATATACTCCCTTAACACTCTCCATTATCACCTCGTCAGGAAAAATTGTGAAAGACTTTGAAATGGACAAAAATGATGATTGGGTATCGAGTCTAGAGGACACTTCTGTGTTATCTCAGACTTTCATTGTCTTGGAGCCATTTTATCATTCTGTGAGTGAACAAATACTGTTAATAATACGAATGTGCCCTACTATAAAATTGCAAGCCTAGGCAACAAAGTTAGATTTTGTCTCTACAAAATAATAAAAAATATTAGCTAAGCATGATGGTGCATGCCTGTAGTCCCAGCTACTTAGGAGGCTGAGGCAGGAGGATCACTTGAGCCTGGGAAGTGGAGGCTGCAATGAGCCGAGATTCTGCCACTGTACTCCAGCCTGGGCAACAGGGTGAGACCCTGTCCTCCCCAAAACATTGCAAATGATGTCCAATGGAGATGAAGTTAACATTGCAGTGGAATATTCGTTCATTGTGCAGCTAATTATAGGCTCACCTCAGCATTCTTGGTGGCATCTATGTGTATATATATTTAGTCCTTCTTTGAACCAGCTATAACATCTTACTGGTTCCCTCATTAATTAATTAGTTAAATAAAATCTTTGCCATGTGCAAAGATAATATTTGTTTCATAGTCAAGAGTTCATCTTTTTAAAAAGTTATCCTTTGGCTGGGCGCGGTGGTTCACGCCTGTAATCCCAGCACTTTGGGAGGCCGAGGCGGGTGGATCACCTGAGGTCAGGAGTTCAAGACCAGCCTGGCCAACATGGTGAAACCCCGTCTCTACTAAAAATACAAAAATTAGCCGGGCATGGTGGTAGGCACCTGTAATCCCAGCTACTCAGGAGGCTGAGGCAGGAGAATCGCTTGAACCTGGGAGGCGGAGGTTGCAGTGAGCTGAGATCGCACCATTGCACTCCAGCCTGGGGGACAAGAGCGAGACTTCATCTCAAAAAAAGTTATCCTTTAAACATCCTTCTCTCTATCCTGCTGCCTGGAATAGAGGTGCCATCATCTTGAAGAATAGGATTGAAACTGCCTCTAGATAAAGGAGCCTAGGTGACCTTTATCTGTGATTTTGGAGAGCCATGCCCTCCTTGGGCTTGTACCCAGACTTTTTTTTTTTTTGAGATGGAGTCTCACTCTTGTTGCCCAGGCTGGAGTGCAATAGTGCGATCTTGGCTCACCGCAACCTCTGCCTCCTGGGTTCAAGCAATCCTCCTGCCTCAGGCTCTCGAGTAGCTGGGATTACAGGCATGCACCACCACGCCTGGCTAATTTTTTTTTTTTTGAGACAGGGTTTCACCATGTTGGCCAGGCTGGTCTCAAACTCCTGACCTCAGGTGATCCGCCCACCTCAGCCTTCCGAAGGGCTGGGATTACAGGCATGAGCCACCGTGCCCGACCGTACCCAGACTTTCATGTGTGAGAAAAAAAAACACATTTATCTTCTTTAAGTCGCTATTATTGGAGGCTTTCTGTTACAGTCAAATCTAACAATGAAACGACTTCAAGAGAAATTTTTACTAATAGAATATGTAGTGATTTCATCTTTGCACAGCTGCAAATTCTCCTTTTTACTGTTCTTGGCAGACATCATTAATCAGTCATCAAGCTTTTTTGCCCCAGAGCCCTTACTCAAAATGCTTCTCAAGGTCACATTCTAGGTGGCCATTAGTATCAAAAAGAGTTATGAATGACGCTTAATTACCATTCCTGCTACAGGATAACAAATCAGCACAAGTTTCTCAGTTGTCCAGGTTCTAATGCAAACTTATTTATTTATACCCCTCTTGTTCCTGGGAGGATTTAGGGCAGCAAATTATAGGGACCTGTATGAATGCCTATAGAGTTCCAGGACTAGAAGGGGGCCCTAGTCTAGATGACCAGTCCCATCAGGCTAGAATGCACCAAGCCCAAGGCCCTTCCCTTCAGTGAGCTTCCTCACCGGCCCATACCCATAGAAATCACAGAAGGGACACACCACCAGGGTAGACGAGGACTCTCAGGTTCAGGATTCTGGGCAGATTAGAGCCGGGTACAGTAGTAATTTAGGAAGAGGGCAACAGGAGGGAGTAGGATATATGAGGAGACCCCCCAAACTATAGCTCTGTTCATGCCCATCCCAGGTATTGTTGGAGAACAAGCACTAAGCTAGGAATAAGAGGAACCAGCATCCCCTCCCGCTAACTGGTAGTCTCACTGAGCAAGGCACTCTCCCTCACTGGGCCTCAGATTCCCCATCTGAGACTGGACTAACCAATTTCCAGTCCTAAGATTATATACTTCTAGAACAAAACAATCTCAGCAGCCTTGAGAGCATCTTCAGCTCAGCAGGGTCACGTGCAGAGACAGCCCTCCCACCACCCAACCCAGTGCCAGACGGTAGGGGGCTCCGATCCTGGCAGCTCCCTGGCAGATAGCTCAAGTGACAATGGGAAGGGCTGGCACCATCAGTGACTTTGGCATTCTCCAGACGGTACACAAACAGGAAGCCAGGGAGGAGTGATAATTGTTTAATCAGCACTCCAGCAACACCTGTTGAGTTTCCTCCAATGATGTGAAAAGTTGGGCATCTAGGGAATAACACTTTTTTATGGTTGTTAGTGTTGATCATGATGTACCATCAAAAATGACAGGAACAATATTCCCTGGGCAATTTTCCACAGTTCTTTTTCTCCAACCTCCAAACCTACAATTGTCAATTCATCACCTAGGTATATACTGAGTGTCTACCATGTGCCCTACTCCAGTGCTCATAATGGTAAAACACACGTTGAATGTTAAAGGGGAAGCAAAGAACTGGTTGGTGCTTGCCAACCAGACACTTATAACTCTGGCTTGGGGGAAAAGACCAGTTAACTGCCAATAAAAGTGGCAGTGTGAGGCTCAGGTGGTGAGGGTTACAGATGGTCAGAGAGGGAGTGACCACTATGCGCTACCATGATCAGCAACAGTCTGGGAGCGCTGAAATCTGTGGGCAGCCTTGGAGGATGAGTGGGCTTCCAGTGATAGTCCAGATGCAGGGGGTGGCACAGCAAGGGAGGGAGAGTAGAAATACCCTTCGAATTTTCAAAAGGGAGACCAGTCTGGCTGGACCAGGAAATGTGTGTCAAGCAGCAGGGGGAGAGAAAGTAGAAATCGGGTGGGGCAGGGGCTGGAGCTATCAAACTTGAGCTCACAGCAGGATCACCTGGAGGGCTTGGTAAAGCAGAGATTGCTGGGCTCCATTGGCAGCTCCTGACTCAGGAGGTCTGAGATGGGGGTCTCAGAATTTGCATTTCTAACAAGTTTCCAGGTGAGGCTGATGCTGCTGGTGCAGAGTTCTGGCTTTGAGAACCACTCAGCTAGACTGTTAGCCATGAATGTTGGGCAGGTGGGAGCTCTGGGAGACCTTGCCTCGACTAAATGGAAACGGAGTGGAAGTCATGATTTGTCTGGAGGAATGATTTGCACTCTGCTCGTCTCCATTTCTACAAATGGCTTTTCTGTACCCTTTGCTGTTTTCTAGTTTTGGGTAAATGGGATTAGGAGACACCAACCACTAGCTGTCACATCTATTCATAGCCCCACTTCTCATTTCTGTGTGAAACACATCGCCTTTTGAGAGAAATTAGCAGCCATGATTCTGGGCCATCAGCAAAGACCAGAAGACACTGTCCAGTTGGAGGTTTCATCTTCTTTAAAAATGCCAAGTGTGAGAAGCCCATCTTTGATCATTCCACTGTTATGTGTGAGCATCCGCCATGTGCTAGGCACTATGCTTCACACTTTATGTATATTACCTCTTTACAGCAACATTGCAAGATAGCGATTATTATCCCCATTTTACAGATGAAAAAACTGAGGCTGAGACCAGTTACATGGCTTGCTCAAGATCACACCTCTAACAAAAGGCAGAGCCAGTATTCAACACCAAGGCCTATCTGCTCCCCAGCCCGTGCCAGCCCTGAATCCCACAGCCTGTCCTGTTCTATCTATCCAGACCTGCAGAAAGCTCTTGGAAGCAGCTTCAGCATAGTCTCATCAGCCTCCTGAGGTCTACCCACAGTGGCTCTCTAGGCAAAACATCCTCAGGGGCCCAACTATTTAAAGAAGCCTCACAGAAGCTCTAAGCAGCAAGCCCGGACCCTACCTTCCCAGGCCCATGGGATCTCAGAGCTTCCCCAGCCTTCCCCTCCTTAGTCCCTGACGTACATGGTATCTCCCTGCACACTCATTTCCTCACCCACCCCGGGGTCCTCCCTCATCTGTACTCATCCTGAGAACAATTAAGGGTAAAGAATCCAGCGACCTAAGTGAAATAAGCTGATCACAAAAGGACATGTACTGTATGATCCACTTACACGAGGTCCTACAGTAGTCACATTCATAGAGACAGAAAGTAGAAGGGTGGTTGCCTGTGCTTATGAGGAGAGGGGAATGGGGGTTGCTGTTTAAAGAGACAGTTACGGTTCTACAAGATGAAAAGAGTTTTGTGGATAGATGGTGGTGATGGCTGCACAACAATGTGAACGGACTTAATGCCGCTGATCTGTGCACTTAAAAACGAGTAAGATGTTCAGTTTTATGTGTATTTTGCCACAACTTCTAAAATAAACAAACTAATTAAACAAATGAATAAATGAATCAAGTGAAAGAAGAGAAGTCAATCTCTGAGTCCCTGCTTGGGGAGCGGGTGGGTTAAGGGCAGCACCATTGACATGCATATCATGGACCAGCAAAGCTGTAAATCACATCTCCTGCTCACAAGCCTTCTCACACACATGGGACCCTTTGGTTCACGTGCCAGCCAGGATTCCCGAAGCAAATTCCTTCTATAATCTTCATTCTCAAGGATGTAGATGTAGATTAAGAACTTTCCCCTTGAAGGTTGGGATGAGCGCCCCAGTATCCCCTCCTCCAATATCCCAGGCAACTAAAACTCTGCATCAAAATCCTGGAGCTCATTCAGCAAGGATGTATTGAGTTAGACAGTGGGGAGCTCAAGAGCATGGACACAGAAACAGTAGATGGCTGTGAGACCTTGGGCAAGCTCCTTGACCTCTCTGAAGGTCATTTCTTTCTGTGTAAAACAGGAGAGTTGTGATAGGATAAAGAAGGTAATGTAGGCTGGGTGCGGTGGCTCACGCCTGTAATCCCAGCACTTTGGGAGGCCAAGGAGGGAGGATCACTTGAGGCCAGGGGTTCAAGACCAGCCTGGCCATCATGGTGAAACCCTGTCTCTACTAAAAATACAAAAGAATTGGCCGGGCACGGTGGCAGGTGCCTGTAATCCCAGCTACTTGGGTGGCTGAGGCAGGAGAATCACTTTAACCCGGGAGGCGGAGGTTGCAGTGGGCCAAGACCACACCACTGCACTCCAGCCTGGGCAACAAGAATGAAACTCTGTCTAACAAAAAAAAAAAAAAAGAGGAAGGTAATGTATGCAAATACTTAGCATAAGCTTCAATAAGTGAACTTTCTTCAAAAATCTTTAATTCCCAGGGTGTGCACTGTAGGACCCACACCTGTCCTCTGGGAGTCATGGCCTAGAGAGTCACACAAGTAAAGAGTGGCACAAGTAAACAATATCACAGCATCCTTTGTGTGTGGGCACGAACGCTGAGAAGGAACACTGAACCAAACCAATAAGGCAGGACTCATCTATAATTGTGTGATGACCCCTCACCAGGCTCCAAACTTAAAAGGCCTTATGTGTAGTGGCTAGGAGCACAAAATCATGCTGTCCAACTGGGTTTGAGTCCAGCTATACAATCTTGGGCAAGTTATTTACCCTCTCTATGGCTCTGTTTTCTCATCTGTAAGATAGGAATCGTAGTAATAGTGTCTAACCCACAGGGTTTCTGTAAAGATTAGATAAATTAGTGCTCAGAACAGTATCTAAAAAGAAGAAGACAGTTATGACTTAGCTATTCTAATTATTGAATCTTTGACTTGTCTTTTATATTTCCTTTCCTTGGCTTCCATATATCCAGCCTCATTCTAGAAAGGTTTTCTAGAACAGTCATCTCTTCTAGCATAAAACAGAACATAGAGCAAATGCAAAAAAAAAAAAAAAAAGTTGATGAGTTTAGCTGAACAAAGTCTTTAAAAGGCTTAAAACAAAATCCTGTCCCAAAGAAACAAATAGGAAAGGCTTTTGAAACAATCAAATTTGATTCCTGGTTGGCCTTCCTATACTAATTTGCCTTAATCTCTGATTTCCAACATCCATACATCAACACTGCCAAGCCGACTGCCAGTAATGTTAAGTCCCTCAGCCTCCAAATTTACTGGGTGACTGGGGAGAACGAACAGCAACCTCTCCTCTTTCTCAATTATAGTTGAATTGTTTTCTGAGTGGAACCATGTTCCTTCCCCATGAAGTCAGCCTCTACAAGGAGCTGGCCAACTCCAAAACCCAGGCAGCAGAGTGCTTTCTAGAACAGCCTGTAGAGATTTTCCCAGAGCTTGTTCCTTCTGCTACCCACATACTTCAGCACCTCAGTATAGGAGAAGTCATTGCTAACCAAAACAAGCCTTTCCTGATCTGCCTTGCTCAACCAGGCCAGGAGCTCTCAACCCTGGAAGGCCATTAGAATAACCTGCGGCCACCTCGACTCGGCATGCCCAGGTCCTCTCAATGGAATTCAGGTCGGTAGGGATGGGGTGGGGCCTGCACACTGGTGGTTTTTAAAGCTCCTCCACATAATGCTGATGTTTAGTCAGGGTTGAAACCCATTCCATTTTCTTTCCCAAAAGCCCTTGGCTTTGGCTACACAGCATTGGGTTTGCTCCTACTGGAGCCCTTGGCTTTGGCTACGCAGCATTGGGTTTGCTCCCACTGGCTGTGGCATCATCATAAAGCACCCACTAGAGTCATGCATTAAGCACTCCTGGCAGGCAAGACACTCAACTGGTGCTGTAGAGGTGGTGATGGGCCAGCCACAGATAGCCCAGGCAACCCAGGACCCTCTGTCTAGTAAGGGAGAAACAGGTTCCTGCAAGATGGTGAATCTGAGATTGGCTCAAATGTGAGACTAAATTTCCCTCTCCTGGATGGGGCAGGGATAAGGACCGGAGGATCCTGACTTCCAGCTTTGCCCATTAAACAACATCCTGTGTACAGAATCTCTGCAACTTTAGACAGACTATTTCATGGAGCCCCCACTCACCCTGCAAAGCATAATACATTATGTAAATTAATGAAATTTACAGTGTATACAATATTTTGGAGGGAAGCACTCTGTTATTAAAACATTTCAGAAACAATTTACTAAACATTTATTCCATTGACCTAAATTGAGCATAACCCACAGTGACTGAGCCAGTACTCATTACCGCTGAGGATGGTAAGAAGTCCTTGACTGTCCACATCCAAACCATCAGTAAATATTAAAGGCCAACCTACAGCTGGGGACCAAAGAGGGATTACATTTAAAAGCATCCTCGTGACCACTCCCCTAACTCAAATGTGACAAGCAGGGCAGAGGGATTCTAGCAAACCCTTCCCACTGTCTCTGATAATGCCATTGGGAAAAGCATAGCCACAAGCTATCTTCTAATCCTTGCCTAAAGAGAGTGGAAACTGTCCATATGGCAAAATTCCAGTGGGGAATAAACACTAGAGACTTCACTGTGTTCAAGGGTAGCACCAGCGCCTATGATGCTCAACAGATTCCAAAGCACTTACCCAAAATCTTTATTCTAGGACTTAATTTCAGTGTATTATTTCGTGGTGTGAAATGGTCACGGCTAAAAGACCAGATCATCCTGTACAATTCAAACACCTAGGTATAGACCAAATCTTGTTCCCTTGTATCTAAACATTCTCCTTTTTCTTCAAAGCTCATAATGTTTATTAATGATTCCTCTAAGATCCACCACGGTCTGAGACATGTTAAATTTTGAATTTCTCTTTAAGATTGCTTTGGAATATTGTTTAGAAATCAAGTGCCACCTTTCAAGCCATACCTTATTGCTTAAAAAAATACGTGTCTATACCTTTCATACTGTGAGCCAAATGGCTCCAATCTAAGTTGCTTGTTCACATAACACTTGGGCCTTCCTCGGTAAAAAGGTGACATTGCATCATATCCAGAAGCGAGCTGTGTTCTACAGTTGGTGACTAAAAACACTGAATAATAATCAAGATGGTCCTAGAAAATCTTAAAGCACCATATGATTTAGTGCATATACTGTGCATGTTTATACGTCTATGTCCACCGATCTTAATTCACAGTAAAGTTTGAGAGCCACTGAACTGGATCCCTATGGAAAGAACAAAAGAAAAGCTCATGTGTATTCCAGCCTTTCTGCTTTCAGAGATCTGTCAAATCCCGGGCTGTGAAGTGGGGCGGAGTGGAGCATTCTAAAGTGACTGACTTCCCTGGAGGGCTTACTCCATTTGCTTTTAATAGTGTACTTTAATACATTTTAATGTATTTGTTGTTGTGAAGATTACACCAGAAGACAGAGCCTCATCAGTGTGAGGCAGGCTGTGAAAGGCTTTATAATAGTCTACTCCGTTGAGGTTTTCAAAACACATTCACATCAATTACAGTAGATCATCTTATCTAAGATACTATCACTTTAAGATGGACCTTTATGCATCATTAATAAAGAAAAAAAAGGGACCAATATAAAATATAATAGCCTACCTTTGCCAGATGTATTTGGAATTCTTAGAAATTGAAAGTTGGAAAAATGTAAGATTTAACCAAATGCATACTTTATTTATTTGCTTATTTATTTACTCATGTATGAAGGAATGATAGGGTCTCACTCTGTCACCCAGGCTGGAGTGTGATCATAGCTCACTGCAGCCTTCTACTCCTGAGCTTCAACTCCTGCCTCACCCTTCCAAGCAGCTGAGACTACAGGCATGTACCACCATGCCCACACCCTGCTAAGTTTTTGGGTGTTTTTTTTTTTTTTTTTTTTAAGATAGGGTCTTGTTATGTTGCCCAGGTTGTTCTTGAACTCCTGGTCTCAAGTGATCCTCTCGCCTTGGCCTTCCTAAAGTGCTAGAATTACAGGCATGAGCCACTGGGCCTGGCCTAGTATTGCTTTCAAACCGCAGCCTAGATGTTAAGTATTATTATCCCCATTTTGTAGAAAAGGAAAGGAGAAGTGCAAAATTGACCCCAGCAGCAAGGCTAGGATCAGCACAACATTGAAACTTCTGACTTGGGTCTCTGGAGCATCCTCAGGCCACACCCACAGCAGCCTGCTTCAGGTTTGGCAACCTGTCCCATGGACAGCCAGGACACACCAGGGAAGAACGTCCTTTCTGGGGCTGCATTTCCTTTCCCACAGTCTCCCACCCTGGCTCTGCCCAACGGCCTTCCTCAGCCTCCTCTCTAGCTGGCTCTCAAACTGCACTCCCCATCTTCCTTCCCAGCACCTCATCCTAAATTCCCAGCATCTTGAAGCCTGACTGTGCAGAGTTTAGGACATATCACCTGAGCTGGAAACCTGGGCAGCATTCCCGCCTCCTCCCTCTCCCTCACCCTCACCCTCAGCACTCACTGATGACTGAGTCCTGTGGGATTTACCCCCTTCTCCACTGCTCCCCTTCCTGTTCCAATGAGCACAGCCCCAGTCCCCGTTTTTGCAACCCTTGGCCTGAAATTCCAGAACAGCAATCTAAATGGATTCCCTCCTCTGGCCTTCTCCCCTTCACATTCATCCCTGAAAATTCATTTTTAAATCCAACCTCTAATAAGGCACTAAAAATACCAAATGTCTTCCTAAAATTCAAATTTTCCTGGCCACTGGTCAGCTTAACACTCTTCTATGGTACCCCATGAGATCAAAGGAAGATCTCCTGAGCGCGGCCATCAGTCCCCACATGTGGCTAACTCTTCTCAACACATCTCTCACCACCCTGCTGAAAACTTGGCCCACTCAACTGCCTATACACCCGAGAACACTCCAGTGCTGCCACCACCTCTCTGCTTTCACTTATGCTGTTCCCCCTGCCTGGAATGCCCTTCCCCCCACTAATTCTTACCCATCTTCTGAGACTTGTTGAGGAATCTTTCCCAGGCAACTGCTGCATTTCTCTATGACTGCGTTAGTTTCCAGGTATTGTAATGATCTGCTCTTCTGCCTCTCTCATAGAGTGGATTATAATCCCCGGCTCTGGGAGGACCTGGAACCATGGCTCATGCATACATGTATGTCAGTGCCTAGCACAGTGCATGGTGCATAGGAGATAATTAGTGAAGATTTACGGGCCGAAGGAAGCCAGCTCTACTGTTAGTTCTACCCCCAAGTTCCTTCTCCAATTTTAATGGCGGAAGTTTTATTTTGTTCTTCTGCCTTGAACCCCATAGGTTGAAACTCCTTGTGGGGCTTAAGGCATGGACTTGACCCCTTGCCCAGCAGCCCAGTTCTGCCAAGACTGTGGCTCTCCCTTGTCCTTCTCTCCAGAACTTACTCCTTCTAGGAGTAAGGAGTGAAGGCTGCCCTCAAACCCCAGTCTAGACAGGCCTCTCATTGCCTATTGGCAAGAGCCTGTAGCCAACTGCTGACTAAAACTGCCCTTGGCACCTGCCAGGTGCCACAGGTCTACCTGGGCTCCAGCCACTCCAGCCCTGGCCCAGAAGCCTGACCAATGACATAGGCAACCTGATTGCTCTCTCGAGTCAGACCCCCCAGCATGAGGCTTTATGGAAGGGCTGCTGCCTGGGCAGTGTGACTCCCCATGCTCTCAAGGTGACTTATACTGAACAGCCTTTCCCGTTCAGTCCTTTCTTATTTTGTGAAAACACCCTGACCCCCAGCTGACCCAGCAACCTTGTAGCCTGACTGTGCAGAGTTTAGCATACTGCTCCATGCCTTTGCTTTAACACACTATCAAGTATCCAGCCGCTGGGCACTCCTGCGCCACCACTACCCTACCCTGCAACTATATTTTCATCTACCCAGCATTATACAAACTAGAGAACTAGGGGGAAAATCTCTCCCCACTTGACCAGCCTGGAGGTGACTACCCACATATCAGCCTTCCTCCTCCCCAGGACCCACCATGGAAACAGTCTCAAATCCAGGCTTTCTTTGTCTTGTGGACAAGAAGTCCAGACATTCAGATGCTAGGAGCTTAACCTACACCTCATTAAGCTGCAGCCTGGTGACATGACTGCAATTCCTGATCCTGCCTCTGCTGGAAAACCCTGACCCTAGACTGGGTCCTGATTCTGGTAACTACTTCTGACATCATCTCAGCAAGAAGAAATGGAATCTTCTCCTTGTACAAATTAAATGTGTGAGCAGTGCCATCCGCAGACTAGGGACAACAGGAGCCTGCCCTGAGCCCCATGCTTTAAAAAGTATCAGATTTTGAGTATGCACTAATTATACTGACATGTGCCTTTTAATTTTGAATATTTGGAAGACAATCTTTTTTTGAAAACATTGAAATAATTTTAATTTTTTAAAAAATATTCTTTTCTTTTAGAGACAGGGTCTTGCTACGTTGCCCAGGCTAGAGTGCAGTGGTTATTCACAGTCATGATCATCGTGCACAACAGCCTCCAACTCCTGGGCTTAAGCAATCTTCCCCACTCAGCCTCCTGAGTAGCTAGGACTACAGGCACATGCCACCAAACCTGACCAAATATTTTAACTTTTATATTTACTACAATTTATCTATTTACTAAATATATACTCAATTTTTATACACTTTGAATATAATTAAATTTCCTTGTGTAATTCTTTAGATCACTGAAAATGAGTATAAATTGGGATTATGATTGAAATAGAAAAGTGGAGCTCAGAAAAAAGGAGCTGAAAAGAATAAATAATAGAACATCAATAATGAATGAAAATGCTCACTTTTTTCTTTTTTTTTTTTTGAAACGGAGTCCCACTCTGTTGCCCAGGCTGGAGTGCCGTGGCACGATCTCAGGTTACTGCAAGCTCCGCCTCCCTGGTTCACGCCATTCTCTTGCCTCAGCCTCCTGAGTAGCTGGGACTACAGGAGCCCACCACCATGCCCGGCTAATTTTTGTATTTTTAGTAGAGACGGGGTTTCACCATGTTAGCCAGGATGGTCTTGATCTCCTGACCTTGTGATCTGCCCACCTCAGCCTCCCAAAGTGCTGGGATTATAGGCGTGAGCCACCGTGCCCGGCCAATGCTCACATTTTAAAAAACAGAAAACACCAATTATGTGCCCATAATAATAAGAAATACAATATAAAATATAGTTTTTTAAATTTTAAAAACACTGAAAACAGGTAAAAAAAAAAAAGCCACTTCTGTTGAGCATGGCCCATATACACTTTGAAACGATATTATAAATTCTCGATTTAATAAAGACTTAGGAAATAATTACTGATCAAAACAATGAAAATTAGCAAGAAAAATATTCCCATTAAATATGCAACTTGAACTTGATATTTTGCTTTCAATCATATAAAACTCTGGCTTTACACTTTTTAAATTTTGTCATTCTGAAGGTATATTTGTCAAGCTGGGAGGCTGGAACACATCTTAACAGTCTTTATGTTTGACATCTAATGTTTCAATATTTGGACACATTGTATATGGCTCTCCCTTAGCGCCTACAGGAGGTCCCACAAAAGTCGGGGGCAGGCATGTATGTGAGGCAAAGGAGGAGGCAACGTGTTTTGGTGGGGAGAGCTTGGGCTTCCAAATCCAAACCACAGCTCTGCTACTCTTAACTCTTGGGAGCCTCAGTTTCTATATCTCTAAAATAGACATAATAAAACCTAGCTTATATGCTCCACATATATAAATTCCTTTTTTATTTTAGAACTATTTATTTTTTATTTTTCCCATCTGCCTTTTACAATCTGGTTTAGCCTAATCCAATGGAGTAAACAGTGGTTTCCACTGTATACTTTATTTGCACAAACGACTTTGCTGAGCTCCTTGAGATCAAGGCAGGAGAAAGTACACTCATTAAGCCTGGCCTCTCTACCCGACACGCCAAGGAGCTGGCTCCTGGGTTAATCACTTTATGCAGCCCCAAGAATTCCTCACAGGAGTATAAAATGAGGAAATGAGAACAAGTCTACATTCCTGGGTTTTGGCGAAGGAACTCAGTAAGCCCAGCGCCTGTTTTGTTATGTTGGCAATGTGCATTCTCCTTCCAGCTACAATCCAGCTAAATACCAGAGTTCCATGAGAAGGCCTGGATCCCCTCAACCTTTACTGAGGTAGAGCACTTGTAAGAATAGCAGTACCTATGCTGAAAGCGCCAAGCGCCAAAGCTACCACGGTAGTCCCAATTGAAAAAGATGGGGCTGGGAAGAAAACAAAACTATGAAGTGCAATGCAGTCCTTCCTGAGCATGTGGACTCCAGCCATCCTCTGCGTAGTGCTGTTGCCCCAACAGCAGAGACCGCCCCAACCAAAGACAGGTCAGTTTAAATGTTCCTTGTCCTTCTCCCAGAGCTTCAGTGGGGTTGGCTGGCTTGCAGAGCGAATTAATTAAGGAGAACAACGGCCTCAGCCTGGTGCGTGCAAGAAGCCTGCTGGCAGGTTAAAAAAGCAAAACATAAGATGTGGCTCCCCAGCACTGTAAAAGGCACTTCTGCAAGTGAACAGGTATGTGGTGCACCATGGAACTGGGTCCACAGGTGTAAACTGAGATTGTTCTGGGCAAACCAGGGTGTGTGGTTACCGCAGTCGTGGAGAGCTGAGAAACCCTAGTAAGGACAAGGACATGCGTGGCTCCCTCCCTCCCCTTCACCCTGCAGCTTATTTCTGGTAGGGGTTTTGTTCTATGAAAGCTAAGCCATGAGGCAGAATGAGTAAAGTGGCCTTCCAACTGTGTGATGTCACCAGAATGGGTTTGGGTGCAGTCTCCCCACATGGACAACAAGCTAATGATACTATACCTGTTACATACAGGCGGTCACAGGCAATCTGTGAAAACATCAAACGCTAGACAGCAAGCATTATTCTCCCTCTTCCCAAAGCTGCTTTGTCTGAAACACTGACACTCCTAGGGATTCACCCTCTTGTACCATTGTGTCTCAAATAAATAGTAAATGGAGTTACGTAACCCTCAATGATGTCTTAACTGTTCTGAGCTCTTTATCTATAACATTAAAAAACAAAAATCCTCAAGGTGGCTGGACATGGTGGTTCGTGCCTATACTCTTAGCACTCTGGGACGCTGAGGCGCGAGGATCACTTGAGGCCAGGAGTTCATGAGCAGTCTGGGTAACATAGTGAGACCCCCATCTCTACAAAACAAAAAGTAAAACCTCGTGACCTGTGAAGTCTTTTCTAGCTCTGCAAGTCTTGACCTGGGCTCTGGGAAAAATGCACAATAGCTAAGAATGATGGCTCACCCTTGTTTGACCACAATGACATACCTGTATTTACTCATTTCATCCCCCCAGGTACCCAGTATATCATATCAACCCCATTTTGCAGGTGGAGAAGGTGAAGTCAGAGAGGTTAAGTTAATTGGCCTGGAAGCAGATTGCCCAAGTCAAGATAAGACAGTGCCACCTCTCAAGAAGTTCAATTTTAGTGATAATTTCAGTGAAATCATCATAAGAGATATAATAGCAGCCAATGCTTGTATTATGTGGCACCCATACACCAAGCATTGTTCTCATAATGTATATTAATTCATTTAGTGCTCATTACATCCCTAAGAAGTAGAAATTATTATTATCTTCGGTTGACACATGAGAAAATTAATGCATAAAGGGTTCAGTAACAGTCCAAGGTTTCTTACAGCTAGTGAGAGAGCTGGGGTTTGAAGCCAGGCAGCCTGGCTCTAGAGTCTATCATCAATTACTACGTTATACAAACGACACCTGGACATTTTGTCAGCCTAGAATAAGACAACTAACTGGGGCAGGCATGGGAATGGAGAACCTGGAGAAGACATCAAAGAATTAGCTGGAGTTCAGCAAGTAGAGCAGGGAAGGGCATTCTACACTGAAGGAACAGCATGAGCAAAGGCACAGAGGTGTGAAGAACAACTGCTTTCAAAGAAATGCAAAGAAGCTTAGAGTGAAGGGAGATGGAGGATGGGAGTATTGCTTAGAAATAATGAGCTGTGTTTATTTTCTATTCTTTTCAACTTTTCTGAATGCTTGAAATTTGAAAAAGCGCTGTCAAGCCTGGGTGGAGTGGAGGTCATGCTAAAAGCTGTGCAAACCTGCAGAAGACAACTCTGCGGGGGGTCTCACAGCATTGCCGAGCTCTGCTCTGCTCCTGGCCACCTGAGCAGGACCAGCAGACAGTGACATGAGAAGGGGCAAAGAACATAGTGGCCAATCCCAGGAAGCACCCTGCTGACGGAACCAGGGCCCACAGAGCCAGTTTGTGTGGTTTGAAGAAGCTGACTATGACCTTCAGGCCAGGTGGAGAATCCAGTATGGAGAGCAGCAGAATAGACTGGGCAATTAAAAATGTTCAGGCCGGGCGCAGTGGCTCACATCTGTAATCCCAGCATTTTGGAAGGCTGAGGAGGGTGGATCACCTGAGGTCAGGAGTTCGAGACCAGCCTGGCCAACATGATGAAACCCCATCTCTACTAAAAAAATACAAAATTAGCCAGGCGTGGTGGTGGGCACCTGTAATCCCAGCTACTCGGGAGGCTGAGGCAGGAGAATCACTTGAACCCGGGAGGCGGAGGTTGCAGTGAGCTGAGATCACGCCACTGCACTCCAGCCTGGGTGACAAGAGCAACACTCCATCTCAAAAAAAATAATAACAATAATGTTCAAGTGGTTCAGGTTTGAGGGAGAGCAGAGCATGGATGTGGTGGTGCGGGGTGGTGGGAGAGTTGAGGGCAGGGTCAAAGCTCTAGGTGGAAGGTCTGGTCACTCCACGACACGCCCATGCCAAGGAAGACCAGAAACTGTGAGGCTGGGGCCCTGGCTGGCTCATCAGCATGGATGCTGCAGTCTCTGGAAACCCCCGTGGGGGACCTCAAGAAGGAGAAGAGGTGCTGGCCTCACCTCCTCAGAAGGTGGGGTCATGTACCTCGAACAGACAGGGCTGGGTGGCACAAAGATGAAAGGAAAGAGTGGAAAACAACAGCAACAAACCAACAACAGCAGAAGCGGAGTCTGAATCACTCTGCTCTCATTAGCTCTGTGATCTTGACATTTCTACTTGTTTGAGGTTCAGTTTCTTCTCCCGTTAAGAAAAAAAGAAATGGTGGATGGGGGGGGGGGTAGGGCAATAATTGTCCCTCCCCCATAGGATTCTATAGGTGATCAATAAAGGATGTCTATCATTTTGATGAATACTTCAAGTAATTAGAAGTGGAGGAGGCTTGTATTCGAACAGTCCAACCTTGGGAGTGGGAGAGGAAGAAAGGAAGTCAGAGATGTTCAGAAGGAAAATGAAAAAGCAGTGAGTGGTCAGAGACTGTCACACATCTCCCTCCAGAGACGGGGCTGTCAGGCGAGATCCATGCCCTTCCTGAGATTCCTTGCCACAGCCTTGCCCAGGTTCCTCCCCAGGCGCTTGAAACCACAGAAAGCCGTGCATCAGGGTCCGTGCTAGAATACCGCAGGAATGAGAACGAATTGGCACCCTGCTTCATCCAGGCTGGTTAACCCCTCCCTTGAAAGATAAGAAAGTACTCAGCCCAGAGTGTAATTCCTTCCTGTCTGCCCCGTCAATGCATTTGCCATTTTCAAAAACAAAAATCCCTCCCTGAATAATTCATTATTCGAAGGAAACGCCAGCCCAGAGTGCGCCACTCCATTTACTCTGACATAAGAGCTCATCTCGGGCCATGTGTATGTGTTTCTGAAAAGGATCCACATGAGCAATCGCTTTTTAAAACGTCGATATCCGAGAAGGCAAGCAGAGAGTTTAAAAGGGCCATAATTCATAAATCAATGATGCCACACTCCTGAGGAAGAGTTCTGCATTGACTGGTCAACAATTCCATTTGCAACAAGCTGAAACATCTGCGTCTCCCTGCTTCTCTAGCTGGGGTCCCAGGGCGGCTGCCCCACGATAATAAGGCAAGGTTTTAGGGCTAATCCGAATCATACTCTCTGGGATTCAGGCATGGAGATGTGGGATTGCTGTGGATTTTATCTAAACCTTTTCATTTCTGTTAATATCCCAATAACTAGAACCAATCCGAACCAAGCAAGAAAAAAAAAATGTGAACACTCATGACTCAGAGTCCTTTGTTCCTGGCTATGTAACAGGGCTGTTCACCAGTCAGTGTGAGACCCTGTCCTTGTCCTTGACAAGCACCAGCACAGGTTTAGCCCGGATCCCAGTTCCAAACATATCTAGGGGGAAATTTAAACAATTGTTGCTGTTTTTGATGGTTCCTGATGGCCTCGATCAAAGTATGGTGTTTGGCCTTGATCATGGCTGTGAAAACAAAACTCTACACCTGGAATTGGCTAACTGCCCAACATATGCTCACACAGAACTCAAAGGCCAGAGCATCAGAGAGAAAATCAGTAAGCTGAGGCCACCGTCTGGAGTTGCTTTTGGACACATACTTTACCATTGCTAGAGAAAAACAACCTGCAGCTTGGATTCATCAGTAATCTTCATTGCAGACAAACGAGATAGAACACCTGTCAGCTCTCAGGGTTTCCAAAGAGCAGGATTTGGGGGAGTCTGGGTATAATTTTTTCTTCTTTCTTCCCCTCTCAGCTTGCCTCCCTCCCCCGAAGTGTCTAACCAAACATGGAACACACAAGAGCAGAAGAAGAAAGAGAACAAGCGAGAAAGAAGAGCAGCAGCCCAGGAAACAGATGGAGAAATTGGGGGATTGGGAGCTTTGCATTTTCCCCATTCGCCCAAATTCAACAAATAGGAAGGCTCCTCTGCAGCTCTCTCTCAGTCAGCAAAGAGCTTTCCAGGACATTTTGTTTACTCAACACCTCTTCTCTGCCCTGCTTAAATCTATTCTGGAACAAGGAAGGGCAAATAAATTAATTAGGCTGGGTAGGGTGGCTCACGCCTGTAATCCCAGCTCTTTGGGAGGCCAAGGCGGGCAGATCACCTGAGGTCAGGAGTTTGAGACCATCCTGGCCAACATGGTGAAACCCCGTCTCTACTAAAAATACAAAAATTAGCCAGAAGTGGTGGCGGGTGCCTGTAATCCCAGCTACTCTGGAGGCTAAGGCAGGAGAATCACCTGAACCCGGGAGACAGAGGTTGCAGTGAGCCGAGATCGTGCCACTGTACTCCAGCCTGGGTGATGGAGCAAGACTCTGTCTCAACAAAAAAAATTAATTAATTATACCACCTACCATTTATCAGTGCTCACGACAAAATGGATGCACTTTTACAATAAGCATTATCTCATTTAATCCTACAACCAGTCCTTGAAGAAAGAAACTCTCCTTAACCCCATCTTTCAAGGCAGGAAACCCAGGCACAGAGAGGCTACGTAGATTATCCAGAGTCACACAGTTAGTGAGCAGTAAAAGTGGGACAGGAACTTGAGCACCAGGCAGCAGAAGCCACCCTCGGCCAGCATCTCTCCTGCGTGTTAGAGCCACCAGAACAAGCTGATAGAAGGGAAAGGGTGGGAAGGGCACCCTTCTCTAGCTTTGTGTTTGGGGTAGGGATGGAAAGTGACCACTGACAATAGCTTAGCATTTACTGAGCACTCATCGTATGCTATGATTTGAGTTGTCCCCGCCAAAACTCATGTTGAAATGTGATCCCAAGTGTGGTGGTGTTGGGAGGTGGGGCCTCATGAGAGGTGTCTGGGTTATGGGGATGGATCTCTCATGAATGGCTTGGTGCCATTCTCATGGTAGTGAGTTCTTGCTCTGGGGAGACTGGATTACTTCTGGTGAGACTGGGTTGTTAAAAGCCAGGACACCCCTCAGGTTTGGCCTCTTTGCACCACTTCCCCTTTGCCCTTCTGCCATGTTGTGACACAGCACGAAAGCCCTCACCAGATGCCAAGCAGATGCCAGCACCAGGCTTCTGGAGCTTGCCATCCTGCAGAACCATGAACTAAGCAAGGCTCTTTTCCTTATAAATTATCCAGCCTTAGCTATTCTGTTAGAGTAACACTAAATGGACTAAAACACTGTGTGTCAACTAAGCACTACAGGCATGTGGTCATTTACAAATACCCCGTGGAACAGGTGCCATTATCCTCATTCCAGGGATAAGAAAACTGAGACCCAGAGAGGTCCTGTGGGTCAAATGTATTTGAACCGGGATTCTCATTGAGAGAGCTGGGGTCAAAGCCCGTGCTCCTGACCATTATGCTCCACTGGAGTTACAGATGGCAGTGAGCATCTGAGCCTCAGTGACCCTTTAGCACCAGCAAGGGCAGAGAGGAGCGCATTAACCCAGCATCAAGGAAAGGCTGTCTTTAAGGAAAGTACACCACTTTGCGCAGCTACCCATAAAGATTCTAGAGTGAAATAAGCTATCAGAATTTAATTCTGCAGGTATTCACTCAGGCTACTATTTGTTTACTCAAGATCAATCAATTGACCCCATTCTTCAAGAAAGAACTAAAAGAAAGAAAAGAACTAAAAGAAAGAGGATATGGAAGGAAAGGACATAGGGAATTATACAAATACAGTGTAATGCTGAGCCTGCTGGCCCACAGGGTAGCCTGAAACTAGAAGGGGGCAAGGCCCAGCGGGTGTAGGGCCTGCTCTTGGGGCTCCATGGGTAAAGGGACTCTGGACCAGGACCCCCACGTGCTCACTATAGCTTTCCCCACTGAAAGCCAGAGAGCTTGCCTTACAGTCTTTTCCATCTCTCGCGTTCTGTTATTTTTAGTTGGTTTCAATCTTTGGACAGCAGGAACCTCTTTACCAGAAAGCTCAATATGTAAAAAGGACTTAAAGGGGCTGATTAGGTGGGAATGAGGAGGTTCAGCAGGGCACAGAAACTATCCCTAGTCCCCAAGCCCCGTGACCAGTCAGAGGCACCTCTACCAGCCAATTCAGAGACCTCTACACAAAACCTTCCCTTCTTCACCAAAGTGAGCTGGCTGTAGACTGCAGACGTTTGTGCGGAGGTGGAGGGGCTGGAACACATGCCTGCTCTGTTCCCTTTTCAAAGGTCTGGAGACGCTGGCCTGGCCTCTGTGGGAGGCCTACACGCCTTTCTAGAGGTCCTTAATCAGGTACGGGCCTCAGGTGTCTGATAGTTGTGCCACCACATTCCCCGCTTACCACCACCAGCACCATCATCAGGACCAGAAGTTCATACTGTCAGCTACTTGTTAGAGAATCAACAGCCTTGAAAACTTCCAAGGATTGTGCAGAAACAGATACAAAGTGTATTCACAAATCAATTTCCCAGAGCATAGTACATCCCTTCTCAAGCCGAATAACCTTCAAAATCTGAAGAAGATGAAAAAGGAGAAGAAAAACGTGAAGGGTTACCCAAGGTTGCAAGCACAATGGCCAGAATGTGTGTAAATACTGGACTGGCCCTGTGTGCTTTGGGTCCTCTGACAGAATGGCCATTTCCTGCAGCCCCATTTCCTCTCATTGTATTTCAGTGGAACAAAAATGTTATAGAGAGCAGCCACTCAGTCACATAGGTTATTTTAATAGATACATCCTACAAGCCTTGAAAACTTGCTCTACGCTCTGATAACAAGGCTAAAAATATCACAGGCCCTATTAGCAGATTTGAGGCTCCAAATCAGTGAGACTGGAACACACGTGTGTGTTTTTCTCAGCGCATCCTGCAAGTTTTCCCACGTGCTGCCACCCTCGACACATTTTCATATTATCTTTTCCCCTGAATCTCGGTTGAAACTGATGCTTTCATACAACACTGGAGGATTTGGTGGCATTGATGATCTCTTCAGCATTCCTCATTCAGCTGCACATTTCATCCAAAGGCTGAAGGATGCTCTCATTTATGCATATGTGCATTTTTGCAACTACAAAATGCACGGTAGACAATACTGAAGAGCTGGCTACACAGGAACTGTCTGTCCCAAGAGCCATCACAAAAGAGCTGATCTTTCCACAAACCACTTGTGAGCTCCTGCCAGCTCTGTAATTCAGGGCCACTCTCGAGATTTCCACTCTTGGGACCAGAGATAAATCTTTGGTGTCCCAGGCGTTTGATCAAAGCTCTTCTTTCCTTCATTATCCTATCAATATGAATGAACACTACCATTTAGGTGTCAGATATGTAAAGCTAATCTAAAGACACAAGTTTTCATTATCTTCAGAAAGATACTAATACATTTTTTAAAATTCCGAGCTTCTCAGAAAATGTAGATTTAAAATATAAATATTAATTACAGGCAAAATATCTTAAAGTTGTGATTCTCAGCCCTGACTGCTCATTAAAAATGGGTGGCAGGGGTATTTTCAAATGATTCCTAGCTCTTCCAGATGGTTCTTAAGGACAGCCAGGGCTGAGGGTTGAGAATCCCTGTCTTTCCCCCCTTTCCCCCAACCAGAGAGACAGTCTCACTCTGTTGCCCAGGCTGGAGTGCAGTGGCATGATCATTAGCTCACTGCAGCTTTGAACTACTAGGCTCAAACAATCCTCCTGCCTCAGCTTCCTGAGTAGCTAGGACCACAGGCAGGAGCTATGCTCCACTGGAGTTACAGTGATGAGTTACATGCCCATATGATTTAAAAAATTTTTGTAGAGCCAAGGTCTCACTATGGTCCTAGGCTTTTGTCAAACATACACATTAGCACAGTGAAAGAAGACATGCAATAAATGCATGAACTGTGAACAGTATTTTAATAAATGTATTAAATAATATGGTCAATCTTATGGTCTCTGTACACAAATTTCTGAGTTATCACATTATTATACAAAATCCAGAGGCACCTTTTCTTTTGTAGACATGGGATCTTGCTATGTTGTCCAGGCTGGTCTTGAACTCCTGTCCTCAAGCAATCCTCCTGCTTCAGCGTCCCAAAGTGCTGGGATTATAGGCATGAGCCACCTTCCCCCACCAAGAACCTGTCATCTGTCTTAAAAGACACAAGTCTTCAGTGCGGTGGTTTTGCGAGGGTCTAAGTGGGTGGTTCTCCACCTTGCTTGCACATTAGAATCCCAAGGAGAGTTATTAAAATGCATGGGACACATCTCCAAAGATTCTGATTTAATTGGTCTGGGGTAGGACTAGGTTCTGGTATTTGAATATTATTTGAATATTCAGCCAGAGTTGAGGACCAATGGTGTAAGTCAATGCCCTTCTCTGATTGACCTATCCTTAAACATATGAAGCTAAAGAATCAGGAAATGTATCTTCATATATTTCTTCAGACCTAAAAATCCCGAGAATAGCACTACTTTGCCTACTTTAGACAGAAAGTAAGTAATAAAGGCATCTGAATAGAGAATTAGATTTGATGTTATAATGTCCACATACATCCCTTTCAGACGGAGTGTCCCTCTGGTCCTCATGAAAAGCTTGT
The DNA here is from genome assembly GCF_000001405.40 of Homo sapiens. NCBI lineage: Eukaryota > Metazoa > Chordata > Mammalia > Primates > Hominidae > Homo > Homo sapiens. The sequence goes on along the minus strand of NC_000002.12, from coordinate 45,788,653 downwards.
TTCATTTCATGCACTGTTGAAACAAGATCACTTATCTGGTTTCTAAACCAACAGCTGATCAGAATCAAGTAAATTAGAGGCAATGGAGGGGTAGGTAGAAAGGATGAGAGAGGCTGTGTAGAAGCAGGCCCCCTGATTGCAATGAGAAGTGAGTGCTGATAGAGAAGACACAGAAAAACTGAAGTAAGTAGACACTGCACGTAAAAACACTGGAGTCAGGATTCTCTAATGAAGGGACAAACACCTTGATGTATCCAGAATGGCTCTGTGAACATCAACGTGCCACTGCATAGCAACATTACCGATGCTCCTAAGAAAAGCCCAGAGTCACCAAGGATGAGTTAAATTATGTTCATTATAACCATTTTATGAAAGCTGAAATAGGGGTGATGACTTCCATCCAAAATAGTAATAATAAAAGGTAAGTGTAGTTTAAGGAATACGCCTTTAGCTATTTGGAAATTGCAGTCACCCAGAACAACCCATGCCCTGAGAATCCCAAGTAGCCACAGACTTCAGTAGGAGACACTTTGGCAGGAAAAGTTTCGGCTTGACCAGGAAGAAATCCTGTCCCTCTCAGAGTCAGAACACGGTGAGGCCTGAAATGGGGGAGAATATTATTGAACGATCCTGACCTTCAGGGTTTCTAGGCACACACAGGGTACTCCAAGCTTTCATTGAAAACCTAACATGAGAGACAGCTAAGACAAAGGGAGAGCAGTGAGAAGCCTCTGTGGCTGGCAGGATCGCAATGCTCTGGATGGGCCGCTGGTTACATATCACTCCCCTGCACAGGATCTCCAGGCCTGCAATTCCTTGCTGAGAACTTCATCCCTTGAGGTCATACATCCCACTACCCAGACACTTTCTTTAGATGCAAAAATCCATGGGATGGTTAATACCTGTATCGCGAACCCTGAGCCAAGTTGTCAGGTCTCTTCTGTTGATACGGTAAGCCTTGTCGTTTTCAATATCTTTCCCCTCTCCAGATGAAATCTTATATGGAACCCAAATATATTATAAAGAGAAAATGGGATACCCCTGGTTGAAGGGCTTTCCATAGCATGAGTCTTGTCACCCCTCCCTCTCATCAGGTTCCCATGAAACACCTGTTTAGGAAACCATCTGGAAAAGACCTGCCTGGCTCCATTGCCTACAACTGAACTTCCCCTCCCCAGACGCACCTGCAGGCTCAGTCCCATTCTGTGGCCAGCATTGCCCAGAGGTGATGACTGGTCAGGGGCCTCTCAGCTGCTATTCAGCTCAGATGTCTCTGACTTTGTGTCTCTCTCTCTCTCTGTCTCTGTCTCTCCCTCTCCCTCATCACATTTTATCCTACTAGGCTATTTGTTCTCCAAATCCACCCCCAAAACTATCTAGGTGTGATCATTGAGTTCCTGTGCCTGGAATCCCGTTTTGGTCAAGCTTCCGAGCCTGCACTCAGCTCCAGCTATCACCAGCTCCTGTTGAGAAGCTCAGCGCCCCCAGCAGGGCTGCCAGCTACAGCCACGCTCCTCCCAGCTTGGGGGGACACCTCACTTCCAAATGGCCAAGTGTAGATTTTCCCACATCCACCAGCAGATAAGATTCACTCAGGGTCTCTATTCAATGTGCAGATTCCCAAACCCATAGGATCATCGGATCCAGGGGAAACCGATGGGAAATCCCGACTTGAACCAAAGCCTCAAGTGACTCACCAGGCGAGTTTGAGAAACACCAGCTTCCTGGTTAACAGTGAGGTTCTGGAATCGTATTCCCTAGGGTTTGAATCGCATCTCTACTATTGCCATGTGATTTTGTGCAAGTTACTTCAGCTGTCTAAACCCTCGGTTTCCACCTCTGTAAAACGGGGGTGAGGGTAGTGGTTACCTCACTGAACTGTTGGAGGATTAGGTGGCCAAGAGGCTGTACACAGCACTCAGAGCCTGCTTGGCACAGGGTGAACCCCCAGTAAGGTTTGCTGCTGTTCCTTGATAATAAACTTAAACCCTTGCCCCCTCACTCCCACCCCTGAATCTCATACAAAATACTCTGTCTTCCCAGTTGAACCTCCAGTGCCAAGGTCTGAAGGCCCCTAAGGCCTGTCCTGTTCCTGTTAGTGGGGCCTGTCTGCTTCAGGTCTTGTTGAAGTGAATTAGGTAGTGTGCAGATGGAAACTAAAGATAAAATGGCTGAAAGCAGATACTAGGAGCAGCCAGAAAGAGAGGGAGTGGGTGGGTACAGAAACGGAAGTTGCGGTAGGGAATACAAACTTCACTGATGTCACAGTTTTCTTGGAACCCCACGGATGAGGCGGTTAAACAGCAACTGTCACTTGAACTGTCTCTTCATTGTAACTCCTCCTGGAAACTTGGGATGAATTCTACTGTGTGGCCAGGCCAGGGAGACACAGAGACGCTGGACAGGCAACCTGGAAAGCCCAGCACTCCCTGGAAACCGGAGAGCAAGAAGCAGCACGGGGGATAAATAAGTCACTGGCAGACTGCAATCAATGCCCCTTGCTAATAATACATTGCTCATTTCAAATAAAGATCCCCAGCAGGTGCCTATGGAAGGCCATAGGTCCCTGGAGAGAAGCAGGTATCTATTCACCCCCACGATGACCCAGCAGGGCTGTGAGACTCTAGACCCCTCAGCAGCGCTGAGGCAGCATGACTGCAGCAGAACCCTAGGAAGGTTCTGGGTCTCAGCAGCAGGTGCCTAAGGGAGAGGTTTCAAGGCAACGAGCCATCCCTGCTGTCTCCATCTTACTCCAACAGCTCAGTCTGCCCGGTGCTGCATGTGAGGCAGAGGTTCGAGTTTGGCCTCCTGGTGTCATAGGAGCACTCCCATCTGTTGTGCTTCCTCGGCCTGGGTTGAGTGGTCTCCAGTTCACCACAGATCCCCTAACCCTGACCAGCATCTCTCAGTGCCACTGGCTCTGAGGGTAGTGGTCACCATAAGTTTGGAAAACAAAACCAGGTGCTACATAGGATGCCTGAGTGATGCCCAGTCAGAAGAACAGATCGTGTTCAGCAAGAGTCCTCATCCATCCCACAGGGACACCTGAAGTAGTAGCTCCCCTTCTACAGCGTTTCTCAAACCTCTGCCAGTCATGCACTGCCTCCAGCTTTCACCATATATGTTTACCACTTACATTTCTTTTTTTTTTTTATTCTTTTTTTGAGAGGGAGTCTCATCTGTCACCCAGGCTGGAGTGCAGTGGCATGATCTTGGCTCACTGCAACCTCTGCCTCCCAGGTCCAAGCAATTCTCCTGCCTCAGCCTCCTGAGTAGGTGGAACTACAGGTGTGTACCACCACACCCAGCTAATTTTTGTAATTTTAGTAGAGACAGGGTTTCGCCATGTTGGCCAGGCTGGTCTCTAACTCCTGACCTCAAGTGATCTGCCCGCCTCAGCCTCCCAAAGTGCTGGAATTAAAGGTGTGCGCCACCGTGCCTGGCCTCTTTTTTTCTTAAATAATTTTCTTTTAAAAGAAAAATGCTATAATACAACTTAAGAAAATTAGATTCACTGGCCATAGTATTTTTTAATGCAATGAAAATGAAATAATATCATGCTAAGGCCCTCTGCCTCTGTGTGAAGAGGGTGATAAGTATTAGAGAGATGGTAATGACACTCTAGCCCTAAGCTGAGAGTTTCTCTTTGATTTGATGAGAAGGACTGAAAGAAAATTAGAGGAAAAGGATAAGAAATACCTTTATATTTTTGAGGTATAGTACCAGATCTTAAGTGTACAGTTTGCTGAGTTTGACAAATCACATATACTCCAATAAAGACAAAAAACATTATCATTATTCCAGAAAGTTCTCCCCTTCTCCTTCACAGTCAAGTACCCAACCAAAGTCAACCACCATTTTCCTTTCTATCCCCATAGGTTCATTTTTTTCTGTTTTTGAATTTCATATTATTGGCTCACAGGCGTAGCTTCATCACTGTTAAATCAAAGTTCTGCTCATGTTATACTTTTGTAAGTGTTTGAAATTTTTCAAAATAAAAAGGTTTGTTTAAAAAAAAACAAAAAGCTAGGAGATGCCCTGTTCTTACTTTATCTAAAATCTTCTCTAGACCCTCTAACCCTCTAATGGGATGAGATCTACAATTTGGGGCACCATGAACTGGGAAGACATCAAATTAGGAAATTGGATTCCGACTTTGCAAATCCCAACACGAAGCTGATTATAGCACTGATTTGCCAAAGTTTCTCCGGCAAATCCCAATTAATCTGATTATCTTTTAAGCTCTCCAAATGTAAGTCTTCTCCTAGATTCACAGCCAGCCCACTTCTTCCTTTTTTGGCAGGTTCGGTTCCACACCTCACCCGCAAGTGGCCCTCACGCCTACAGGGGCCTTGTCAACACTGCTCCCTCTGCAAAGACCACCTTTCTCACTGCCTCCAATTCCATGTCTTCAGCTCCTTCCTTGGGATCCTGGCCAAGGCCAAAGCCTCTCCCCTCCCTTAAAATCAAGTTTACACTGCACATTTGCACTTGGCCTTCTTTGCTTTGCATTGCTACTTTTCTTTTAATATGAGCACACTTCATTCCTTCAACTAGACCCTGAGGTCCTTGAGCGCCAGCACAGAGCTCTCCTGACATCCAGAGAAGATATTGGATACAGCGATGCTAGTGGGTGAGTGTGTGTGTGACTGAACTGACATGAAATCTCCCTGCAGGTTGGATCCTAACAAAGTTCGAAGTCATGGCCTGGAAGATGAAGAAAGAAATGAATGGAGGCTGCAGCAGTTTCTTCAGACAGATCTATGCTTTCTGTGACTTTCCTATCACAGGTCCTGAGCCCCAGCACTACACATTCAGATTCAACAAGTCCGGAGTAGGGCTCTAGAGCTTGCACACTTCCCGGCTCCTAGAAGATTCTAAGATGGGAGGCTCGTGAGCCACACCCAGAGAAACACCATCCTGTGACCAGAGAACAGGTTAGGATACTGAACATCCCCTCATCTGCAGACCAAGAAAAACTGAGTTCTTGGCTAGCATGGAGCCTAACTTGTGTTTTAGTTAATTCTACTTCTGTCACTGGAGGTTGGATTAAACAGTAAGAGAACGACTTCCATACAACCAAAGGTGAACATAAGGTATAAAAAACCTGCAGATAGAAGTAGATTCCCAAGGAGGGAAATGCTGAAACCCAGCAAAGGAGATGACTGCAGTTCCTGACCTGAGACTCCGTCCTATTTCCCTTATGACATTACCCAGTGGTGCTTTTCCTGTTCCTAGAAAGAAAACCAACAGGGTGCAGCCTTCGGTGGGTGGGGGTCTATGTGTGCACAAGTGCACACAGTGATTTTTATATAAAAAGGCTCACCACAGGACAGCCACCAGCAGGATGATGCCCAGAGCACCGGCATTCTTACCATAGCTAAAGAAAACCCTGAGTATTTGGCCTCTGCAACCAGGGAACAAAGGGAGTTTTGAGATGGCTGTGCGTAAAGGAGCTGGAAGTCATTCCAGCATTTAGAGCTTCAATTGAAAATAAACAAACAGCCCAAGCCTTCCCCAGGACCCAGTCTGCCAAGCACCAGCCTGGGAGTGCACACTGGCCACTGGGGCCAGCACATGGCTATTTATATTCATAATCCAATTTGGACGGGGAAGGCGCATGAAAATAAATTGATTATCTTGAAACTGTAAGAGCAAAATTCATCAGGACAAAAAAGTAATGAAATAATATAGAGGAAGTACCTGAGTAGGTCATCTGAGGGGATGTTTCTCGTGAACTGTCTCCAACCCAGTTTGCTTTCTGGATTCAGACACGAGAAAACTGGCTGACAAAGTTCCAGAAATCACATGCCAACATGTGGATAGAGCTTTGCTGAGTATTTTTCCCCTTTTCTGGGTGTGTGTGTGTGAGTGTGTGTGTGTATGTGTGTGTATATATATATAGTTGTGTGTGTGTATAGATTGTTTGACAGAGGGTTGATTATCTCAACTCAGTTTCTAGCTGGTGAGGAAGAAAAGTGGACAGTTCATAAAAAACAACCATCTTTCCCAAATCTGAGGGTCAAACACAAGGGTACATTATCTTGGAAACACTGGCTTTCTATCTTAGGTCTTGCCCATCCTCTTTTCCCTAGAGGCTAGATTCAACTCTGCCTTCCCACAGGAACAATAGCAACCATTTATGACGCGTGTGGGATATGTCACCGGCTGGAGATGCACAGTCAGGAATAACCTGGGATGGGGACTCTCGGCCTATTTTAAAGATAAGGAAATGGAGGATCAGAATCGAAGTGACTAACCCAACACCACCTCGCTAATCAAGTGGGGACTTGGGATTAGAACCCAAGTCTGTCTGGGGTTTGTGTTGTGACACCATACTGCCTCCCTGAAAAAACCTAAGGACAGTCTCTAAAATCAACATTCATTCCCAGGAAATGGGCACTTGCTGGGGTCAAGTCGGAAGATGGGCCTGGACGAGAGGAGGCTTGGTAAAGCACTGATAGCTTGGAGTTGAGAAAGTATCCCTTTCTTAGCTCAGCTCCGAAGAGTTTACAAGACAGACTTAAGGAGAAACACTTTCACGGACTGCATCTATGAAGGCTGGCCCTTAATTTGAGCTTTCTTCTCTCTGTAGATGAATTATTTAAAAATAAAATAATTTTGATAAAACTCATAACCAAAAACGAGGCTCAAACCTCACCTCCATTTATTATCTATTGGTCCTGAGAAAGGATGTAACCTGTCTAGGATTCAGGTAATTTGTTTTTCAAGTGAGTAGACTGAAGAGGGATGGATGAGGCAGGACCCTGGACCAGGGTGGCTTCTGTGGTCCCCTCTAGCAATGAAATTGATGATTCTAATAACTAACAGAAGTAACCCCGCACTGTGGTGTCCTAGACACCACAGGAGTTTAGGAAAGTGATAATGAGAAGCTATTTTGAATATTTCTGAAAGCCTAAAGAAAAGCAAATATTTCACAGAGATCAGACCACACAGCAAACTACATTATCAGATGTAGCTGTTCCAATATCATGTCGGGGGCCGGGGGGCGGGCGCGGGTGGAGGCCCTGCATCAGCTGCTGGTGATGAGCATCTCTTGTTCTGAGTAAAGCTCCCTGCACCTGTTTCAAAGGTTCTGCCTGTATGCAGAACAGCCCCTCTGACACTTGCAACTGCAAATTTTGATTAATAGAAAATAACAAACAAATTGTCATTAAGGTAGGGGGAGGGGAGACTAATCAAAGATACTGAAGAACTGAATATGATCATTTAAGAAAAACAGGGCTGAGGTTGGACTCCCTGCGATAGGGTGGTAAGCAGGAGTCAGAGGTAGTAATTTGATTTCTTTTTGGTTTTGAGACAGGGTCATGCTCTGTCACCCATGCCGGAATGCAATGGTGCGATCACGGCTCACTGCAGCCTCAACCTCATGGGCTCAAGCAATCCTCCCACCTCAACCTCCCAAGCAGCTGGGATCACAGACATACTCCACACCAGGCTTTTTTTTTTATTATTATTTTGTAGAGATGGGGGGGTCTCCGTATGTTGCCCAGGCTGGTCTTGAACTCCTGGGCTCAAGTGATCCTCCCGCCTCAGCCTCCCAAAGTGCTGGGATTACAGCCTTGAGCCACTATGCCCGGCCTAGTCATTTGATTTCTAAATTAAGTGATTCTTCCTCAGGAGCTTGTGATACAATATGTAAAGCATTTCACGAGCCCTGGCAATTTCTGCAAACACTGTCCAAATTTTTCCTGGCTCTGAGCTGAGACAGTTAAGCTGTCCTCAGTGGCTCAGCAGTGTCAACGGGATGAGCTAGCTGAGAATTGGAAAGACAGCATTTTTGTGATATTTTAGAAAATAGAAACATGTTATAAGAAGGGAAGAAAGCAAATGTGAAACCACAATGAGAGGAGGAAGCTATGACTTCCACTCATCATGAGAACAAGTTACTGAGCAACCCTGGCTGACCAGATGGTGGGATTGGGTGGGCCACCCATGGAAGGCTCTGAGATGTGACCCCCTGGAAACTGAGCATCCCTGAGGCCAACCCTACAGAGGTTTGGGGTGCCCCCTTTGTCTCTCACATGTGCCTCGAAAGACAAGTGAAAGGGATTGCTTGGGGAGGCCAGTGAGATGTGTCCTTCTTTCTTCAATCCCACCACTCTGGCTCTTGGTCGCCTCATTCTCCTGCCTAAGAAGCTCCCATCTTTATGCCAAGAAATCAAATCTAATTCTGCTCAAGCACCTAGAACTCATTACCAGTTTACAAGGAATATAGGGCCAGAGGAACAGGTTAAAAGACACCATGGGAATACAATCAGCAAAATCCAAAATGTGGGAAACTTTACAGGACAATGACTAGTTTCTTCAACAAAAAAAGAAATGGCAAAAACAAAAAAAGAAAAAGGAGGGAGTAGAAATCTATGAATGGAATGAGACATAAAAAACAGCACTCAAATGCAACGTATAGACCTTATTTGAATCATCATTCAAGCACATCAGCTGTTCAAAGTTTATGAGACAAGTGGAAAAATTTGAACACTAATTAGCTATTTGATGATATGAAAGAATACAGGTTTCTTTAATGTGATAATGGCACTGTGGTTATATATGTTTTAAAAGTGTCTTTGAGATCGATACAGATGTATTTACAGATGCAATGTATGATGTCTGGAGCTTTATTTAAAATAATCCAGTTCAGGAGAACCTATGGAGTGAGGTAGGGAGAAAACAAAATTGATTATGTATTGATAAATGTTGAAGCTGAGGGAGATTTATTATACTGTTCTAGGTTTGCATATGTTTAAAATTTTCCATAGTAAAAGGTTTAAGTTAAAAGATGACTGTGATATATTTTTGAATTTTTGATGACAAGGAAATTATAAAATAATAGTTAAAACATAACCCTATTAAAATAAATCACACTACATATGCATGTATTAATTTTTATATACTTGAATAGACATATATATCTATATACAGGCAAAGAAAATCTTCTGAAAGCATGTACCCCAAACGTTTAACTATTAATCATGTTTTCTGGGGGAGAATAGGCCTGGTAGGAGATTTTCTCTTTTTTTTTTTTTTTTACTTTAATATATTTCTGCATTATTTAAATTTCGTCCATCAAACGAGTCTTACTTCTCAGTTCACAAATGGAGCAAGGAAGTAGTCGCAGTGACTCCCTGGAGCTCTCAACCTAGCTCTCGCAGGCTCTGTATCCCAGACCCCTCAACCCACAACACCTGGCACAGCCCAAGATCAGCAAGTCTTTCCTCGCCCCCGGACATCCCTAGCACTAGCGCCGCCTCTGTGCCTTCATCCGCCAAACATTCTCTTCCCATGCCACCTTTCGAATCCTAGCTCCAGACCCACTTCTTCCATCCAAGCAGTCTTGCTGCACTACTGCAGTGTGCAAGGGTCTCTCCTCTCCTCTACAAGTTGGCCAGGAGCTAACTACGCCTTGCCACTGTGTCTGGACAGCGCATTCTTAGAGGAAAACAGGCCACAATCCCCATACTACCTAGGTAGTCCAGGACGTAGTTGGGCACGTTAGGTGCTCAGTAAAGTTCCAAGTTACTTAATCTTACTGAGCCTGGGTTTCCTCACGTATAAAACGGGAATCCAGTTACCTACCTGGACTGCTGTGAGCAAAAGTCAAAGTAAAGTAGGTAAAACTCCCTGCACCTGTTTCAATCGTTCTGCGTACACAAAACAGCTTCTCTGACACTTGTAACTCCAAGTTTTAAGAGAATGAGAAGGAGACGTGAAAATCCACGTGGATCCACTCACTGGGAAGAGCACTGAGCTCAGAACTGCCCATTAGTTTAAATATTAACAGTAATAGAAATAATGTCCCGGGGTCAGGAGGAGGAGCTCCGAAGGTCACACCTTGAGCTCCCACTAGGTGGCAGTATTGTTTACCTGCTGTTATGCAAATAGAGGGGAGGGCCATCAGCCGGGAACATACATCCTCTGAAATTGATGATACAAAGGAGGAAATTTCTATATTAATTTCCCCATGATAGTGGAATAGACGTTGGCTTGAGGAAATGCACCGAGTTAGAGGAACATCCGCTAAAAACCAATAATGAAACCCCATGAGGAGCCCTTAGTGTCTGTGTAGAGGGGGAGATGTGTGTGGGGTAGGGACGCTGAGTGAAAGTAGTGGGACCATCTCAAAGGCGGAACACCAGCCAAAGGCGAGAACCTGCCAGAAGTCCAAACCTTGACTCAACCTTTCACACTCGAAAAGTAGTATTAATGTGACCAGTCGAAATGAGGATCTCCCCATCAGGGTCTCCCAGAGCATAAACTCCACGGAGCTAAGCGGCCAGGCATGTTCTCTTGGGACATCAGTCTCCAGAGAAGCAAGACTGGAAGATAAAAGCCTCCTGGATTCCAACTTCCCAAAGCAATACTTTCATGTCCCACTGCTCAAAACCCCTCATGGCTCCCCACTTCTTCTAGACAAAGTCTAAACTTTGCCACCTGGTGGCAAAGCCATCAGCAATTGGCTTAAACTCCACCCACCAACCCCAGGGACTTGGGAAAACATTTGCCAACCCACCCCTCCCTCCCACCCTTACTCTTCCTCAATGCTCCCAATGAGGAAAATGAAGCCCAAGAGATAAATTGACTTGCTCCTCCCAAAGCCCACCCTCCAGTCCTCTGGGTTTTCTCTGCACAGCCCTGCTCATCCTGTGATACAGACTCGGTGCCAAGTCTTCCCATGCTGAAAAATGACTTTGAGTCCCTGGGGCCTGCATTCTGTTCCATCTCAAGAACCTTTGGTGTGGTGTCTGTGTTGAATTGTTGCTATCTTTTCTCTCCAAAAAGATCATACCTCCATGAGGGCAGGTAAAATGTCACGTTTCAGTAGAAATACTGCAAACCAAGTTTCTGGCAGGGGGAAGGACAATGCTGTGATTAGGAGTGTGGGGGCTGTGCAGTCAGGCTGAATCCAAATCCTGACTCTTTCCCGAACCGTATGACCTTTACAGGGGTGCCTACCCTCCCGGGGCCTCTGTTTCCTCATCTGTAAACAAGAAGTAATAATAATACGTACTGCATAGAGTTGCTAGTGCAGATTCAATATCAAGTACGCAGGGTGCTAGACGTATGTCTGGCACATAATAGGGACAAAGATGGCTATGTCCTGTAGTCCCAGCTCTGTTGCTCATCAGCTGAGGGGTATGAGGAAGTCACATTAGCTCGTGGGCGCCACTGCCTTCATTGGCAATACTGAGAAGAGTGAGGGCAGACAGGGTGGGCTACATAATGTGCTCTGAGGTTCACGGTGGCTCTAAACCTCCATGCTTCTCCAGAACACTTCTCACATTTCCCCAGGAGATCAAGCTGGTACATGAATATAAAGGAAGGGGGACCAAGGTGCTGACTCGGCCTACTTAAAACTCACCCTCTATCAACACCCATCTCAAACTTACCTTCTCAAGAAAGTTGTCCCTGACAACCCCCAGTCCCACTCTGCCTGTTTCAACAAGGTTAGATCCCACTATTTCATGCTTTCATAACACCCTATGCTTTCCCTTATAATACATATTCCAAATGTCGAGTGAATTATTAATTGTGGACTGTAATTCCCCATTTTGCAGATGAGCAAACTGATGTTCTGGGAACTCACGTTATTCTTCCAAGACCCACACAGCCTGTCAGTCAGCAAGCCATGAGACCCTGCACTCCTCTCACTAGGCCATACTGCTTCTAAGGGGTTTTTAGTTATATCAAAAAAAAAATGATAACTTTCATATTAAGGCTGGGGTGATTCCTTGAGAGAAGATACACAGATCAGAAGGAAGAATGGTCTGTGGACTCTTCAAATGAGTTTGCTTGGAGAGTTCTAGTCAGAAAAGAACCAGAGGCATACATGACAAAAGGCTGTGAGGCTGGCCTTCCTCCAGCAGTTTTCTCCAAGGCCCTGAAACCACATTTGGGCTTCTTTAAACGGAATCAGAGTGTCATGGTGGAGGGAGGGGGAGAAGCAGGGGCAGAGTAGCATCATTAAAGCCTCCTGTGTGGTTTTGATTAGATCATCTGAATTAATAGTTCTCACAGGCAGGTCTTGATTAAAAGCAAATAAGTTTGCGAGCAGACCACCTACTGGAAAATACTGAGCTTAAGATCAAAGTCCCTTGAGCAAAAGCCTGCAAGATCATGTGGGTGAGATTCTGGGCTTGGTCCGTTTATTAGGACACCCTAAAAAAATCTACCTTCATCCTTTAATCTGCAAGTTCCTGGTTATTTGTTCTCTTCAGGAGCAGTGGCAATTTCAGTTCCTCTCAAGTCCACCAACGCCTACTGAGTGTGTACCAGCAGAAAAGCCGAAACTCGTAGGGGATTCAAGTAATGATGTCTGATCCCTGACCTCAAGGAAAATGCCAAAGGGATGGCTCAGAAAGTGAGGAGAGTTTAAGGAGGGTGTTCATCAGGTCGCCTTTTCTCAGAAGCTTTGCTATTCAACCCATGTTATGCACAGAATTCATTGTCTAATTTTACTGAAAGGCAGAATTCTAAATCTCTTCAACTCCATAAGTAAATTATATGATCTTTCAGAATGTGATAAGTACATACTCTGCACTACAGAATAAATAGCATGGGGTAAGGAGATCAGGATGGGGGAAGGGCATTGCGGTTTTAAGTAGAGTATTCAGGGTATGCCTTATTGTGGGCACATTACAACAAAGATTTGAAGTGGGGTTTCAGTGATCAAAAGTGATCCAGGCAGAGGGAATGGCCAAGACAACAAGGGGATGCCTAGTAAGTCTCAGGGATGCAAGGAGGCCAGTGGGAGGAGTTGGGAGAGAAAAATGCACAATGAGGCCGGAGAAGCAGGGGTGGGGTACAGACCATGTGTGGCCTTGTAGGCTGTTTTAAGGATTTTCACCCATGATGAGAGCCCACTGTGGGATTCTGAGCAGAAGAATAACGTAACCCGAGGATCATGCTGGCTGAGGCAGCAGGAAGCTCAAGGGTGGAAGCCGAGAGACCCATTAGGAGGTGACTGCAAGTTCCCTGGTAGGAGAAGGCAGAGGCTCAGACCAGGGTAGTGGAAATGAAGAGAAGGGGTCAGATTCTGGATTTATTCTCTTCTTGGGCCCTAAGTTTCCTAGTTTGCAATAGTTTCAGCTCCCACTTTCCATCTTCCAGGGAGGTATGAAAATAAGTTGAAAACAACTCTATGGAAATGTTTGGGGGCTCTTTGATTTAAAATGGCCCCAGAAATTCAAAGGCAGTATGAATAAGCTCTTGCTGGTGGGAGAATTTCATGAGCCTCAAATGCTGTGAGCACTGCATGAAGCATGAGAACGGGCGGACTGCGTGGAGTCCACCTTCCCTTGTGCCCTTTCCGCATACACTTGTGTACATGCACACGGGGCACACTCACGGAGCAGGAAGACAGTAACTCATGGAGTGAGATGGCCTGGTGAGGGCACTTTTTAACCAAATGACCACAGGAAACTTATTTAATAAAGTCCAAGAGCCTTAGTTCCTTATGAGCAAATGAGATATAAACATGGACAATGGGGCTTGAGGGGCAATTACGTAAAGTGCCTGCCACGACACCTGACATGTAATACAGTCTCAGTAATCTTTGTTCCTTCCTCAAGGCCCCCCTTGGGAACCAATTCAACCGTGGGGAGGAGATCATCCAGAAGGCAGAGGAATCCACTTGTAAATAACTGAGAAGTGTCTACGCTGCTATTGTCATTTTACTATCCTGTTTACCATTAAGAAAAACAACTTCCTTCACCACACCCTTGCTGGGACCGTGTCACTGGGCTTCCTCGGGTCACAGTGATACCCTGGACTTGGAGACGAACTCAGGAATGGGAGGAGCAGGACTGAGACTCCCAGGCACACGGGAAAGGGTGCACTGGCCCTGGGAATGTGCAGCTTGGGTGGGTCCCTCCAGGAAAGAGTCAAAGTCAGGGTGACTGGGCGTCCCGGCTTGATTCATCTATCAGAAGGCAAGGTGGGAAATCAGGTAGTCTCACAGACCACAGCCTGTCTGTCTCCCTGGGCCTGTGGCTTCAGAATACCCCTCTCAGTGCAACCCTACCCCACAGGCTGCCTGCTCTGTACAGTCACACCAAAAGCCACCCGATTCCTGGCATTCAGCTTTCCCCAAGGCATGGGGTGCTTTGGCATGATGGAAAGGAGACAGGAGAGACAGGGAGGGAAGAGAATTTATCAAAAAGAGAGAAAAAGCGGGCACTCGGTCTCTAAAGCCGTGCTGATGCTGAGTTTGCCTGTACAGGCCTCTGACGGGACTCTGCCTCATCCTGGGTTCACACCTCCGTTCAACACCTATTTAGTGAGCACTTCCACAGTGGAAGGCTGGGAGCTACAGAAGATGAGATGAGGCTGCCCTGCCAGGCTGGTGTCCGATCACCTCCCGTGAGGCTGTGAAGCAGCTGCTGAGAGAGGGGAGGCCTTAGAACCTCACCAGTCGCAGGCCCTGACCACAGGGGTGGTCAGCCCAACATGTCCCAGCCAAGCCCAGCCCTGGAACTCCCAGGATGACAAGTCCCTGGCTCCCTCCAGCCCCCATCTCTCCAAGGGAGGTCCTACCAACAAAGGGTGGGTCCCCCAAGATGAACAGCAGCAGCGGGGGAGGGGAGGACTCTGGGGTCTAGAAGGAAATTTCTACTTCTAACCTGATGTGGCAGACAGCAGCAGCCACGGGATGACAGCAGCGGACAGCACCGAGCAAGAGCATCGCTCAGCAGGGATGTTTGCTGAAGGCCTGCTCCACGAGGAGGGCAGCCTTGGGCAGCTGCCCAGGGCACCTTACCCAAGGCCTGGCAGCCGTAGGTACAGGAGCCCCAGGGTATACTTCGTGGGCTTCTAGCAGAGCAGGCCACTCTGGATGGCCAGGGGAGGAAGGAGGTGAGAAGCAGCCCACAGGCTGCTGTGGGGCAAACAGGGGCTCTGTAACTTGGGCCTGCTCCTCCCTGCCATTTCTGAAGCATCGTCTTTCCCCAGGCCAAGGCCTACTTGGGGACACCTCTCACTGGAATTCTAGAATGCTCCCAAACAGTCAATTCAAGTCCCAATTACACAGTGAGAAGGGAGGCCCAGGAGTAATAACTGGGGAGGCAGTGTGGCCTAATCATTAGCACAAGGCCTTTGGAGTCAGCAAGAGCAGGTGTGAATCTCAACCCTACCTCTTGATGCCCAGGAGTTCCATCAGCTTTGGCTTCTTCGTCTGCACAAGGAGGATGACAGCACCTCCCTTACAGAGCTGCTGTGAGTAGCAGATGAGTTGATGTCTGTCAAGTGCTTAGCACAGGGCCAGGCTCAATGAATAGTGTCTGTCACTACTTCGGCCATCATCATCTCCACTCAATGTCACACAGCTGGCCAGAAACAAGCCTGAATCCAGGTCTCCTCGGCCACCACTCCCAAAAGGCCTCACCCTCCTGTAGCCTGGGTGACCCTTCTCCTGGGGACAGTGACATCAGAGAGCAGAGTTGGAAGACTGTGGGTCCCAGGAGCCAACATGGATCTTCTTGGGTTTATGACCTTCAAAGACCCACCCTGAGAGGTCCTGCTCAAAAGCCCCTCGGAGGGGCTATGCAGCCAGTGCCTAAGGAATCCTGAAGGGGAAGGAGCAGAGCAGCCAGAAGGAAGTTATTAGGTAGGGCTCTTGCCTTCCAGGGCAGGACGGTGCACTTCTCCCAGAAAGCCTTCCCAGTCATACACGGCCCAGCCACCTGCCATCACCACTCCATTCGGGCCAGTCTAAACACCTAAACAATGACAAACAGGGGCTCAATAGGGTGTCACGGGTACAGCACATAGTCTCAGGGTTCATGCAGCATGCCTTTCCATGCTAAGAATGGGAGGAGGACACCTTGTCCTCTTCAGCCCCTGCTCCTCTTCCCCGAGATACACTCCCTGACCACCTTCCCCATGCAGAGCTTGCTCCTTAGAACCCACAACTTCACCCTAAATGGTGCTGAGCATGTGGCAGATGCTCAACTCACATCTCTTCAGTAAGCAGCTGCCACTTAACTTCTCCAAGCATGGATGTCCAGTGAAGGCAGCAAGCTCACTGTGGGAAGAGCCTATCTCTCCTCAGTCTCAAGGGTCCCCAAAGAGCCTAGGATCAGGCAGAGTACCCAGGAGATGGTCAATTGAATAGTGAAAGTGATCAATGAATATCATGGCAAGCTGACAAAATCTGCATTTCCTAGGAGATATACAGTATTTATTGCATTTCTTTCTCATTGTGACCCTTGGAGATAGGAGACTGTCCCTCCCAGGTTCCTAAATCCCTCCTTACTTCTACCACCTCCCTTTTCTCTTTCCCATTGCTCTCTGTTTCTCTTTCTCCTTAGGTTACTTTTACTCCCTATCTTTTCCTTGCTGTCTGGCTTTTTTTTTTTTTATTTTGAGATGGGGTCTTGCTATGCTGCCCAGGCTGGTCTTGAACTCCTGGGCTCAAGGAATCCTTCTACCTTAGTCTCCCTGCTATCCAGCTTTATGAAGAAGAAACACAAAATTAGGCACCAGCATGTCTGGGTGCTAATTCTGGCTGCACTCGGACTACCTACTTAACCAGGATGAACAATCTACTCAGTCTCTCTGACCTCGGTTTCCCTTGCTGTCAAATGGGAACAATCACATCTCCAAGAGCCACTGAGAGCATGAAATGATATGAGAAGGGGTTGCCCTTCCCTCCCATGGTCGGCAGTGTGTGTTCAGAGAGTTGGGGGCTGTGGTTTGGGCCCCATGGCAATGACTGAGCATGCCAACCGGGAAGCTGGAATGACACATGCAGATCCAGCTCCACCATCCCTGCCCAAACCAACCTTTGGAAGACTTGGGACCCCAGGGAAATAGCAGGGGCAGAAATGGGCTAGAGGGCTCTGGGGAGGAAGGGGCACAGCCTGCCTGCCACTGGTGTTAGCCAGCCCCCAACACACACTCACACACACACACACACACACACACACACACACACGCCCCACTCTGTAGAGTCACTCCACGTCCCCTGTATCTTAGGCAAGTACAAAACTGGAACAGAAGTTCTAAGAAAAGACAAAGGGGGAGGAAGAGGAAGATGGCCAGGATTTAGTCCACTTCACAATGGGCGGCTCTCAGAGGGAGGAAAATCCTGGCCCACAGAGTGTGTGCTGTGTTGTGCCTGCTGTCAGCAGAGATGAGGCCGTTGCAGGGGACTGTGGAGAGAGAGGTCACCCTGAGGCCGGCCGACAGGTTCTCCATCTCCACCCGCTGGAGAGGGGAGGTGGCCGCGCCAGGGAGAAGGAACCTGTCATTAGCTGTCTGAGAGGCTCTTCCTCCGCAGGCTGCTCACAGCATCTGCCAGAAAAAGGATCTGCCTAACGTGAGCCTCTTGGAGCCCTATATAAACAGATGCTGCTCGCTCCTTTTCACTTTGCCTTCTGCCTGAGCCCCGTCCTTTGTTTTCCTTTCAGCTTCCAAATTCCCTAGCATCACCATCTTTGCCAACAAAGGACAAAAGTGAATCTCAGCCTGGGAGGAGTGGTCTGCATTGACCCACCTCTTCCCACCCCTGCATTCTCTACTCCCCAGTGCAGCCCCTCTAAACACTGGGGGACCCTCATCATCATTGAGCTCAGGGATCCACTGATTAGTCAACCCAGGAATGAAAGTACGCTTGGAGGGAACACTACAGCAGCTTTGTAAGTCAATTGCTAATGCAATCAAACTGGCCAGCATAAACAATGACCAAACTTAAATATTTTCCACTCACATTAATCAGCTCAATAATTCCTTAATGACTTCCTAAGAAAAGTGTTAAAAAAAAAAAAAAAGCCCTTGTTTGTTTTGATTTGGTTGGTCTTTTTCACCCTTGGTTAAGGAGCTCATTGTCTCCACATGGCAAGAAGCAGCCTGGATTTTTAGGAAGGAAGAAATAATCCGCTGCAGATGGGGCCAGTACTGGTGACCTGCAGGTTGAGAGAGAGGGTACGGTTAGAGAGCTGGCATCCCAGCCCCTGGGCTTCTCGCTGTCTCAATTTCATCATCCACCTATGAAGTAAAGATGCCCATAACTGTCTCTTGTCTAAATCATAGGGTGTTTTTGTGGTTGTGGGGGGCGGTACCATGGCTGTGCCCTGCCTGGTCCTCCTGTGAAGGTAGGACGCTCAACCAACATTCAGACTTCTGTGGAAACAGTAAACCGTCCTTCTGCGAGCTCCAGAAACACAAGTGGCCGAAGGGACGCCATATATCTAGTGTCTCACAGCCTATCTCAAAAATTACAGTCTACGTGAACATGAGAACCTTAGGCAATATGCACACTTTTGAAACAGAAGAGTGACATCATGTCCCTAAAATAAAAAAGCCACAGTCAGTGTTGTTTCCAGACAGAGGAAGCATGGTTTTTACCTACCCCATGCATCCCTACAGTATTTCCAGATTGTCCCTGACCAGTCTGCATTTGACCCTAGGGCAGAGCAGCAACTCCCCGGACAGGAGGGGAGCAGAACAGTGTCCCCCAGGGCTGCAGTCCGAGAGAGGGCTGGAGCATACACTACTCCAATAGCACCCGCTACTGCAGGAGCCACCCAAGAGAGGGGATAAAAGACATGCGCATAGAGAAGGAGAGCGTTTCACAGCCCCACCTCTTGCAGAACTGCAAATCCTGTGTGATGGCTGTGTGAGTGTGCACCTGGGCATCCAGGCATGTGTCTGTGAGTGACAGTACGGGGTGCACGTGTGCCTGCTGCACCCTGGCAAGAGCAAGGAGCCATGGGAGATTGGCGCCGTGTACATGTTTCTGCCTATCTGTTCTCAGAAGGGTTCCTCCTCACACCTCCTACTGTTTTAACCAGGGTGCTGGAATTTAAGAATTTAGAGACAAGGATGCACTTAGCAAAGGCTAAACATCCACAGGTTAATCTGTATCTGGTTGATTTGTACCCTAAGTATGACCCCAGGAAGCAAAACATATCAAAATATGTGAGCACAGAATACAAATTTCACATTAAAGACAAACTGGCTAAAACCCATAGAAAAGAAAAGAACTTACAAACTCATGAAATAGAATCCCTTCACAATTCTGTATCACAGGTTAAACAAACTTAATATCAGTGAGAAATAAACTAGTCTCTGGATGAAAAATGGTTAGTTCTTCAGTTTCCGGGGCCCAAGATCCCTGCTGGATGCCATGTTACTCAAACTACTCGCCAGCGATTGTGCATGAATGAGTGTACACACAACCATCAGATACGCATGCAAAAAGCCACACACACACAGATGCAGATATGTACATACACACACACCCCTCCCAGCCCTGCCAAAGGGAGGCAGCATGACTGAAGCCCTAACACCTAACAAAAGGGGTGTAAGAAAAAATGGCAACTAAGATGTATCCATGGGGAGGAAGGAGAAAAAAAGGAAATGCAGCTTGACTCACAGTTTTGAAGGCATAAGGTGGGCGAGGATGAAAAGACTTTTGTCAAGAGTATACAAAGGAAGTCAATGAAACAGTTGGGTCTCACTGGCTCCCACACAGAACAAACCCAGCCAGACTCCAGATGATTAAAAATAAACTAATCTGATTAGAGAATTTTAAATTTGGATTGATTGTCCAGTTCACCAATAAATGGCAACAAACAATTTAAATCTTGTCCCACAGCTCTGCTGCCAAAATGGCCCGGAATTTGCCAAGCTTTGAAAGCAGGTTTTGAGGAGGTGAACATGTCAGTAGCAGAACAATCAGGTGATCCATAAATATCTGTGGCTAAGCCCTGTCCTGGTAACGTGGAGATATGAAGTTGTCCATTGAGTTCTGGGCCTCCAGTAGCCTACTGCAAGGTGGAGACACAACATTTGGATATAATTAAGCATTAGCCAACAGATAGATGTAAAATGTGTGTTAAGCTGCATGGTAAAGACTATAATTCCTACACATATTCAGAGAAGGGAGAGAAAATCAGTAGTAGAAATGGGTTTTCCTTCATCTCGCATGTGAAAGACAGAGCATTTGGATAAACAGAGAAAGAAAACAGCATAATTGCTCAATATCCATTCTCTGTCTGGCCCATTGTTCAGGTAGGGCTCAGGTGAGAAGGAAAAGAGCACCTAGCATCATCTCCCAGCCCTCACTGTCCCCTCCTAACTCTCCCCTACCCATCGAGCCCCCTGGCCAACTATCAGAGACTTAAGTTTTTACAGAAGGAAAAGAGGGAAGGGAAAGCTAAAATGTCCTTCATTTCTCAACCAAAATGAGAAATCATGAAAGGGGGAACCCAACTAATGAAATGTGATATGGTCCCTGAACTGTTCCTTCCAGAAGCCATCCCCATGGGACTCACACATAGACGATGTCATTTGGAGTTAATCAGATGTCTCTGTAGATAATTAGAGCCAGGCCAGGATAAGGCCAAGGAAAAAAGCATTCCCATAATATACATTTAGCACTGTAACAGCTTTTCAAGGCTCTTTCGTGTTTTGATTTCTTTCTGCTATGAAAATGGTCAAATTTCCTAAGAGATCACATCTACCCACTGGGAAACATCTGGAGGAGAAGAGTGGGAAAAGCTTGGCCATCTTAGAGTTTCTTCTCCATGATCTCTGGCATCTAGGTTTGGGTAACCACTCATGAACCCTGGCCAACAATTTTGCTTCTCACCAGGGCACTGGCACCAATGCCAAGGAATAGCTCCTCTCCAGGAAGCTTCTGGAAGCTCAGCACTTGAGTTTTCACTCCTCTGCTTGGTATCAAGCCAAATTTTGCTCTTTGAGGTATTTTTGCATGGATCCATTATTCCCACAAATGTTTTCTATCCCTTGGTGTTTCTAGTTTACAATGCTCTAGGAGGCAAACACCTGTGATACTGTGAAGGGTGGTGGAAGTCTTCAAATTCCTAAAATAAAGCCCTAAGTCTTCCTCCAGTAAAACCATCCAATAAGGAATCCAACACATGGGTCTTTCCAATGGACATGCATGCTAGAGAAAGCAGCAAGTCCACAGAAGCACTGCTGACAGTGAAGGCACATTCTTTGTAAGGCCGTTCCTTTGATCCTTAATAAAACTTCAAGGCAATAATTGGAGAAAACTTATGCCCCCGGAGATTGAGTGTGCTAGATTACAAAATTCTTCTGGGTGTAAAGCCTTCAGTATTACAAAGCCCAAACCAGTGCCTTCCTGTATAAACTCTCTCTGCAGTGTGAACATGGTTGATTACATACCCTCTTTCTACATAAATTCCCTTACAAGAGGAAGAGGCAGGAAGGCCAAGACTTTTGGATAAGCATAACCAAGATGCTGAGATGATACATATTTCTGACATAAACATTCTTCCAAATTCTGAAAGTACTTAAAATTGCCCATTAAGAGGTTGGTTAAAAGGAGCCATTGCTGTGCAGATTTTTTACTTTCTTGTTCCTTTTTTTAAAAAGTTTCAAAGAACATCAATGTATTAAGTTAGAGGGTTGGGCTAATTCCTCTCTACCCTCCTTCCAGAAGCAGAGGTATTTGAGAAAACTGTTGCCTGCATCTTATATTTGAGATAATTATTTGATAATTAGAAAAAGTACATTTCTACGGGAAGCAAACGCAAAGACCAAAGTAGAACATGACCGTGCCATTTTTCCAAATTTGCCCACAGGAAGTTACTTATTTTTTTTTTTTTAGACTGAGTTTCACTCTGTTGCCCAGGCTGGAGTGCAGTGGCCTGATCTCAGCTCACTGCAACCTCCACCTCCCAGGTTCAAGCGATTCTCTTGCCTCAGCCTCCTGAGTAGCTGGGACTACTGGCACACGCCATCATGCCCGGCTAATTTTTTTGTATTTTAGTAGAGATGGGGTTTCACCGTGTTGCCCAGGCTGGTCTCGAACCCCTGAGCTCAGGCAATCCTCCCACCTTGGCCTCCCAAAGTGCTAGGATTACAGGCATGAGCCTCCGTGCCCGGCCCAGACTTTTTCTTTTGTCCCACAATTAGGAATTTGAATGTGAGTGGAAGAGGCACCTATGAAGCATGATTCAAGAGGCCCAAGATATGCTAGTCACCCTAACCAACATGTACCCTGCCTATTAGGCCATCCTAAGGTCTGAAATTCCACCATGAAGATTTCTCACTGGTTAGAAACACCCCAGGTTCTTCCTTTGTCTTACTGTGATTTGTTTATCATGCTTCCCTCAACTATCTCTCTCTGTCTCCGTGTCCCCATTAATTCTCTAGGAATCTCTCCGATCTAACCCAAAGGGAAATAGAAGGTCTGCAGACTGGGAAAAAAGAAGAGAGTAGAACCAACCCTCAAGTGGCCACAGGGCTTTTTCTCTTACTGGATTGAGAAAGTACTAGGCCTCACTGAAGTCTTCCTTCAGAATTGACAGAGGTCTGCACGGCACCCAGGACCAAAAAAGGTAATAGAACATTTGTTCAAGTCCTTCAGATTAATCAAAAGCCCCCTCCTTTCCTTCTCCCAGTCGATTATCTTGCCCTGAAATTTTGGATGAGCAGGAAACGTAATTGACTATGGAGTATACGGACCTGCACGCTTCCATGCACCACAGATCAACACTGCAGATCCCCATAAACACAGATAAACTTGGGTACCTGCCAGCAATGCAAGGGAACTGCTGTGCTTGCCAGAGTCCTAAAATAATCTCCCCTATCTCCAGTATTTGTTTTAACTTTTCTTTTGCCTGGAGGTGGGGGAGGGGATCAGGTTGGAACCAACGTCTGGACTTGCAACTTCATTGCAATAAGGTTCTTAGTTCTTTCTGCTACCCACAGTTACCCAATATAATTCCCTTTCCTACACTTGGACAGGCTTTTCTCTTGATTGGAAGTGGGAGGAGGGAGGGTGGCAGGAAGAAAGGGAAATCCCCTTCTGTGCATTAATTCTCTGTATTCTAAAAGGCAAACTCTGCCAAGAGCCCAGTTCTGGGAAGCTGCTCTGGAGACAGCCCAGGATCCCACTGGGTGGTCTCATCTTTGGGCTTAGGACGTGGGGGTCAACAGTCCAGAGTTCTATTTCCAGCACCATCAGAACTTTGGCCAAGTTACTTGACCTCTTTTCATAAATGCTTTCCCCCAAATGAAAAGGAAAAAGGGGAAGAGGAAGAAAGAAGTGAAAAAGAATGACACCACTGCAGAGGCAAAGATGAGGTATTGAATGAAGAACTTTGGAAGCAAACCACAAAAGGTATTGCTACACACAGCACAACAGCCCTGCAGGGAGGTAGTAGAATTTGAGAACGAGGCCAAACGGAGATGGTTACTCTACAGCTTCAAGGCACCGGGGAGTCCAAATGAAGCATCTCCTCAGCACTCTACCTACAGTTCACACCTTACAACCCAACCTGGAGACTCCATTGGCCTTGGCCATTAGTTTGACCTTTCAATAAACATATTGTTTTTATTGTCAAGAAAACCTCTTCAGAAAGCTTATTCTCCAGGCTTACTCATCATGTGGCTGCTTCTTATAAAAAACAAAAATAAAGGAAACACTGAAGAATTAAGTAAAAATTAATTAGAAGCACATGGTTAAAACAGGCTTAGAGTTATGCATGGCTTAAGAACGTATTAAGGGTAAAGCGTTTCCTCCATCCAGACTTGAAGATTTGCTGAAAACAAGGCCCGTGTGAGTGGGTGGGTTTTTGAGCGGCTGGCATTTTGGACTGTACCAGGCCAAAGCCACAGGGAGGAAGGCTATGGTTCACATGGGGTCCACGTCCTTCAGCATGTTTGCTCTGCTCTTGATGTCAAGGAGAGACCTGAGAGATGCCAGAGACTCCATTGTCTCTAAGGCATTCAAGTAGGACCATTGTGTGAGACATAAGAACAAGAATAAAGACAGGAGTTAGGAATATTTTTAATATATGTTGATTTTAATGGGTTTAAAATATATATATAGTCTAATTCATTTGCAGCAGAATGAATGGCAATTTCCAAGCTCAAAAATAATAGTAACCCCAGCCTCAAGTTTCTGGCATGGAAGTAATAATTTGAGCTTATTTCTAAATGGGCTTACTAAATGAACAGATCAATTTTTTCTCAAATTTATGATATAAAAGAAATGGATGAAAAGAAATTTGGGAAGCTGAAACCTGCTGTCACCTACCTCTTTCATTTAGCCTCAGATCTGAATTGCCCTGTCTGGTTTCGGGGCCATGCCTGTCCCACTGCACACATTCGAGCTGCAGATATTCACTTTCACATGCAGGGGTCATGTCTAAAAACTGAACCCTGATTGCAACAGAAGCCAGTTAGAAGATTAATTAGTTAAGTATTTAATCAATTAATCCTGAATTAAGATCCCATTTTGGCTTTACTAGCCATAACCATTTCTTTCTTTGAACTAAAATCTTCTGCCTTCATTTATAAGCTCTTAAACCACGTGTTTGAATTTCCTCAGGTGGGCTGGAATTTTACCCCTCTTGTGTTGCAGAAGTGTAACTTAAATGGGCCAATATTTTCACCTACGGACATTCGTACAGGTGGGCTTTGCTTTAAGAAACTCAAGGAAATTAGCGTTTTAAGAACAGATAAAAACAATTCTTCTTATTGTGGGAGGACTCTTTTTGGTTCCTCCTAAGATACACTGATAACAAGAACTCCTGGGGTATTGTAATTGAAGCACTGGCCCCAACCCAAGGGATCGCAGTTCAGGACATCAAAAGATCCTTCTAGTTTTGAGATTCTGTGGTTGATACTAAAAATCAGAACCAACCTAAAACATAAGCAAGACGGCAGAGGACTGGGAAGGGAATTTAATTAGGTAAAAGGATGTCAGATCTAAGTGGAGAAACTGCAGGCATACAAGAAAGAGTCCACCAAAACAAACACCAAAGCTCCCAATCTGTTCAATTCGGCTTGGGATTCTTTTAACAAGGTGTGTGTCACTTTTCCCTCCACCGTGAGAGAGAGCCTAGAGCTGGCCTTCTCTTTCCCCCACTGATAAAATGAGTGGGTTAAACTACATGATCCCTTGGGCCCTTCCTGACTTTAGCGCTCACTGAGTCTGGGCAGAAGGGCAGCAAAAGACAGCGGAGGGAGCCTGAGACTAGCAGCAGCATGGCGGGTTATACCAAGGGAGATTGCAGAATCAAGCCCTACACTGAGTATTACTAAACTTAAATGCTGAAAACTGTCCTAGAAGAGGGAAAATCAATGAGGGCTGAGGTCCTTTGGAGACTAGGGAGGGGGTGGGACGTGAGCAAAGCCTTAACAATTCCTGTACTAGGCTGCACAACATTAGGTCTAGGTCCAGATGGTGAGGATGAAAAATGTTATGAAATCATTTCAGCCCCTGCCCTTTAGCATAAGCTTAGGCTTAATCATCCACTAGACAGGTCTCTGCTGTTTTTTACTGAAAAGTTCCTTATCTAACAAAGAAATGCCCCTTCCATTCACAGGCCCAAAGCAAAGCACACCCAAGATGTAGACTGGCCAAAGAAAGAACACCTCAAGGCCAGGAGCAGTGGCTCACGCCTGTAATCCCAGAACTTTGGGAGGCCGAGGTGGGAGGATCACGAGGTCAGGAGACCAAGACCATCCTGGCTAACATGGTGAAACCCCATCTCTAGTAAAAATACAAAAAATTAGCCGGGTGTGGTGGCAGGCGCCTGTAGTCCCAGCTACTCAGGAGGCTGATGAGGCAGGAGAATGGTGTGAACCCAGGAGGCGGAGCTTGCAGTGAGCCGAGATCGCGCCACTGCACTCCAGCCTGGGTGACAGAGCAGGACTCCGTCTCAAAAAAAAAAAAAGAAGAAAAGAAAAGAAAAGAAAAGAAAGAACACCTCAAGAGACACAGCTTTCTCCCAGCACCTACCTGTAGCTTGCTCTTTGACCACTCTGCCTGTTACAGCCTGAGGGCCCCCAACAGCACAGAAGCTTTTTATCCTAGGCTTGACACTTTCTTATCTATAAAATGGGCTATCAGGTTTCCGTTAGGTTGCTGGGTAGATTACATAAGCAAATGCATTAGCACTGGACCTAGCATAAAATAAGTACTCAATAAATAATAGGTATTATGTTGATGGAGAAATGAAGCTATCCATGCAACTCTAGATGTGCTGGTCTGGGAAGAATCACTCTCCATGTATCTTTTAGATAACATCTTCCTTGCCTTCCCAGGCAAGCTCTTCCAGATAGAGCCAGGCACAAGATGCCATTTTGATCCACTGAAAATATCCTTCAAAAGCTTCAAAGGATGAAAAAGAGCCTTGGTGTACCAAAAGGGACTTTCCTCTGAGCCTCTGAGGATGTGAGTTTGAGGCCACCCAGCTCATCCCATCCCATTCCCAAGTGACAAAGTTCAGCAGGGAGCAAAAGAGAAGACTGATCAGGGAAAAAGGCAGGAATTTTGGCATAAATTTGAGTATTACTCAGTTGGTCACCAGTTTTCCCAGCATAGTGAGACCCGCTGGGCAACATCCCCAGATACACAATCTCTTCCAATAGAAATGAATGCTTACTGATCCTGGTGGCCAAAGGCAGCAAGAGTCCTAAATCCTTCGGAAGTAAGAGAGCTTGACAAAATGCCATGCTTCTCCTTCTCTTCCATTGATGAGAGTAAAAGTCTCAATGTATTTGAAACATATTTTTGATACGATAAAATGGTGGTGGTGTATAGCAGCTACTCCCCTAGAGAGTGGCTGAATGGTGCACGCCAACCAAGGGAACCCATGTGAGAGGGTGGGATGGAAACCCAGGTTGGGAGGGACCCCTCATCAATGCCTGATCTGCAGTAACTCCCTGATGGGAAGCAGGAACTTGCTGGGTGGTCCTGAAGGGCAAGGAGGCTTTAAAAACAAGGAGACCTGGACTCTGCTTTTATGATTCTTGGAAGGGACCGATGGGATGCAGACAGCCCTGGCTCAAGCAGGAAGGGTGAGAAAGCGGGGTGGCTCAGGGATCAGAATATGGCAGCGAGGGCTCAGTAGAAAACCTTTGAAATCAGATAGGGAAGTGCTTATCTCATACAAGAGGCCAGAAACTTGCAGGAAGCCAGGGCAAGCTTAGAACAGAAGACTGTGGCCAGAGAGGAGGGTGCGAGAGGGGAGAGGGAGAGACCCAGGCCAGAGATTAGACTGGGGCCCAAGTCCAGATCCACTAGACCCAAAAGTGAGGCCAATTGGAATCTTCCTCAGGCTGGGGGCTTGAGAGAATATCAGAATCTCCACAAGCCCCGTTCTTTCTGATAAAATGGAGACAATAAAAGTGTATACTTCTGGACGTCATTGTGAAGATGACATAAGTGTTGTAGGTAAAGCGCTTGGGACACAGCAAATACTTAACACATGGCAGCTATTGATAGGAGGAATTGAGGCAAAGCCAACCTACTGGCATGTATTCCTTTCTGTACTTAGATTTTTTTTTTTTTTTTTTTTTTTTGAGATGGAGTCTCGCTCTGTCGCCCAGGCTGGAGTGCAGTGGTGTGATCTCGGCTTACTGCAAGCTCTGCCTCCCGGGTTCACGCCATTCTCCTGCCTCAGCCTCCCGAGTAGCTGAGACCACAGGCGCCCACCACCACACTCGGCTAATTTTTTGTATTTTTAGTAGAGACGAGGTTTCACCGTGTTAGCCAAGATGGTCTCAATCTCCTGACCTCGTGATCCGCCCACCTTGGCCTCCCAAAGTGCTGGGATTACAGGCGTGAGCCACCATGCCCGGCCTTAAATTTTTTTTTAAGTAAAATCACCCTGTCTAGACTTCAAACTCCTTGAGAACATGTCAAAGTCAAGAGCAGGTGCTCTAATGCCCCAGTTAAGATAAACCAGGGAATAGTATACTAAGGGTTTTGGTAAAGAGACAAGGTCAGCTCTGGACTCTGGAATCAGACGTGCGTTTCCCTTTATGCCTCTGGACACCAGGACACTCAGCACCAAATCCGATACCCAGACAGGGTAATTATATGATGGAAAGTGGGAACCCAGGGGCAGGAGGGCACCCACATCCTTTCACCGGGTATAATCTCACCAAGGCCAACGAGCTTTCCCCTCTGAATGTCCACTACAAAGCCTCCTTTGGGAATTTGTCTTCAGTCTCGTCTTCAAGAAAATGATTCTAAGTTAATTTTACATCAAGCCAGAGCCCCTAAAAGCCACATCACTGGACCTTGCCAGCTTAGCCACTGGCCAAATTACCTTCATCGTGTCACGCCTTGGTGTTCAATCCTCCACGCTTATGAAGGCTTTTGTTGTCGATGGACCTATGTTTATTATGCCACTGTGTCTTTTATGTAAACTCCCACATGAGAAAATGATTTTAGAAAAATGTGCCAGGAAGAATTTTGCCTCCCCTGAAGAGTTGGTAGACTTTCCCCTTTCTGATCAATAAAGCTGTGCGATTCACCTGGTTTTCATTATGTCCTGGCTGCCAAGAAGTGCAAAACCAAATCCAGTGCTCAACTGGAGCAACCATACTAGCCACTTTCTTTCTTTCTGTGGCCTTGATTTTCTATTTGTGTGTTAATTTTATTGGATAAGGTGGTTTGCAGGAAGATGCCTCCATCCTGAGAAGACAGAGGCAGGTCAGGAACCAAGTAAAAGCAATACATTCTACCCCTAATCTCTTCTCCTTTTCACAGCCTGCCTCCTCCAAGTAACCTTCCCTGATCACCTCACTCCACAGAGATTGCTCCCTCCTGTAATTCCAGCAGCTGTTACAGCCCTTTCCTGCAGCACTTTCAAATGCATCTGCTTTTGCGTGCATAGGTATTGTCCCTCCTAACTGGGACCTAAGCTAAGACTCAAGGGCTGCTCCCATGCCCTTCAGTATCCCCCATAAAATCTAACTACACATTAGAAACTCAAAGAATAGCATAGGCATGATCCATCACCTGCAACAGAAGCAGTGAGGAGACTTAAGCCAGGATTCCTCCAAGAGATTCCACCGCCCCTCCCTGCATCTCTGAATGCCGGACTCCTAAGCATTTACTCAGATTTTAAACAGCACATAATGCCATGGCGAGGATGATCCCTGTGAATGCTTTTAGCAGATTACTCACCACACTGACTAGCTATTTCTGTCTTACTCCTGAGATCATAACCGAGGCACTTCTATACTTACATCAAAGAGTGTAATAACTGACATTTCAGATTACAGCTACGTGGAGGTCTGCCCTTAAGGAGATGGCGCTAATTGCTGAATGTGAGGAACAACAGGCATCTCCCAGCCACCGCAGCCCTTGCTTCCTGCAGGAGCTCAGGTGTGAAAAGAGAGGCTTGGTCTCTCAAGGTCTGAGATGCACGGGAAGCCTCACAGCAGTAGCGTCCCAGCTGGGCCGAGCTCGTTCTCCAGCCCTGCACCGACATGGATAAATCGGAGCCATCTGGCTGGCTCCTCCTCTCACACGTGTGTCAGCTCCTCTCCAGCCTCCAGGCCCCGTCAGCCTAATGTGCTCCTTATGCCCAGAACCTGGAGTCAGCTGTCCTTCAAAACAGAGCAGCTCAAGACATACTAAAACCATGAGCCCACATACCACTTATTTGTCACTTATTTGTCATTTTATCAATACTGCCTTGTTCTGGCATATTCTGTCCCTGTATGTGTCTAGAGAAGGGGTTCTCAATGGAGGGCAGGGGCAGGGGACAGCACAGTGCCCCATTGGGGAGAGGGGAGAGTTTGGAAAGTCATCTTCAAAATCACCTATAAATAACTAAATTCACTTTGTAAATTCAATCACCCTGTGGGAGGCATGACCCGGAAGCTCTCCTGCTATCTCATGAGTGCTGATACTCTCCCACGGTCCCTTCACCATATCACTCCCTTGTTCAAGACAACACGCCGGACTCCCCACAAATTCACATCACCTTCAGGCTGCAATGCACCCTCTGCACTTTACAGGTGAGGAGGCTGAGGCCTGAAGACGCTAGGTGATTCACCCCTAAGACACAGCCTAATAAATCTTCTAGTCAACAAAAATTTATTGAGCATCCACTACATTCCAGGCAGTGTCCTAGGCTCAGGGGACATAACTGTAGAGAAAACAAAGTCCATATTCTTAAAGAGCTTACAGAACTTCCATTCTAGTGGGAGGAAGGAAAAATAAGCAAATAAAGATACATACCTATGTTAGGCAGTAGGGGAGGAAGGGCCTGCAATTTTCAATATAGTGGCTGGCGAAGGCCTCTCTGATGGGGTAACATTTGGGCACAGATCAAAATATGTGAGGGAGTGAGGCAGGAGTTCATCTCAAGGAAAAGTGTTCCAGGCAGAGTTGTCTCAGCAAGTGCAAAGACTCTGAGGTAGGGACAAGCTAGAAGCAGTTTCTCAAACTTTTGTTTAGGGGTTCTCACTGCTGTACCTATTGCTTGTTTTGTAATAATCCTAGCATTCAAGATTCTCCCCAAGAGTAGATAATAATTACAGTAGCAATAACATTTATTAAGCACTTAGTTTATGCCAGGCATGGTTCTAAATACTTTTCATGCAGTAATTCATTTAATGTTCAGTGTAACATCATGAGGTATGTATTACTATTCCCATTTCACAGATGGAAAAACCAAGGCACAGGGAACTTAGGTCATTTACCCAAAGGTTGCCCAGTTTTTAAGTGGTGCAGCCAGGATGCATAGAGAGGCAATCTGTCTCAGCCCATCTAGCTTTCATTCTTGAAAGTAGCCCCTTGCACCCTCAGCCTTCTCTGTACTGGTCTCCCCTGGTTCTTCAACAAAGCCTGTTGATTCCGTCTTTTAGGCCTTGCTTATTTTGTACCTCACTGCCTTTAACATTGTCCCCAGTCATTGAAGTCACTTGGATCCTACATCTGCCCCAGAGCTTCCCTTGACTAGTCCTCAAAGGCAGTTCCTTTTGTTTTTGCCAGCATCAACCTCCGTCAAGACCTGCCTTATGTACATTCAGTTTTGACAGTGGTCCTCCCCTGCCATCCTAAGCACGCTGAGGCTATTTTTTCTCCTCTCATTTCCAATGAAATGAATGAATTCCATGTGGGGGATGGGAATGTAAGGAGTTGGCAATAATGGCTTGTTTAACTGACTTGCATTGAATCTCTAAATTATCACTTTTATTTATTATTTATTATTTTTTAATAGAGACAGGATTTTGCTCTGTCACCCAGGCTGGAGTGCAGTGTTGTGATCATGGCCACTGTAACCTCTAACTCCTGGGCTCAAATGATCCTCCTGCCTCAGCCTTCCAAGTTACTGGCACTACAGCTGCATGCCACCACATCCAGCTAATTTTATTATTTTTTGTAGAGACACAGTCTCACTATGTTGCCCAGACTGGTTTTAAACTCCTGTCCACACGCAATTCTCCTGCCTTGGCCTCCAAAAGTATTGGGATTACAGGCATGAACTATGATGCCCAGCTCTTTATAATAGCTTTATTAATGGACAGTTTACCCACAATCAATTGAACACTCTTTTTTTTTTTTTTTTTTTTTTTTTTTGGAGACAGTCTCACTCTGTTGCCCAAGCTGGAGTGCAGTGGTGCAATCTCAACACACTGCAACTCCGCCTCCTGGGTTCAAGTGATTCTCCTGCCTCAGCCTCCCAAGTCGCTGGGATTACAGGCATGCACCACCTGTCTCTATAGGTGTCTCTAAATTAGCGTGATACAGGTGTCTCACCTGTCTCTAAATTAGCCTGGCTAATTTTTGTATTTGGAGTAGAGATGGGGTTTCACCATGTTGGCCAGACTGATCTCAAACTCCTGACCTCAAGTGATCCACCCGCCTCGGCCTCCCAAAGTGCTGGGATTAGAGGCATGAGCCACCACGCCCAGCTGAACACTCTTTAAATA
The DNA here is from genome assembly GCF_000001405.40 of Homo sapiens. Taxonomy (NCBI): domain Eukaryota; kingdom Metazoa; phylum Chordata; class Mammalia; order Primates; family Hominidae; genus Homo; species Homo sapiens. Next base: position 45,756,952 of record NC_000002.12, on the reverse strand, counting down.
AGAGTAAACCTTGATAAGTTTTGACACACATATACCCCTGTGAAACCATCACATAATCAAGATTATGAACATATCCTTCAGCCCACAAAGTTTCCTCATAGAGTTTATAATCTCTTGCTCCTGCCCCTCCCACACAACCTCCATCCTGAGGCAACCACTGTTTTACTTCCTATCTTATAGATTAGCTTGCATTTTCCAAAATGTTATATGAATGGAATCATATAATGTGCATTCCAAATTGTCTGTTTTTTTCACTCAGCATAATTATTTTGAGATTAATCCATCCATTCCTTTTTATTACTAAATAGTATCCATTGTATAGATATACCACAATTTGTTTATCCATTCTATCTTGATGAAAGATTGGGTTGTTTCCAGTTTAAGACTATTACAAGTGAAGCTGCTATGAACATTCATGACAGATTTTGAATGGACAAATGCTTTCATTTATCTTGAATTAAGGCCTAGAGTGAAATGGCTGGATCACATGGTAGGTTTACGTTTAACTTTTTAAGAAACTTGCAAAATGTTTTCCAGAGAGACTATACGATCAAACTTTTTCTACATCTGAAGTTTTGTACTTTCCCATCCTCTCTAATCCACCCCACTATTTCCTTTCCAGCAGAACCCCTAGAGCCTGGGAGCAGGATACCCTTAATCCTCTTCTTCCTCTCTGCCCTATCATCTGGTATTTGGAGGCATGCTTTTTCAAAGAAGTCCAGGATCCTAGAAAACAGGGTGGATCTTCATCTGATAAGCAAATGTTTATCCCTGTCTTAACCTGACTCATCCCCATCAGTCTCACCAAAGACTGGAGTCAGCATCATGTTTTAAGAATTCTGTAGCCACTCTTCCCTGCGGTCAGCCTCTATAGTCCTTGGCAGTTCATTGTGTGTCTAGTAAACGCCCAGAAGCCAGTGGTTCCCAGCGAATTAGCTGCAACTCCTTATTATACCCAGCAGTGGGGATGCAAAGTCTCCTCTGATCCTCCCAACACGGAATCCACTCTCCATCCTCCTCCCTTCTACCTTCTCCAATTCTCCGAGTGCCAACCAGTTCCAGCTGCCTTTAAGGAAGTTTCTTCTGGTGACTCCAGCCCCAAGGAGCTTTCCCTCCTCTGAACTTGACAGCCCCTGTCTGAGCCAGTTCTTTAGGACTCACTAAGCCCAGCAGCCTTGCATTTCGTTGGGCAACTAGTTTTGAGTCACTGGTAATACATACAATAATATATACAAGCCACAGAGCCGGGCCCTAGGAGGATAGACAGAGAAATCAAGGGGAATCGCTGCCCTCATGCAGCATAAAATCCAGATCAAGAATAAGACATGGTTACAACTGAAATATTTCTAAATGACCTGGTAATTGCCATAAGAAATTTGAGCTAAATATAGTGGAGGTTTGGCATTTGCCAGGCAGGAAAATGTGAGGCGCAGGAAGTCAATAAGCATTTCTCAGCAAAACAGCAGCCATTAGCAGTCACCGTAGAATGAAGGTCACTGTAGAATGAAGGACCGTGTCTTGGGCAGGTTAGATTTGCTATGACACTCAGGACCACCTCAGATTTATTTCTGTATCATATGCTTAACCTAAGCACTTCCCTTCTCTCCCTTATCTGGGCTGCAAAAATGTATTTGCTGCACCTTTATTGAGTGCCACTGTATACCAAATAGCAAAATAGTCCACTGCCCCTGAGGATCTTCCAGTCCAGAGAACAGTAAGAACTACGCACCAGCCCATTATTATACAACGTGGTTGGCGACCTTATACAATGTGGAGTGGCCACAAAAGAGGTGCAAGGGTGACTATCAGAATCATCCCCCTTGGGTCAGGAAGCAGCAGAGAGGACTGCTGTGTGCCAAAATGAGGAATTCAGCAATGCACACTCCCCTCGCCTCCAGGCCCTCCTTGCCAAGGCCCGGCCACATTACTTGCAGGCTACATTACTTGCAGTATCTACGCCGTAGTCTTGCTGCTCCCCAACCTCGAACCAGAGGTAGAAAGACCCTGAAGCCCCTGACAATCAGGTCTCTGTCCAGAAAAATCCTTCCCTCCTGGCAGCCTCGCACCTCAATCCTTAGCCAGCTTGATGCTGGCAGCCTCTCCTAGCACCGCATTGTGGTCCATATGGCGATCCAGCTGATGCTGTGTGATGCAGGACAGCTTTGCCTTCCAATGCACGTCAGCCCAGTCACGGGTACACCATGGCATTTAAATTGCAGCGAGGGACCTTTGATTTGGATGGGGAAGCTAAATTAGAAGCCTGTAACATGTTCAAAACACCTACATGAGGGATGAACCCAGGGGCAGGCCCTCAAGGGGGCAGGCACAGCATATCAATATTTATTTATCATACTTCTGGCATGAAACCAGGCCACCTAAGTGGACTAGGTGTGTGGAGGAGCTCTCAGAGCCTGGAGTTCGAAGGAATATTTTCCCTCCATAGAGCCGCAATGAAGGCTGGATTATTAACAAAAAGAGAAAGAAACCCCACGGAGAATAAATAAAGTGCATACCCCAAACACTTTAGAACAGCCACAGCCAAGATTCTTCAGGGCCAAGAACTCCTCTTCTTACCCCAGGCAACATATCTGTTCTGTAAACATATTCTAACAGTTACATATTCACACATGAAAGCAACTCACTGATCTAGAAGTCACATGCCTGGCCTCCTTGCCTCTTCAGATGAAAGAAAATAGAATAAAGTGAAAGCATCTCAGCAGCACAGAGCTGTCTCCAGGCCTCAGAATCAGTACTGCACTCTATTCACAGACCCTACCTCAAACCTGCTTTCCCCACCTCAGATGCATTTCAACAGCTCTGGGTCACTTGTTGCAACTAGCTAGCCCCAGCTCACTGCAGATCCCCCTACGCCTACAAAAGCAAATTTTGTAGGGAAAGGTAGCTAGCAATCAAAGGCAATGTGAATATAGGCCTTGTTCATCTCCTCATTCAACTGCAAAGACCTTTTTGAGCAACTGGGAAAATCTGAATACGGTTTGAGTATTAGAGGATACTTAGGAATAATTGCTGGATTTGTTGTGATCATGGTTTTGTGGTTATGCAAGAAAATGTCTTTATTTTTTTGGAGATGCAGTCAGAAATATTTGGGAGGGGAATGTTAGGATGCCTGGAGGGGAATGTTAGGATGTCTGGGATTGGCTTTAGAATATTTCCGCAAGAAAAAGATGAAGCAAAAATGTTAAAAATCTAGATGATGGGGACATGGGAGTGGGTCATACTATTCTCTCTATTTTTATAGGTGTGAACATTTTAATAAGAAAGGTTTTTTTTTAAAGCTCCAGGAAGGGAAGAATGCTATGGGCGCAGCAGCCGATCTGCAAACACAGAATGCAAACCAACAACTCAAACAACCTGGGTCAGTCTCAAGGCGGGCTCAGCACACCCTGGAATGACAGCTGGCCACAATAATGAATGGTCATAATTATGACTACAGATCAAGAAGATATGATATTACTTTTTTGGTATATTGGAATACAAGTAAATCATTTTTACCTAAAAACATGGACAGAAATGTTTTAGTTTAGTTTCAGTCTAGTACTTAAAAAGATGTAAAGTTCTCCATAAAACTTCTCTGGCACAGTGGTTGTCGAAGTGTGGCTCCTGGCCCAGCAGGTGCAGCATCACCTGGGAACTTGTTAGAAACGCACATTGTCAGGCCCAGGTACTGCCCAAGCCCTCCTTAATCAGAAACATGGGGAGGAGGGTGGGGTGAGGTGGAATTAGTGCATTTTTAACTAGGCTTCAGGTAGTTCTGAGGCTCACTGCCCTGGGGTGGTAGGTAACCCAGCCATTACCCTGAGCCTGTTAAACACACGACAGCGGTATATACATGCATACACCCTACTCAGATAAACTCTGCCCTACACCCTGTGCCCTGACCAGGAAAGTTGATGGGGAGAAGAAACAAAACAATACAGTCTCCATGAAATGTGTGTGCCGCAGGAAAGCTCCATAAACCCCAAGGACCCTCCTCCTAAGTCTATGCTCCAGAAAGCCCCATTAACAGCCGGTGCCCCATCTGTAGTTCAAAGGATGCAAACTCTATTAAAATGGGTCGTAAAAAACTTATATAAGCCACTAAGTCCCAGTACTCAGCAAACCCCACGGAGTACTCTGTCTCTGGCTGTGGCTGGCTGGCAACTTCTCCAGGCACACTGAGGTGGAGGTAGGTACCTAGGTCAGGGTGACCTGACTGCCTGCCTGCATGGTACAAAAGATAATACGCCTGCAGACGCAGGAGATGAGAGGAGGGCAGCATATGCTGGAAAACCAAGGCCCTGCTTCAGTGTCTAATTCATGAAATCACAGAATGTTCTGGCTGAGCAAGGGAGATCACCGAGACCGGCTCTCAGATTTATAGATGAGGAAACAGGCTCAGAGAGGTGAAGTGATCACCGTAACGTCATACAACCAATGAATGCACAGGAGAAAGAAATCCCAGCTTCTCTGAGTCTCAGTGCTGAATTAGTTCCATTAAACAGTGGGGAGGGGAGGGAGGGCGATATCTCAGTAGATGTAGGAGGGAGGAAGGCAAGCAGTTCAGCACAGGGTTGAGGGTACAGACCCTGAAGCCAGATTGCTGGGGTTTAAAACTCAACTCTTCTACTTAAAAGTCTTATGGCTTTGAATAAATTAACTTCTTTGTGTCTCAGTTTCCTGTTCTGTAAAATGGGGATAACGATAATATCTGCTTCATAGCAGGAATAAAATTAAATATGAGTGAAATCAGATGAATATTTAGCACATAACAAGTATTCAACACATATCAGTTATTCCATGTGATGTTCACTTGTTTTCTTGCTAATAGTGGTTAGCTGCCGGGCGCGGTGGCTCACGCCTGTAATCCCAGCACTTTGGAAGGCCGAGGCGGGCGGATCACGAGGTCAGCAGATCGAGACCATCCCGGCTAAAACGGTGAAACCCCGTCTCTACTAAAAATACAAAAAATTAGCCGGGCGTAGTGGCGGGCGCCTGTAGTCCCAGCTACTTGGGAGGCTGAGGCAGGAGAATGGCGTGAACCCGGGAGGCGGAGCTTGCAGTGAGCCGAGATCCCGCCACTGCACTCCAGCCTGGGCGACAGAGCGAGCCTCCGTCTCAAAAAAAAAAAAAAAAAAAAAAAAAATAGTGGTTAGCTTTGGAGGCTGGAGTTAGAACAGCACTGGGGGTGGGGTTATGGGAAATTTTCATTTTATTTTCTGTACTTTCAAAAATGTGTTTTGAAAAATGTTGCTTGGGTCATTTTTTAAAGTCGATTACATTCTGACATCTATTGGGTATGTATTAATCATATTCTGTCTGCAAAACCTGGTGCTAAAAGCTGCGGAGGATTTGAGAAAAGGAGAAACCACAGGCCCTCCTTCAGAGACTTGACTTTTTTGACCTGATTAGAGAAACAAGAGTTATACATAGGAACTGTTGAGAAACCAAATAAACAATATGGAAACTTTATGCAGGGTACTATGCTTGATATAAGTAGGGATCAGAGATTAACAAGACACGGCCCTGTTTTCAAGGAATTTGCAGCCTAATTAGGAAAGCAAGAGTGTATAAATAGTCCTAATATAATTATATAATGATGTGATAACATATTGAACAATTACCAGATGGTACCCACATATACAGGCTTTATTATCTCAGTTCATATTATTATGTACAGTGTATCATCTCGGTCATGTATCATGTCAGTCAATCCTCAGAACAACCCTATGATGTACACACCATTATGGCAGATGAAAAACTGAGTGAAAGACATGAGCACAGCTTTGCCAGTGATGGTGAGTAGAAGGTCATTCCCAAAAGAGGGAAGAGTATAAGCAAAGGCACAGAGGCTGAAAGGCCCAGGGGGCTTGGGGAACCAAAGGTGGTCCAGAGCGGTAGCAGGCAATGGGTTCCTGGGGAATAGGATGGGAAGAGAAACCAGAAAGGAAAGCAAGTGAGATGCAGAGGGCCTTAAACACAAAGCTAGCAGAAGGGTCTTGAGATGAAGAGTGCGTGATAGTGACACTCTGGTGATAATATTCTGGCTGCAAGGGTAGACAGGAAGGAGAAAGACCACTGAAGGGGCCTCCATGATTGCTCCAGTGAATGGTGTGGGGCCTGGTCAAAATCATGCCACCACACACTTACCAAGCATGCAATACTAATGCATATCAAGCACCTCCCACATTCAGACACTGTTCTATATACTTCCATGTATTACTCATTCAATTCTCAGAATGACCCATGATATAGGTATGATTATAGTCCCATTTCATGTGGGAAGAAAACTGAGGCATAGCAGTATTAAATAATTTGCCCAAGTTCAAAAACAAGGAAGTTGACATCATTTCACTTAATCCTTGCAACAACCTTGACAGACTCAGAGAAGTCACATAACTTGTCTGGGCATCAGCCCGGTGCAGTCTCTCTGATCCCAAACCAATACCCACCTTGGGACTCAGTTCCCTATGCAGGGGCACAGCTCTACACCAAGGCAATGGGACCGCAAATTTTGGTATGGGAAGGAGGAACTATAAGTGCTTAAATCAACAGGACACACACACAAGGCCACATCTTGTATTATTCCATCTATATAAAATACCCAGAGCCAGAAAATCCTGAGAGAGAGAAAGCAGAATAATTTTTCCCAGGGGCTGGGGGAGGGAGGAACAGAGAGTGACTGCTCAATGAGTACAGGGTTTCCTTTTGGGGTGATAAAAATATTCTGGCAATAGATAGTAGTGATGGTTGCACAACACTGTGAATGTACATTAGCGATATTTTCACTAACGGTACATTTTATGTTATATGTACTTCACCATAATTTTTTAAAAACCCTAACAGGATGCACCAACCCTTTGGGTGTAGAACAAAGGAGATGAAGATGATACATTATTCACCACTTGTGCTTAAGAGCCTAGAAAAATCAACCATGAAGAAAGAACACAGGCTGCAGACAAGTGAAGATTTTTTTAATACAGAATATATGTTCTCCCCCCAAAAGGCCTTATCCTTTTATGCAGTTCTTGACTCCTCTAAATACCTCTGGAAGAATGTTATGTGTGAGCCAGGATAAGTGGCATTTATACTTTAGTTTATCAACCTATGTCCTGTCTTCCTGTAGCAGCTGTAATGAACAGGGGGTTTAGTGCAGCATTTGAGAGCAAAGACTTTAGAAACCAAGCAGACTCATGTTCAATTCTGGTTCCATCATCTACCAGCTGTGAAACTCTGGAGAATTCACTTTGCCTCACTAATCATAGTACCTACACTTCATAGCATTCTTTCAAAAATTAAATGAGACACTGTTCATAACATGCTTATCACTAATTTTCATTATGTGTGCTATAACATTAAAATCATGCAATCCACATTGTATGATTGTCATTTCATATTTAGTACTGTGAATTCTCTTTGAGGCTGGTGAAGCCCTCTTACAATAACTTCTCTTAGTTTATGTCAGACATTCATCCATCCAAGAGATTGGGCTGTGTCCTGTAGCAGAACTGCACCCATGAGCTGCAAACCACATGCCAATGATGCTCTTTCAATTCCCAAGTAAACTGAGGCCCAGGAGCTAGAATAACGTATGAGCTGAAGATCACATCTCTCAGCTATGGGCTGCACTACAGAATTTGCTTATAGCATTTATTCTTCCTAAATAGGTTTTGCTCTGCCTAATATTAAATAGATTGGCTTTTCTGAGCACATACCCATGGTGGATCAGGGAAGATGGTTCAAGAACCCATTAAAATCCTGTTCCCAGGTCAGGGACTCAGCTCACGCTTGTAATCCAAGCACTTTGAGAAGCTGAGGTGAGCAGATCACTTGAAGCCGGGAGTTCTAGACCAGCCTGGTCAATATGGTGAAACCCCGTCTCTACTAAAAATACAAAAATTAGCTGGGCATGGTGGTGCATGCCTATAATTCCAGCTACTTAGGAGGCTGAGGCAGGAGAATTGCTTGAACCCAAGAGGCAGAGGTTGCAGTGAGCCAAGATCACACCACTGTACTCCAGCCTGGGCTACACAGCAAGACTCAGTCTGAGAAAAAAAAAAAAAAATCCTGTTCCCTCTCTGTTTTTGAAGTCCTGATAGCCTGCACTGTACTGTTTACTTGGTTTTCAAAGGCACAACATCTCTCATTGCTCTCAGGTGCATTCGCCACCTAGTCTAGCACCTGTAGGGGCTACTCCTTCAGGGCAGGAGCATCATCCCTTCCCCCTGAATCCAACACAAATCCTTGCCTCTCCAAAGCTTCCTGTTGAAGTGACTGATGTGTGTGACCAGCTCCGAGAAGACCCAAACTAGAGACTGAAGGGTAGAGATAAGAGATCCAAAAAGCCAGAGTATCTGCCCTCCCATTGAAGGCTGGGTAAAGGGACATTAGGTATTTGAGTCATACCGAGATCTAAACGTGCAGAAGGATCACATTTTGCAGAGTCAGGGATGCTGGCAGCGGCCTGCTTGCCAGGCACAGGCGTTTCTTTAATGAAATCCAGAGAAGAAGAGTGATGAGCAACACATGTGTGAAGCTTGCTTGCGCTCTCTCACGCAGCCTGAAGATGCAGGAGGCAACGTGGGGAGTCAGGCAGGCTTGACGTCACATCCTGCTTCTGCCACTCTTACTAGACTGGGGAATGCTTAGTAAATTATTGGACTTCTCTGAGCCTCAATTTCCTCACCTGCAAAATGAAAATGATGCCACATATCTTACAGGGTAGTTGTGCGCTTTGCATGAGATGATGCCTGGCATATATCCATGGATTTTTAAAGTTCTTTCACATGCCTGCCTTCAGATGTGGACTCCTATAATAACCAATGGTTGTCAATGTGTTCCCTCCCAAAAGCACCTAATTGTTGCACATCAGATACCTGATAAGGAGTTAATATCTAGAATATACAAAGAACCCCTATAACTTAATAACAACAGCAAAACCAGATGTAAGTATGGGCAAAGGACTTGAACAGACATTTCTCCAAAGAAGATATACAGGTGGCCAGTAAGCACATGAAAAGATGCTCAACATTGCTCATTAGAGAAATGAAAATGGTGGTTACTATCCAAAAAGAAAAAAAAAAGAAGACTAAGTGTTGGTGAGGATGTGGAGAAATTAGAACCCTTGTGCATTGTCAGTGGGAATGTAAAATGGTGCAGCTGCTATGAAAAACAGTAAGAGGGTTTCTTAAAAAATTAAAAATAGAATTACTATATCACCTAGCAATTCTGCTTCTAGTATGTACCCAAAAGAACTGAAGCAGGGTCTCAAAGAGATAGTTGTATACCCATGTTCATTGCATCATTATTCAATAGCCAAAAGGGGAAAACAGTCCAAGCATCCATCAATGGATTAGAAAAACCACATGTGGTATGTCCATACAATGGAATATTACTCAGCCTTAAAAAAGGAGGGCAGTTCTGACATATGCTACAACACAGATGAACCCTGAGGACATTATGCTAAGTAAAACAAGCCAGTCACAAAAGGACAAATACTGTATAATCCCACTTATGTGAGGTAGCTAGAGTAGTGCACTTCATAGAGACAGAAAGTAGAAGAGTGGCTTCCAGGGGATGTGGGCAGGGGAAAATGGGAAGTTAGTGTTTAATAGGTACTGGGTTTCAGATTTGCAAGGTAAAAGAGTTCTGGAGAGTGCATGTACAAAAATGCAAACTCACTTAAAGCCACTGAAGTATAAACTTAAGAATGGTTACAATGATAAATTTTATGCCATGTGTCATGTGTATTTTACCACAATTTTTTTAATTTGCAAAAAAAATACCCAGTTGTTTCATATTACATACTGTGGAGATGCAAGAGAATGAGAAACAAATGCCTTGGCCTCAAGAGGTTATAATCTCTGAGAAAATGAGATGAGCGCACGCAAAAGGAGGCAGGGTAAAATCCAGTGTGTCTCAGTAGTGGAGCAATCAGAGAAGCGTGTCATCAGTTCAGTTGCACAGTGGTGGGACACTGCAGAGGTGGCGGGGACTGAGGCTTGAAAGGTAGCAAGAGGCTAGACAGGTATGAGGACAAAGGAGGGCATCCAGGCCTGGGATAAGGAGAGGAGACTGAAGGGCAGGAATGCAATGACATGTTCCTGAGACGATAAGGAAGTCTGTGTCCTTGGAGAGAAGAAGCATGCTGGGAAATCATTTGGGTAGGCAGGATAGGGATGTGTCAAGCAGTCTTGAATGAAAGCTGGGTAAAATTATGCTAAGTAAAACAAGCCAGCCACAAAAGTCTTGTATAATGTCCATGGGATGCTGTGGGAAAGGCGGGACACTGAAAATACGGAGAATATTACGGGCAATGATATAATACCTTGTCCTGGCACAAACCATCAAAGAATAAGTAGCACTATCCACATTTCAGTGAGGTAGAAACTTAGGAAGACAAAGAAACCAAGTCATCTGGTGACACACAGCTGATCAGCTACAGAATAGGGAATGGATACACTCCTAACTCCAAGCATGAAGGTATAAATGTTTCCATTTCTTAGTCTTCATTCATTCTGTAAATATATTTTGAGCACCCACTATGGGCCAGGTGCCCTTCTCAACAGTGAGGACCAGAAAGGCTGCAGGAGGAGCAGATTTGGGAAGGAAAACCGAGTTTGGTTTTGGACATCTGAGGTGTGAGAAGCCTATTAGATACCCAGAGAGTTGGATATACCTCTGAGGTTTAGAGGAGTGATTTGGACAGAAGTGAAAATTCCATAATTATCAATATATAGGAATCATTTAAAGGTATGGGACTGAATATAGCTGATAGCTTTCCCTACAAATACAAATGAAAACTGAAAGAAAGCAAAACAACGAAGGAGGGAAGGGGCAGGGAAAAGGAGGGGAAGGAACATCTCGGAAAGCAGAGACAGATACTTAGGATTGCTGCCTAACTTCCTTCAGTTCCACTGTCTGATTTCTTTTGGCTATCACTTGTAGGCGTGTGATAATTAACAAGCTAATTTACAAAAAAAGAAAAAACATCTTAGCATGGTAAAAGTCCAGAGGCTTGTGACGACATCTATAATGACCTATTAGGCCATCCATTTAAATTAGTGCAGTGACCCAGGGCTAGAAAGAATTCAACTACGGTGGAAAAGAAATTCGATGCTGAACAAACTGAAATACAGAAACTGGAACGCTGATATTGTCTGCTTTCCCCACCTCACCACTGTTCAGATACTGAGGACACACTCAGGGGCTGGTCCACACGTATTATCCCTATCGGTGGTCTCCCTTAGGCTAGTCAGGGCCCAACTCTCCACCTCCCAGGCATCTCATTAGCCGCCAGATGCCAAATTAACTGGGATTAAAAGTAAAGTTATAATTTTTTTAACACCCCATACCCAGCTCCATTTGGGAGTGGTTATCTGTGCAGACCATAAACACAGAGAAGCAAAACCTCCACATGCTTTCGTTTCAACAAGAAAGCAAGCTTCCTGGAATGACAGCCAGGTAGAGATCAGGTCTCCCAAGGGCAGAGCGAGTGATGTGGGTGGGGCAGAGGGGACGAAATGTTGTTGAGAACAGGGATGAGAAAGCGAAGCACAACAGAGCAGATAGGGAAAGAAGCCTCCCCAGGGTGACTAAGTTCCAGGCAAAGTTCTGGAGGCACTGCAGGGAAAGTTGGGGTGGGCCTGTCAGGGCAGTGAGACTAAGGTATCTGTGTCCCGGGCCTCCTCTCCCCACCAGGCACTTGCTCTCCACCACCATCTGTCTCAGTCGCTGCAGGAAGGAGGGGAATACACAGAATTGAATGGTTTGCAGGACCCGCATGACAGACAGGGACAATTGTAAGATGGAATTGATCTCAGAGTCCCCAGAAAACAGCCTTCCCTGTCCCTTCAAACTCCCCTCACTCCCTGCCTCCCCATAGCACCCCAAGCAATTGTCTAAAATTCTACTCAGGGCTGTTCATTCCTTTGGGTTAAAGCAGAGGGCATATCAGAGTCATCTGGAGCACTTGGAAAAATACAGATTTCAGAGCACCACAAGAGACTCACAAATCAGAATCGCCAGGATTGAAAAACTAGGCAAATGGCTGGGTGCGGTGGCTCACGCCTATAATCCCAGCACTTTGGGAGGCCAAGGCAGGTGGATCACTTGAGGCCAGGAGTTTGAGATCAGCCTGGGCAACATGGTGAAACCCTGTCTCTATTCAAAATACAAAAATTAGCCAGGCATGGTGGTGCACACCTGTGGTCCCAGCTATCTAGGAGGCTGAGGAAGGAGAATCGCTTGAGCTCTGGAGACGGAGGTTGCAGTGAGCCGGAGACGGCACCACTGCACTCCAGCCTGGGTGACACAGCGAGACTCTGTCTCCAAAAGAAAGAAAGGAAGGAAGTAAGGAGGAAAGAAAGAAAGAAAAAGAAAGGAAGGAAGGAAGGAAGGAAGGAAGAAAGAAAGAAAGAAGGAAAGAAAAAGAAAGAAAGAAAGAAAGAAAGAAAAGAAAGAAAGAAAAAGAAAGAAAGAAAGAAAGAAAGAAAGAAAGAAAGAAAGAAAGAAAGAAAGAAAGAAAGAAAGAAAGAAAGAAAAGAAAAGAAAGAGAGAAAGACCAGGCAACTGGGTTTTTAAAGTTACTTTATGTGATTCTGATGTGTGGCCAGAATTCGGAGAAAAACATTGCCTTCTCTAGGAAATTTTTTGGAAAACAATACCTACACACACTCTACTTGATAGTCCTAATAACATCCACTACCATTGATTGAGAGCTTCCTGGCTTCCTGTGCCTGAGCTACGAATATTACGCATATTGTATCTATTATGTCTCATGACAAACAACAGGGTTGGTGTTATTATTCCCATTTGACAAGGACACTAAGCTCAGAAACATCAAGCAAGAAAGACAAAGTTACTCAGCTTGTGGTGGTCCAGGATTTGAACCCAGTACTCTCTGCCTTTCTCCCATACATCATTTTTATTAGATGCATTATCTGGAAAAAAAAAAAAAAAACACACAACGGCCAAATCTACAATCTACTTAGCTCCCGGGAGGCAGGCTCCTTCCTGTACACTCAGGTCTGTTCGCCCTTCACCAGGCCTGGGGATGAGGTCATGCTGGTGCTTGGGCCATCTCTGACCAGGCCAGTTTCCTATTTCTAGGGCCCAAGAGCCAACAGAACATCTGTAGGAACCAGAGCCGGAATCAAGCTCTCTGTGGAGTCTGCTAATGTGGATGTGTTGGCTCAAAGTATCTGGACTAAACACAGTCTTAAAAACCTCCTGCTTAGGGCAAGGTTTTGAAAGAAGCAGTCGGGGGAAAAGATACCCACGCCCACAATACGGATGTGAGGAATAAGTAAATGTACACAGATGTGGCCAGGCAGGGCGGGATCTGAAAGATAAACCAGAGTTGGCTCAGTGGGAAGGGATGAGCTAACTTCCTACATCAGCTCCCCCTGGTTCCTTTCTCCGGAGCAACTTCAAAGGCAAAAAAGCATCAAGTCTACTCTCGAAAGCTCCTGGGCCTCTCTCGGTGAGGGGTGGGAAATAGCTGGAGAGAAAGACTTCCATCAGGTGGCTCCTGGCTATTTTTCTTCAACTTTATTGAGGTATAATTGACAAAAAGTGTTTACATTCAAGGTGTACACCGCGATGTTTTGATATAAGTGCACATTGTGAAGTAATTACCACAATCAAGCTAATTATCATATTCACCTCACCTACTTTTTTGTATGGTGAGTATAGTTAAGATCCACCCTCTTGGCAAATTTCAAGAATACAACACATTATTATTAACTGCAGTCATTATGCTGTACATTAGGTTTCCAGAACTTATTCATCTTATAATTGAAAGTTTGTGCCCTTTGACCAACATCTCCCCATTACCCTCACTCCCCACCCAGCCCCTGGCAACCACCATTCTATTCTGAGTCTGACTTGTTTTGATTCCACATATAAATGAGATCATGCAATATTTATTTTTCTATGACTGGCTTATTTCATTTAGCCTAATATCCTCAGGGTTCAGCCATGTTGTTGCAAATGGCAGGATTTGCTTCTGCTTTAAGGCTGAATAATATTCCATTTTTAAAATCCTTCCATCTGTCAACAGACACTTAGGTTGTTTCCATATCTTGGCTACTGTAAATAATGCTGCAGTGAACACGAAAGTGCAGATTTCTCTTTGAGACAGTGATTTTATTTCCTTTGGATACACACCCAGAAGTGCGATTGCTGGATCATAAGGTCATTCTCTGATTTTTAAAGGAACCTCCATACTGTCTTTCATAATGGTTGTACCAACTTACATTATCACCAACAATGTAAAGGGATTCCTTTTTCTCCACATCCTCACCAACATGTTATCTCCACATCCTCACCAACATGCAGTATTATCTTTTTGATAATACTGATTCTTACAGGTGTGAGGTGATAGCTCATTGTGGCTTTGATTTGCATTTCTCTGATGATTAGTGATGTGGAACACCCTTTCATATACCTGTTGGTATATGTCTGTCTTCTTTGGAAAAATGTACATTCAAGACTTTTGCCTAGTTTTTTTTTTTTTCTTTTTAGAGATAGGTTCTCTGTCACCCAGGCTGGAGTACAGTGGCATGATCATAGCTCATCGCAGCCTTGAAATCCTGGGCTCAAGCAATCCTCCTGCCTCAGCCTCCCAAGTAGCTGGAATTATAGGTGCAAGCCACCTTTTGCACAGGTTTTAATCCAGTTGTGTGGTGTTTTTTTTTCTATTGAGTTATGTAAGTTCCTTATATATTTTGGATAGTTACCCTTATTGGATATATGGTTTGCAAATATTTTCTCCCATTCTGTGGGTTTCCTTTTCGTTTTGTTGATTGTTTTCTTTGCCGTGCAGAAGCTTTTTAGTTTGACATAGTCCCACTTGTTATTTTTGCTTTTGTTGCCTGTGCTTTTCGTGTGATATCCGAGAAATTCCCAAGAATGAGATGGAGAGCACCTGGAAGCAAGAACACAGAAAGCCCACACTCTAACCACAGCCTGCCTTCCTACATCCCTTGCAGCATAGGACACACAGTCAAGTGCCCTCAGGCTGACCAGGTAACAAGCATTACAGGGGACTTCCGCCCTCTTTAAAGGAGAGACCCTGGGTAACCCATGGCCTTCTGGTAGCTCTCCACATGCCCACTGAGAGGACTGTGCTGGAACAGAGAAGACCTGTTGAGCTTCTCTGGTCACCCAGTGGTCATGCTGGCAGCTTTCCTGGGTAATCCAGCACAGGCTGTACTAGCCTTGCACCACCCCTTGAACCTTCCCTTCCAAGACCACAGCCCGCAGCCTGTCAGCAGTACCTTACAGCCTGGGCACAGGCCCAAAACTTGCACATGCCCAAAACGTGCACATGCCCATCTGCCAGGCTGAGCCGGCAAAGGCTCCAATCTGATTGGTAGAAACTGGCTGAGGACCGTGTCAGACGTGGAGAACAGACCTCGTTCCACCAGAGCATTGCTGGTTTCTCCCAGAAGAACCTTGGCTCTCTGTCTGCCAGGCCCCATTCTGGTGCTACTGGCCCCAGGAAGATTCTGATATTTGTCCCCAGTCGGCCCAAGACCCTGTCTTACTGCCTACAACTGACAGGGTGTTTTATGCAACTTTAAGGCCAGAAAGTGTCAGATCTGGGTGTGCTGGAAGCAAACTATAAACAACCATGAGGAAAAGATTCTCAGAAACTTTGTTACAGCTGTTCAATTGGATATTCCAGCTCATCAAAAATATCCCCTCATTGCTGAACATACAAAGGTCCACCCTGGCTCCAGATCTTACCTACAGCCTAAGACTGCTTCCATAATTACAGACTCCTTTACAGGCACCGATAGAAGCAATCACATTTGGGATCCCCGAAGCCAGCATTCAAATGTATCAATTCCACTAAGGAAATTTCCGCATTTAATTTTAGCAACTGGTGAGCAACCTTTTTAATTTTTTCACAAAAAGATCATTTCAGAAAAAATAAAAGTGTTTGCATCTTATATAGAGAGATTTTTTCATCAGATGTTTTATATCAGAAAATGTAATATCTACAATGGAAAGTATTTATTACCTCCATGTCAGTAAAGACTTTCACTGAGCAGAAGGCTACTAAAACTTCACAAACCACTCTGTAATCTGCATGTTATACAGTATCTCCTTGTAATACTGCACTTTCAAACAACTGTGGTCTGAGATGAACCCAGGTAGAATCAGAATGAGGCAGGGAGAGACTGAAACATTTGGGAGTGTAGTGTTCGAAGTGAATAACCAGACATGAATGAAAAAGGAAAATGCTCAGATTGTAATGAGATGAGCTAGAAGTAACTAGGGAGGAGTTTGAGAGAATGGGGAATACAAAAACTGGAATGGAAAAGACTGAAAAGTCAGGCCCCTGGGGAGATTCCTGGAGCTGAGGATGCTCTGTTTGAGGAGGGCTTGCAATGGGCAGGGGGAAGGGTGCGTCCAAGTGGGGCCTAAAGAACGTGTCAGGTGGTTGGGGAGGGAGAGGAGTGAGGGGGAAAGAGCATAAAGGAGAAACAATGCTGAACCCTGAATGCCAGACTTTTCCTCTCCCCTTCCAGCCTATCAACTGGCTAGGAAGGATCATTCTTGCTACAGAATTGGAGTGGAGATAATGATGCTTCCTCCTGAATATTGCCCTAAGCCCTCTGCCTCCATCCCAGATTCCCACATTCCCTAGGGACTCCTGACTAAGCCCAAGGAAGGAGAGTTAGGGGCACAGCTTCACTGCTCCAGTCAGATAGTGGCAGCAGCATAAGGGCCACTGGTTTACTCAGTTCAGGGACAACTTGTTCATTTTCCAGTGAATAAGTCCTTTTTTTTTTTTTGAGATGGGGTCTCATGTTGCCCAGGCTGGTCTTAAACTCCTGGGCTCAAGTGATCCCCCAGCCTCAGCCTCCCAGGTAGTTGGGGCTATAGGCACAAGCCACCATGCCTGGCTGACAGCCAATTATTCTTGAATGAATCTAACACTTTGTGGTTTCTTGTTCTTGATATTAGATTATGGTGTATCTCAAAGCTACTTAGTTCATCACAGCTACAGTATTGATGCTCATTAAGATGCAAATCCCATTGTCAAACAGGCCTAAAGAGGATTTAAGGTTTTTTGTTGTTTTTATTCAAGTATAATTTACATACTGTGAAATTTTCCCTTTTTAGTGTAGAGTTCTGTGGATTTTGACAAATATATACAGTCTTGTAACCACCACCACCATCAAGATCTAAACAGTTCATGCCTCAAAAAATTCCCTGGGCCCCTTTGTACTCAATCTTGTACCCCCACCCCACTCCTGGCAGCCATTGATCTATTTCCTAACCCTAGAATTTTGTCTTCTCCAGAGAGCCACATACATGAGATAATACAGTATATAGCCTTTTCAGTCTGGCTTCTTTCACTGAACATAATTTTTTTTATATAAACGTCAGGTTTTTAAAAAGGAAGGGAGGAAACAGAATTTTAAGAGACTGGACATTAGATGAGTCTTCAGAATTAGCTGAGTCCTCTGCAGGCTGTAAAAGGGTACAGAAAAAGGAAAGTTGAAACCCCAAATATACAATCTGTTCCCTTTGCGACTGAGTCAACAGCTGCCCCTAAACTCAAAAAAGGGCTCACACAGGGACACTCTTGGTCACAAGACAGGCACTTCAGTCTTCTGTGTGATCTTAGAAAAGTCACTTAGCTTTTCCAAGGCTCATAATTTTCTCCTCTGTCCAATGATGTCCAGACCCAGCCACAGCAGTGGACCAAAGACGGGCCTTCCCAGTGACTTCTGCTAAAGCTACCAGGAGAGATACCCTCTCGTATCATTCTGTAGGTTCCTAAAATATTAATAGTTGAATTTAAGCCTGGAGAGGCTGGTGGCCATTTGTGCCACCACTTGGGAAGATCTTGTCTGAGAATACAGCCAGCCAGAAGACAGCAGCCTGGAGGGACAATGACAGCAATATGATGACTTCATATGAGCACTGTCATCCCACTTTGCTTCCATCTATCCTTGGACTGGTACATGAACCAACACTGCCCCTTAATTTGCTTAATAAAAATAATGCATGAACTACCTATTACTTTGAAGTGTGGTGAAGATCACGAAATAACAGCTGTGATTGAGCCGTGTAAAAACTACATAGCTGTTGGATATTAAAATTCATCTATTTCAGTCTCTAGAAACATGCTTTCCAATCCTGTACTTTTAAGAGCTGTCATATCTTAATGCCCAATAACTGTAAGGTTAAAAGCAAAACACTTAGGCCATATATGACAATCAAACATCTCAGAGTTATTCACACCTTAGGCCCTCATAGAAACTCACACTGATCCTTCCCAAGATGCTCAAATTCAGTACAATTCAGCCAATACTGAGAACAACGTACAAGGCTAAGATCTGTGGTTATATAAAGAATGACAAGATATAATCTCCATCATAAAGGCAATCCAAAAGAAAGAGAAAACACGTCTGGTTGCAAAAATCAGAAAAAGACCCTTGAAGACAGGTTATCTGAAAACAGTGGGATTTCAAACAGTGGAGGAGAGGAGGAAGGGCATTTCGGGGAAGGCAAGGCATGAGCAAAGGCAGAGAGGAAGGAAATACACAGCTTAAGAAGAAAACAGCAAATCAGCTCTTCTGGCTGAAGTGTACTTTATCTACAGGTGTAAAGAAATTAAGTCAGAAAGACTGGGTAAATGCCATAAAAGGCTCTAGTTGCTATGCAAGAAGTCATTGCTTAATGCTAAAGCAAAGAGAAAACCCTGAAAAATAACATCATTAAAACTATGTTAATTAATGATTTTAATTAACATAATTAAAACTGTAAATCTGGTAATAGTTGCAGGATGAAGCTAGAGGTGGGAGAGATTGGCAGCAGGGAGGCCAGTTAGGAGAAAATTCCAAGAGCCCAGACAAAAGGTTTGCGTCGCCTGCAGCAGGACTGTGGAGAGGAGGACGCTGGCATAGGAGGCTGTCAGGACCTGCCAGGAGGTGTTGAGCACATGGGGAAAAGGAATGAAACAAAGGGTTCAAGCCAGGGAGATGGAAGAATGGAGGTGCTGTATAATCAGGAAGGGGTGCTAAGGTTGGGGGAGGGATGTAAATTTGTTCCTGGTTTTGTTGAACTTGGGGCGATGTCCAGGTTGAAATGTCCAAGAAGCACTTGGCAATGTACGCAAGTCAGCAGAGGGGGTGAGTCTTAGGCCCCAGGTGGAGGTGAGGGAGGGCCCCGGGCAAGACAAGCTCTGTGGACAGAGCAAGGAGAGCACACCTGAGGGCAAGGGGACATGCAGAGAGCATGTGATTGGACCTGACTCCACCCTGACATTCTGTGTCTTAAGGCTCCAGGGGAGAAGGGGGCCAGGTAGGGCAGACGCTTGGGGAACATCTACACATCACAGGCGAGAGGATACACCTGGAAAGAGGCAGAAAAGGAGCCGAGAGGTCCTCCGCTGGGCAGTTGCGAGGAGGAGCCCCGGGCCGTTGGCAAATCAGCCCCACTCCGGGTCTCCCGCTTCGTGAATGGGGACACTGTTCCCACCCGCACAAAGGCTGGACAGGTAGTGGATGTCTGAGTGCTCCGAAGAAGAGCACAGCGTGTTCCAGGACTGGCAGGCCTGATTCCGCCTGGCTTCAGGCAGGGTGGGGAGTGAGGGATGACTCCTTGAAGAGTGTTTGGGAGTTCCTGATTTATCCAGAAGATGAGAGGAATCTGTAAGTGAGCCAAGACGTGGGCCAAGGGTAATTCATGCTTGCTCGCTCGCTCACCCACCTCCTTCTCAGGATTTCATTTTGAAGACAGCTGCGTGGGAGAAACATTTGGTCTCAAGTTGGCAAGGCTAGCATAACCACACTTCCTTGGAGAGAGTCGTCCAGCCCCCAACCCCATGCTGCAGGGGAGATGCCGGTGGCCAGGTGTGGGGCCTGACAGCACACAGGCAGAGAGATGCACGATGACCGACGACCGTCCATCTCCTGAAGGCGGCAGCTCCCTTTCAGCATGGCCGGGCCCCTCTTCCATCTGCTCATTCCCCCAGTCATTCCCATTTTCTGGGACTGGGATTTGGGCTTTATCCACTCAGTGAAGTCTCCCCTGATCACCTTAAACCAAAATGATCCTTACCTCCATCAGACTTCTGAAGCCTCTGAGGATGCAGAATCCACAGTCGCTTACCATCACTGCCTAGTGTTCCTATCCATAAATTCTTCCCACAGAAATGTCCTTCACATCTACTGGAGGATGCTCAAGGAAGGCGCACATGCAGGACAATGAGAGGAAAGAGGTTCAGCCCTTCCTGTTCTCCAGAAACTTGACTGTAAGAGGAATGAGGATAGCCCCACTGCGAACCACAACACATGGTAGAAAGTGAGAGGAGTTTTAAAGTTGATGGAGAGGCAGGCAGTGTCAGGAAGTCAGAGCGAGGAGTAGACTCCAGGGCAGGGGAACTTAGGAAAGCCTTCCTGGAAGAGGTGACTGCTCCACGTCTAATTTGCCTAATAGACTGATTTTTCTGTAAGCAACTGCCCTTCAAGCCCTGGCACACAACAGTAGTGAAGAAAAATGCTTTAGACAGTATGATCTAGTCACAGGAACACCAGCCCTGCTCTCACCCAGAGCAGCCTTCCAACTCCCGCCTATCATGTAATAGCTCTCTGACCTGGGGCAAGTGACTTAATCTCTCACAGCCTCAGTTTGCCATCTCAGAAATAAGAATAAAAATGTGTATGTCGGTCAGGCACAGTGGCTCACACCTGTAATCCCAAAACTTTGGGAGGCAGAGGTGGGTAGATCACTTGAAGCCAGGAGTTCAAGACCAGCCCAGCCAACATGGTGAAAACCTGTCTCTACTAAAAATACAAAAATCAGCTGAGTGTGGTGGCAGACACCTGTAATCCCAGGTACTCTGGTAGCTGAGGTGGGAGGATTGCTTAAACCCAGGAGGCGGATGTTGCAGTGAGCTGAGATCCCACCACTGTACTCCAGCCTGGGTGACGGTGAGACTCTCTCTCAAAAAAAGAAAAAGAAAATGTGTATGTCAGATGGTAAAAAATACATGGGACAATATATAGGAAGACTTGGCACAGTGCCTAGCACATAGTAGTTGTCAAATTAGCATTAATTTCCTTTCTCCACAACCCTCCGCAACTCAAGAATGAAAGCCTTGGCCTTTATCCTCTCATCCTTACCTCCTGCCTGGCGTCTATGTTCCCCAGAATAAGGATCCGGCTTGCCTTCCTCATTCATTCCCATGTGCACCTTCAGACAAGTGCACAAAATGTTCATGTTCTAAGAGTTATTTTCTCTTTGGTTCCTCCAACACTTTGCTTTCCTGCCACTTCCCATCTCCCTGAGCTCCTTTCCCTTCCACAAATCTGCTAAGAGCCAACACTCACACAGGCCTGTGCCAGGCACCTCGGCACCACTTCACTTAATCTGCAAAACAATGCTATGAGGTGAATGCTACCATTACCACCATTTTACAGGTGATGGAGCCTGGGTACAGAAAAGTCAAATGACTTGCCTATGGTGACCAAAGCTAATCCATGGAGGAGGCAAAATTCAAACCCAAAGTCTATGGTCTTGACCCCAAACTGTACTACAAGCTGTCTTACAGCTGCTTTGATTGTTCCTTTTTGCAACTAAACAGTTCCGAGATATATTTGTTCATATGGAAGTGATAGTCTCTGAGGACTCTGAGCCAAAGGAGAGCCTGCATCAGGAGGACGATGTCTAACTCAAGCTGGAAACCTCTAGTGGTGGGAGATATGGCAGACTTGCCATGCGTGGAACCAAACCAGCCTGCAGGGGTGATGGACCACATGTGGTGTTGCAATCACATCATGCGCCCAGGGCTCCAAGGGACCTGCCCACATCACAGGCCACTGTTTCCACCAGATGCTGGCCTGGCCCAGTGACTCTGAGAGGGAGATTAGCATGTAGGAGGTTTATTGAAGACTGTTCTCAGAAACAATCTAGGTGGAAGGGGTGATAGAAGCAGGACTGGGCAGAGGGAACAGGTGGGCTGCGACGCAGCTGTAACAAAAGTCCTAGGCAATCCCGAGGGGAGCTCTACAGCGAGGATGGACTTGGAGAACTGTCTCATTTTGGGGAAAGGAGGCTAGACCTTTCCCATAAACCAGTCTTTCCATGAGGGCTGCCCTCAGGAAGGGGCTTCTCTTCTGCTGAGGCAATAGTCCTGGGGAGGAGGGGCGCAGCTGCAAGCTGTCAGCAGCCCACACTCCCAGCAGTTGGGGAGTGAGTACTTCAGGCCTGCAGGGGGGATCTGCGCATCAAAAAATCCACCCCTACACTCAGGCTCAGGGTTCTCTTAACACACAACAGAGGCCCAGGCCAAAAGTCCTGTTGCTCCAGGAAGGCGGAGAACACACGGACCTGTGTAACCTCATCTCCTTTTGTGTTTGTCAGATTCCCAGTCATACCATCAAGCTGCTGCTTCTCTCACTGGCATTTGCTAACTTCCAATGCTCACACCACTTAACGCAGACAACCCCCCCGTTTACATGGATGAGTATACTGTCTTTCAGGACTGCAAGCATTACGTAAAATCAGGCTCAACTATAGACATGGAACTGAATTTCAGAGTTTAATTTTTTTTTTTTTTTTCTGAGATGGAGTCTTGCTCTATTGCCAGGATGGAGTGCAGTAGCGCCATCTCTGTTCACTGCAACCTCCACCTCCCAGGTTCAAGCGATTCTCCTGCCTCAGCCTCCCAAGTAGCTAGGACTACGGGTGCACGCCACAACGCCCAGCTAATTTTTGTATTTTTAGTAGAGACGGGGTTTCACCATGTTGGCCAGGATGGTCTCAATCTATTGACCTCATGATCCACCTGCCTCGGACTCCCAAAGTGCTGGGATTACAGGCGTGAGCCACCGCACCCAGCCCAGGGTTTAATGTTTTCCACTGGACTGCACTTCATAATTACCCAGCCTCAACTGCGCAGCCCACATGGTGCCACCTGCTATACAGCAGATATAAAAAGTGTGAGATGGCCCCTGCCTTCCAGGAGGTTTTCCTTGAAGCTAAGACCACCCCATGAAACTGCTACACAATGAATGCCATGTGCACAGGCTCAAAGCAAAATCGTTGTTCTGAGAAGGCAGGGGCCAGCAGGCCCCAAGTGGCCTTATGACTTGCAGAGCAGAAAGAGCCCACCGAGGTCACCAGCAGAGCCATGCCTGGAATCCAGGTCCCTTGAAGCCCCGAGCGCTTCCTACTACACGACTTTGGGGGAAGAGAGACTCTTAGCTGCGTAGAAAGAAAGCTGATAGTGGAGACGGTGAGAGGGAGGAGAGAGGGCATTTCAGGCCAGCCACTAGGCTGACTCCATGACCTCCTTCAAGTCTTTGCTCAAACCTCACCCTCTCAACGAGGCCAGTGCTGACCAGCCCACATAACACCCCAACCTGGCCACTCCGCACCTCCCCAGGGAATTCCAATGCCCCTTACCTTGCTTAGTAATGTCTCTTTTTCCGTGGCCTTTATCATCTTATCACATACCCCACCATTTATGATTTACTGTTTCTTGCGTATTATTTGTCTTCCCTTGCTAAAATGTGAGCTCCATGAGGACAGAGACCTTATCTGTTTTCTGTGCTCACAT
Source organism: Homo sapiens (assembly GCF_000001405.40). Taxonomy (NCBI): domain Eukaryota; kingdom Metazoa; phylum Chordata; class Mammalia; order Primates; family Hominidae; genus Homo; species Homo sapiens. The sequence continues at coordinate 45,733,365 of NC_000002.12, read as the reverse complement.
ATCCCAAGCTCCTCGAATCATGCCTGGCTCACAACAGGCACTCAACAAATTCTTGTTGAATGAATGAATGAACAAGAGCTAATATTTGTTGAGCAGTTACTGTGTACCAGGACAGGGCCAGCCACCAGGGGAAAGGTGGGAAGCAAGTCAGAATCTCTGCCTGCATCAAGCTCACATGCAGTCAGTCTGATACCTCCTCAGCCAGCTTCTGAGAGAGGAGTAAACTCTCAAGCCCTAAGCCACAGGGATCACCAGTAAACCGCAGCCCCAGGGCCAAATCTCAGTCACTGCCTTTGTTTATAAATAAATTTGTTTATTTGTATTGTCTATGGCTGCTTTTGCACTACAATGGTAGAGCCAAGTTGTTTTCGCAGAGACTCTGTGGCCCGCAAAGCTAAAAATATTTACTCTCTGATCCTTTAAAGAAAGTCGTCGACCCTTGATCTAGGACATCCATTAATTATAACGATTTAACTTCTCTCCTGTTTATCTAAAATTACCAATCATGTACCATCTTTAGGAGAACTCAGAAAACAGTTCACTCATGTCGGTTTTTTGTTGTTGTTGTTGTTCTGTGGTCAGATGAGGAATCTTATTTGAGAAAGATAGTGAAAGAGACAGATAAACAAATAGGAAAATACCAAATAGTGTGTTAGGTGCTGGCTGAGGAAGGTGCAGGCAACACACTACAGATGCACATAGAAAGCTATGTGTAGCTGGATTTGGAGGATCCGGGAAGACTTCCTGGAGGAAGCAGCATCTAAGATATTATAATGATTATTGTTACCACTACTACTACTGCCCAAAGTAAGCTATAAGTAAAACATATAATATATATTATAGACTGACTTCAAACCTTTTTTCAAAAAGGTGGATATCAATGGATGAATAAACCTATTTAATACAGGTAATGACCAATAATACTGTATTTCATTATTTAGTAAGCTCCTGGTTATATGATAGGTACTCTGAAACATAAATCTGCCCTGTGAGTTGATACTAACATATGAAGAACCTCAACATATCCAAATATTTTAACACTAACAACCTGGGTAGAATGTACTTAAAATGGCATTCAGGGCTCACCTATAGAAAAACCTGAGTCCCTGAGACATGTCTGTCCCTAGCCTCCCGACATGGAGCCCTTTGCCTGCCCTAGGATGTCCAGGGCCCCCATATTCTTTCCTCCCTCTCCAATGACAGTCTGTTCCAAAAAAAAGCTCTCATAAATTTCATTTATACTGAGGTTCACATGACTGATAAGATGGTATGGCCCTTCTCTAGGACATCTGTATTTTAACTACTCATAACAAGGTTTAACTTACAGGAAAGACTTTCTAAGGGTGGAATTTCTAGGACTGTGGCTGACAGTGAAAATGGAGTTCTGTGGAGTAGGAGGTCATTCTGAAAGCCTAATTTGAATCACATGGCAGTCTGTAGCAGTAAAAAGCTCCAGGAATTGGCCAGGTACACTGGTTCATGTCTGTAAACCTAGCACTTTGGGAGGATACCTTGAGCCCAGGAGTTCAAGACCAGCCTGGGTAACACGGTGAGACCTTGTCTCTACAAAAAATTCTAGCCAGGTGTGGTGGCACACACCCATGGTCCCAGCTACTTGGGAGGCTGAGGTAGGAGCATCACTTGAGCCTAGGAGGTCAAGTCTGCAGGGAGCAATGTTTGCACCACTGCACTTCTTCCTGGGCAACAGAGTGAGACCCTGCCTCAAAAAAAAAAAAAAAAAAAAAAAATTCCAGGAATTCAGAAAATTCTTGGTTTTCAGGCTTAGGTTTCCCCATTAGTAACTACAAAATCCAAGACACTTAATGTCTCTGAGTCTCTTTCTCTCATGTCTAAAATGAACTTGAGAATTAAGGAAGGAAACTCAACTTCTCCCAGTTTCCTGAAGAGACTCAGTAAATGAAAAACCTCCAGACAAATGATTTTTACTCCATCTCCCCACTTCTTTTTTGGCATCTCTCCCAGGCCAGACATTTATACATCACACCTGCATGAGCCACAGAACTGATGGTCCTAAAATACTGACCAGAAAACCACAAGGAATGGAGCTGCTCTGTCTAAGTGAATGCTCTGAGCCCAAGAGGCTGAGTTGTCATAGGCAAAAACTGTGCATAACTCCATTAAGACACCCCTTGCTCTCCTGACACTAGCTGTAATAACCATCTTCCTCTCTAAACACAAAGGCCAATGCTAACTAATAACAGAAATCAACAGGCCCTAAACTCACCAGTCTCTAAACTGTCCACAGTAGCCACTTTCTGCCTGAGAGTTCTCCCTGGTTAGAGAACACCCAGGCTCCCACTATTCCCACATTCCTATTTCCTTCACTTCAAAATTTTCATTAACAGCTTCCACTTGTTCTTCCACACCAGTCAGATTTTCCTTTTAGATAAATCCAGGAATATCATTGCTCCATAAAGGTAAAAATGTATTTTTAAAAATGTTTTACAAATAACAGCACTCTGTCTCCCATGATCTGTCGGGCAGACACACAAAATTAATTTTTTAATGGAAATTTCCTTGGGAGAAGTGTCTCTTCAGAGACAGAAAAGAAACTGGTAGCTCTTGAAAATTAAAAATGTTGTGCTTGCCAGGCATGGTAGCTCACACCTGTAATCCTAGCACTTTGGGAGGCTGAGGCGGGTAGATAGCTTAAGGCCAGGAGTTTGAGACCAGCCTGGCCAATGGGGTGAAACCCTGTCTGTACTAAAAATACAAAAATTAGCCAGGTGTGGTGGTGCACACCTGTAATCCCACCTACTAAGGTGGCTGAGGCACAAGAATTGCCTGAACCCAGGAGGCAGAAGTCGCAGTGAGCCGAGATTGTGCCACTGTACTCGAGCCTGGGCAACAGGGTGAGACTCTGTCTCGGGAAAAAAAAAAAAAAAAAAATTACAACTGGTGGCTCACAGTTGTAATCCCAGAGCTTTGGGAGGCCAAGGTAGGAGGATCACTTGAGGCCAGGAGTTTGAGACCAGCCTGGGCAACACAGCAAGACTCCATCTCTACAAAAATAAAAAATAAAAAATTAGCTGGGTATGGTGGCCCACACCTGTAATCCTAGCTACCCAGGAGGCTGAGATGGGAGGGTTGTTTGAGCCCAAAAACTTGAGGTTACAGTGAGCACCACTGCACTCAAGTCTGGGTGACAGAGCGGAACCCTGTCTCTAAAAAATTTATTTTTCCAGTGTTGTGCTCTGTTGTCCCCAAACGGCTCTTCAAGCCTGGCGTCTATGGTAACATGACTGTAACCTCAGTGCTGCCCTGCTAATGTGTGGTTTCTGTTTTTCTTCCTCTTTTCAAATCCAAGGTTAACCAACGGACTCAAAACATCCATTCTTGTCAATGTTGTTGAACTATAAAAGTATGACTCTATACCCTTAAAAAATGCAAAATGCCCAGGACCCAAAGATCTCCTCCATGCTGATCTGTTCCTCTTTTAAGACTCCAGGTGGAGCTAGTAGGAACTGCACTCCAGGCTTTGAGCCATTGACAGATCTGCTCCCCTTGAGGCAAGGTGGACGTACTAGTTCTTCCTCCGGTCAAGGATGGCCAGAGCAGTCTGGACCCACTCTGGCCTAATCAGCATCAGCATACAGGCTCATCATCCATTACACTACCAATGTCCCTTGGAATATTTTCTGCTCAAACTTAAAAAATAAGCCCCCATGGAGGATACAGCCTAGAATCTCTAGTACAGATTCAAAAATAGCTGTATTCCTGAGTATGCACATCCCTTCAAAACGGTGTAAAAATTTTCAGAAGCCAAGGGTCAGTGATCACAGCCTCACTGGGGCCTAAAAATATCCTTCAGGCTATTGCTGTAGGAGGGGGAAAAGGAATCGGAAAGTAATGAAGGGGGACACATAGATGCATATGATGGAGGCTCCAGGGAGGGCCGAGCTGGCTTGATATCACATCTACACTGGCTGTCTCATAAGCGTATTAGGATCACACCCTTTGATAATAAAGAGGATGCAATGACCCCTGCTAAGAAGACACAGGCTTGAGCTGAGGATGGCTTTCATGGCACCTTTCATCTACTTTCTCTCTACTCTATCTTGCTCAGTCTCCCATAAGCCAGTGCAAACAGAGACTGCACTGTGTCCTCCACCGCCCTATGTGAATTAACCAGCAAGGATCCTGGTATAAGTGACGTGGTATCAGCTCCTTCGGGTCCCAAGGACAATGCCTCTGTTCCATTGATCAAGGCTTTGGAACTCCTTCCTTTGGAGTCCAGGCTTCCAAGTCATCATGGTAGCCATGGTCGGAATCCTACCTTGGCAAGTTGAGAGCAAGATCCCTGGTGGGGCAGTGAAAAAGAAAGACGATGGGAAGTGAGGGAAGAAGTGGGAATAGAGGCAGCCTCACTTGGCAAACACAGTGCAGCACAGCCTACCAGTTAGGAGCCAGTGCCCCAGTGCCACCGTATACTGAGTTCAAATCTTTGCTAACACCCAGCTCCAACACCCAACTCTAAACACATTACTCAACCTCTCTAACCTTAAAGGAGAGATGATGGTCATACCTTCCTCATACAGTTGTTATGAAAAATAAGTGACATGATGCATGAAAAGCACTCAGCACAGGGCCTCAATAATTAGCAGCTGTTATTGCTCAGATACTGAAAACAAACCATGAACTGGTGAAGACAGACCTCAACTTACAGTCAGGCAACCTGGGGGCTTTCAGTTCCCCATCTGTAAAACAAGGGGCTGAGAATGAAGGTTCCTTCCAGCTCAGACACTCTAGAAGTCTGTGACTAAGATACAAAGATTCCAGCGGCACGTGGGCATTACAACTGTAATATAAAATGACACCCAATAGCACTTGCACCACCCTCAAAGCAAGCAGCATGCACAAGAGGATACTGTGAAGAGTGCGTGTGTTTGGGCATGGGACTATTGGGGGAAGGGTTCTGGTGAAGAAGGGGCCAGTGAAATGGCATTGCTTAGATTGTTCTCTGGCTTGCTAGTCCAACATCCAGGAATGTTTCTGGCCTTCTAGGTATGAAGCAGGCAATTAGGGTCTTATAAAAATAAAAATAAAAAATTTCACTTAAAATCAAGAGGGAGAAATTTCTACTTGCCCTAACCTTGATCCTTTGCCCTTTGAAGCCAAAACAGATACTACCCTTAATTTATTTAGAGTAGCTTCTCACCCATCACCTTACTCCCTTGATGGGATACGAAGGACTTTCTGAAAGGATGTGGAGTCACACTTTGAAAAATACACTTACACAGAAGGAGCAGGCTTGAAAAGAAAAGATACGCTTAAACAGAAAGCGAGGCATGGTGTTTACTCAAGAGACCATCTCCCTCAGCCTGGTTTAAGCCAGTAAGGGCTTTATTTTCCATCTTGGCTTCCCAGAGTTTACTGTAAAAATACATGCCCTGGCTGGGCCCGGTGGCTCACGTCTGTAATCTCAGCACTTTGGGAGGCCGAGGCAGGCAGATCACGAGGTCAGGAGTTTGAGACCAGCCTGACCAACATGGTGAAACCCCGTCTCTACTAAAAATACAAAAATTAGCTGGGTGTGGTGGCGGGCACCTGTAATCCCAGCTACTCAGGAGGCTGAAGCGGGAGAATCGCTTGAACCCAGGAGCCAGCGGTTACAGTGAGCCGAGATCGCACCACTGCACTCTAGCCTGGGTGACAGAGCGAGACTCCGTCTTAAAAATAAAATAAAATAAAATAAAACACATGCCCCAATGTGAAGTCAAGAAGCAGAGTCCAACCAATGCAATGGCAAGAAACTAAAGGCATCAGGGAGCAAATGATGGCCAGCAGAACATCTGGGTGGAATGACAGATGTTGTACAAAAGCTTGGTCAAATCCTCTAAGCTACCTGGAATGCCCTCCCTCCTAGTCCAAATCCTCTTATCCTTATCCTTTAGGCAGAGTTTGAACCCCGTCCTCCGGGAAGCCCCCAGTGATCTCTCCCATTAGAGGTACCCACTCCCACTTTTGTGCACTGGTTGGACATACACAACATTCCGCCATTGCTTGTCTTCTACCTTCAATACACATCAGTTTCCATAAAAAGACTTCCAAAAGATCTTACTGTATCTCCCTTATCACCATGTATTTGGTTTATGCTAAATAAATAACTATGGCCTTAAGAGGTAGGTAAGCTGTTCTTGTCTACACAGTTTTCTACTCCGGAGAAGACTGCATCATTTGCCTAACAAGGATTAACTCTGCCCCATCACATAAAATTAACTTCACCTTGGGCAAACAGGGACTGTACTATGACATGCATCCAGGTATACATCTTTATCTAGAAAATTTGCTTAGCAAATGGCAGGTCTATTAATAAAAACTCTAAGGTCAAATCTCAAACTCAATAGAGCTTGTCAATATTAAGCCTTCGCATACATTTTTAATCTTATTTCCCATGAGGAAAGTAAGGGCCAGAAAGGTTAAGTGGTTTTCCCAAGGTCACCCAGCTAACAAGCAGCAAAGTCAGCCCTGGAATTCAGTTCTGCTTCTTTTTCCACCACCCTACAGCCACCCTACAAGCCCTCTATGTCACCTAGGAAAACAGGAGGGCTGATGACCGAGGCAATAGGATCAGTAGCCACAGGCTCCCAGGACATATCTGACCCCTTAAATCAGCAATATTTTTTAGAAGAATGTATCCTGAGAATCAAAAGTACAGGTATACATCAGAGATATTGAAGGTTCAGTTCCAGATAACTATAATAAAGCAAGTCATAAAAATATTTTGTTTCCCAGTGTACGTAAATTTATGTTTACACTATATGTAGTCTATTGTGTGTACGATGTAATTATGTCTAAAAATGTACATACTTTAATTGAAAAGTGCTTTATTGCTAAGAAAAATGCTAATGACCATCTGAGCCTTTAGCACACGTTGTAATCTTTTTGCTGCTGGGGAATCGTGCCTCGATGTTGACAGCTGCTGACTGATCAGGGTAGTGATTGCTGAAGGTCAGGGTGGCTGTGGCAACCCCACAGCAAGAAATTGCTATGCCAATTTCTTAAAATAAGACAATGAAGTTTGCCACATAATGGACTCTTCCTTTCACAAAAGATTTCTCTGTAGCATGTGACACTGTTTGATGGCATTTTCTGTCAAAATTGGAGTCAATCCTCTCAAACCTTGCTGCTGCTTTATCAGTGAATGTAATATTCTAAATCCTTTGTTGTCATTTCAACGTTATTCACAGAATCTTCACCAGGAATAGATTCTATCTCAAGAAACCACTTTCTTTGTTTTTCCCTAAGAAGCAACTCCTCATCCGTTCAAGTTTGGTCAAGAGACTGCAGCAATCCAGTCACATCGCCAGGCTCCATTTCTAATTCTAGTTCTCTTGCTATTTCTACCACATCTGCAGTGACTTTCCCAGCTGAAGTACTGAAACCCACAAAGTCATCCACGGAGCTGGAATTAACTTCCTCCAAATTTTTGATAATGTTGAAATTTTCACCTCCTCCCATGCATCATGAATGTGGGTTTTTTTGTTGTTGGTGGCGGTTTTTTGTTTTTTTTTTGAGATGGAGTCTCACTCTGTCAAGAGGCTAGAGTACAGTGATGTGATCTCGGTTCACTGCAACCTCCGCCTCCCGGGTTCAAGCGATCATCCTGCCTCAGCCTCCCAAGTAGCTGGGACTACAGGTGCGTGCCACCACGCCCAGCTAATTTTTATATTTTTAGTGGAGATGGAATTTCACCATGTTGGCCAGGATGGTCTCGATCTCTTGACCTCGTGATCTGCCCGCCTCGGTCTCCCAAAGTGCTGGGATTACAGATGTGAGTGTTCTTAATGGCATCTAGAATGGTGAATCCTTTCCAGAAGGTTTTCAATTGACTTTGCCCCAATCCATCAGAGAAATCAATATCTATGGCAGCTAAAGCCTTATGAAATGTATTTCTTAAACAATAAGACTTCAAAGTCAAAATTACTCCTTGATCCATGGGCTGTAGAATAGATGTTGTATTAGCAGGCATGAAAACAACATTAATCTCCTTGTACATCTCCATCAGAACTCCTGGTTGACTAGGTGCACTGTCAATGAACAGTAACATTTTGAAAGAAATCTTTTTCTGAGCAGGTCTCAATGGTGGGCTAAAATATTCAGTAAACCATGCTGTAAACAGATGTGCTATCATCCAGGCTTTGTTATTCCATTGACAGAGCACGAGCAGAATAGAATCAGCATAATTCTTAAGAATGTAAAGAATGGTAAATGAGCACTGGCTTCAACTTAAAGTCACCAGCTGTGTTAGCCCCTAATAAGGGAGACAGGCTGGCCTTTGAAGCTTTGAAGCCAGGTATTGATTTCTCTTTAGCTATGAAAGTGTTAGATAGCAACTTCTAATCTACATTGAAAATCTGTTGTTTATTGTAGCCACCTTCATCAGCGGTCTTAGCTAGATCTTCTGGGTAACCTGCTGCAGCTTCTCCATCAGCACTTGCTGCTTCACCTTGCACTTTTATGTTATGGAGATGGCTTCTTTCCTTAAACGTCATAAACTAGCCTCTGCTAGCTTACAATTTTTCTTCTGCAGCTTCCTTACCTGTCAACCTTCATAGAATTAAAGAGAGTTAGGGCCTTGCTCTGGAGTAGGCTTTGGCTTAAGGGAATGTTGTGGCTGGTTTGATCTTCTATCCAGACCACTCAAACTTTCTCTGTATCAGCAGTAAGGCTGTTTCACTTTCTTATTCGTGTATTTACTGGAGCAATACTTTTAATTTCCTTCAAGAACTTTTCCTTTGCATTCACAACTTGGCCGTCTGGTGCAAGAGGCCTAGCTTTCAGCTGTCTCAGCTTTCAACATGCCTTCCTCACTAAGCTTCATCATTTCTAGTTTTGATTTCAAGTGAGAGCTCTGAGACTTCCTTTCACTGGAACACTTAGAGGTCATTGTAGGGTTATTAAGTGGCCTGATTTCAATATCATTTTGTCTCAGAGAATTAGAGAGGCTGAAGGAGAGGGAGAGAGACAGGGAAATGGCTAGTTGGAGGAGCAGTAAGGACACACACAACATTTATCAATTAAGTTCACCATCTTATATGGGGGCAATTCACGCCACTCCAAAACAGTTATAATAGTAACATCAAACAAACGTAATTGTACCAAAAAGTTTGAAATATTGCAGAAATGACCAAAATGTGACACAGAGACATGAAGTGAACATATGCTATTAGAAAAATGGTGCCATAGGCTTGACTGACACAGGCTTGCCACAAACTTCCAATCTGTAAAAAGCACAACATCTGCGAAGTGCAATAAAACAAGGTGTGCCTGCATATAGCAAGATGCCAGCACACTGCCCAGAGTCTGAAGCCAGGAAGTGAAAAGTGGAGGTTCTAGACTGCTAGCTGCTCAAAATGAGAGCTGAAAGCAGGGTCTCCTCAAAGAATGTAAGAACAGACTATGTCATCACAGAATGAACAAATTAAAAGAACATGTATTGGGCTGGTTGCAGTGGCTCACCTTTGTAATCCCAGCACTTTGGGAGGCCGAGGCAGGCAGATCACGAGGTCAGGAGTTTGAGACAAGCCTGGACAACATGGTGAAACCCTATCTCTACTAAAAATACAAAAATTAGCTGGGTGTGGTGGTGGGCGCCCATAATCCCAGCTATTCAGGACGCTGAGGCAGGAGAATCGCTTGAAACCGGAAGGCGGAGGTTGCAGTGAGCCGAGATCGCGCCACTGCACTCCAGCCTGGGCAAAAGAGTGAAACTCCGTCTCAAAAAACAAAACAAAACAAAAGAACATGTATTGGAATGTTAAACCAGTGAGCTGTCCTGAGTAGCAGAGAATCCACACTGGGCAGAAGGAACGGTAAATCGTGACTATTAGCAGGGCAAACAGGTTAGAAAAAAGGGCAACACCGTCCCAGATCAGCTCCAAGCAGGACACACTTAACCTAATGTCCAGGAGCCTAGAAGCACATCTGTGTTGAAAATTAACACTTCAACCTCAGGCCCTGGAAGCCTCCTGAGGCTTATTACAGGCACCCTCTAATGACTACCTTGGAAACACATGTGAACTGGATGCTGGCTCATAGGGGCCTCTCCTCCTCCCTTGCATATTTTAACAGGGAGGAGTCACGGCATTTTCTACAAGAATCTCTAGGGGAAGAATAACCACGTGTAAACCATGTGGACTGAAAGTCCCAGGAGGGCAGAAGTGGCCTCCCATATTCTATTTTCCACAGTTAGCAAACAGAGAACAAATACACTGTTAACTTATCTTTTTGTTTTTGTTGTTTTGAGACAGTCTCATTCTGTCACCCAGGCTGGAGTGCAATGGTGTGATCTCAGCTCACTGCAACGTCTGCCTCCTGGGTTCAAGTGATTCTCCTTCCTCAGCCTCCCAAGTAGCTGGGATTAAGGTGCCCCTCCACCACACCCGGCTAATTTTTGTATTTTTAGTAGAGACAGGATTTCACTATGTTAGCCAGGCTGGTCTCAAACTCCTGACCTCAAGTGATCTGCCCACCTCGGCCTCCCAAAGAGCTGGGATTACAGGCGTGAGCCACCACGCCCAGCCCTGTTAACTTATCTTTTAACTGACTACAATGCATTCCTAGGTTTCTATGAAGAAAGCCATGAGGTGCTTTTGTTACATATACAAGGTGAGATTAGGACTCCAAGTGGAAATGGGCCAAATCTGTCACCACTCCTGAATCACACCTGCTTAGTACACTCAGACGCAGAGAGATGGGCCACACAATGGCTCCAGGAAGTAAAAGGATGGTGACCTATCTGCTTTTCCTCATCTTCCCATTTCCGAAGGGAGATCCAAGACCTGAGTTTCTGCCCAAGTTCAGCATCCTCTTCTGCCTAGGTTTAAATGTAAGCAGTGGTTCCCAAAGTGTGGTCTGGGAACCTCTGGAGGTTCCTGCGGCCTTTTCAGTTGGTATGCAAGGTCATAATTAGTCTTACAATAATACTAACGCTTTTTTTGTCACTTTCACTCTCTTACTCTCAGGAGAGTCCAGAGGCTACATGACATGTGATAAGACAATAGCCTGAATGCAGAAGCAAATAAAAGAATCCAGCTGACTCCTATGAAGCCAGGCATCACAGAGATGCACATGGACCCTAGAACTTAAAGAATAATAAAAACTAAATTAAATTAAAAAATTAAAAAGAGATTTGCAAAAAATAAACAACAGTGCAATGTCTCTAAGACTTTTGTTTTGGAAAGTGTCATTTATTTCATAAAAGTATGCCCTTTGTGTTAACATGCAATGGGCTTATTTTTTAATTAAGTAATTTAAAAATGTATCTGTTTCAATTTTAATGTGATAAATATGGATAGGTGTACCCCAAATAAACAGAAACTCTCTGGAATCTTTAATAATTTTAAAATATTTAAATTTAAATAACTTAAATTTTGATCTTGAGACCCAAAAGTTTGAAAAGCAGTAGTTCATAAGAAAGAAAGATGCTCAAATCCCATTTATGTTTCTTTTTTTTTTTTTTTTAAGAGTCAGGGTCTCTCTCCATCACCGCAGCTGCAGCACAGTGGCATGATCATAGCTCACTGCAGCTTTGAACTTCTAGGCTTAAACAAGCCTCCTGCCTCAACCTCCCAAGTAGCTAGAACTGCAGGTGCACACCTCCATGCCTGGCTAATTTTTTAATTTTTTTGTGGAGATGGGGTTTAGCTTGTTGCCCAGGTGGTCTCTAACTACTGGTCTCAAGCGATCCTTCTGCCTCAGCCTCAGCCTCCAGAGTCGCTGGGATTACAGGCGTGAGCCACCATGTCAACTCTCATCTATGTGTTTTGAGAAACTAAATTGGGACTATGCTGCTTTTCTGTCCCTCAGACCCTATCTATCATTCAGGATCTGGTACCACCCCCATGTCTTCCACCAAATCTTGACCTAGCCCCATCCGTCTGAGAATTCCACCTTCTGCACTCCCCTGACAACTAGTTTTTCTATGCCACCTAGCATTTCATCAGACACTGCCTGGTGACATCCCCTGCACTATTGTCCTGGGTTATGTAACTTGTGTTGTTATTTAACTCTCCCTGTGGGTGTGTCTTGCTTCCCCAAGGCAATGTGGAACTGTGAAAATGGGTCTGAATCCTAGCTCTGCCTCTTAACTAGCAGGCTGACCTTGGGCAAGTTACAGAGCCTCAGTTTCCTTGTTTATAAAATGCAGACCAGGCAGACTTCCTGTGAAACCCAGGCAATTACCTGCTCTTCCGACAGCACCTAGCTCAGGATTTTTTGTTTTGTTTTGTTTTTTGAGATGGAGTCTCGCTGTGTCGCCCAGGCTGGAGTACAGTGGCACAATCTCAGCTCACTGCAACCTCTGCCTCCCAGGTTCAAGCGATTCTTTTGCCTCAGCCTCCCAAGTAGCTGGGACTACAGGTGCATGCCACCACACACGGCTAATTTTTGTACTTTTAGTAGAGACAGGGTTTCACCATATTGGCCAGGCTGGTCTCGAACTCCTGACCTTGTGATCTGCCCACCTCGGCCTCCCAAAGTGCTGGGATTACAGGTGTGAGCCACTGTGCCTGGCCAGCTCAGGATTTTTCTGAGAACTAAAAGTAGTAACGCTCTTGAGCCCCAAGCACAGTGCTGGCATATTAGAAGCAGACCAATCTTCTTTCCAAATTCACAGCCATGACAGGCAGAAATGACCTTAACTATCACCTGCATGAATAATTAGGTGAATGACTGAAAAATGCATGCATCAATACATCAAGTTTGGGTCTCACCAGAGGACAGTACTGCCCTCCCAGGGGAACATTTGGAAGTGAATGTGGGCAAAGAGGGATACTGGCTTTTAGTGACCATGAATTACTGGCATTGGTGGGCAGCGACATATCTAAGACTCCCTACCCAAATGTCACAGATTTCCATCTCAGACATGAACTTTATGATTTCAGTATTGTGAGGCTGCATGTTGTTCCTCTCACTCGCTCACAGAAAACTCCCCAAGCTACCCCTGGGAGGTACTGGGGAGCCCTCAAATCCCTAGAAGCAATGCCAGGCACCCCTACCGCCCCCGCCAACCTCCCAGGTAGTTCTTTTACCAACCGATAGGTGGAAATGATAGCGCACTCACTTCACTTTATCTCAACTCCTCCACTTTATGGTAACTCCCCAGAAGGGTGGGACAGTGGCTGCTCCCAGCTTTGAAGTCTTGTTTCCCTCACCTACTGCACCTTGCTACAGTTCCTCTTACCCCTCCAGCCCCTCTCCCTCCCTCTCTGTCCCTGGCAAGCAGCCCATAGCTCCATCAGAGAAGAAGGATGCAGCCAAGGAATGCTGTTTCTGTGTGACTTTAGATTCTGCTGCTTGGACTGTGATCACTGGGAAGGGACTCCAGCAAACAAGCCATCTGTGAACTCCCTACTAACAGTCTGAGAGCTCTGTTGCTATTGTTATTTTGTTGTTGTTGTCGTTGTTGTTGTTTTTAGGAGACAGGGTCTTTTTCTCTCACCCAGACTAGGTGCAGTGGCTAGATCATAGCTCACTGTAACTTCGAACTCCTGGGCTCAAGTGATCCTCCTGCCTTGGCCTCCCAAAGTGCTAGGATTACAGGCAAGAGCCACGGCACTTGGCCAGTCTGGGTATTTTAATTGTTTTTGTGGGGAGGAGGGTTATGATTTTGTTTGATCTAGATTGTAAAAGGGGGAGAGAAAATTTCTTCCAAGCCATATCCAAATGCCATGTGTGTTTTACGGCTACATAGCATGTATTATGTGCATAGATTTCAGATGTGCCACACCTCAAAATACATATTAGATAAAATCCTGGTCCTGTCTTTCAGATGTGACCCACTATCCATCCAGTCACTCAGTACCTATTTCCCAAGTGCCAACTGCCCGCCATTGCTTTCCCTAGTGAGGGAAGGAGCCCCAAACAGTCCTTCCCGTGGTCCACAGGACACCCTGGGAATATAAACCAAAGGATGTCAGCACGTGGGCCTCCACTGATATTCCCATTGGGGGAATAAAAAAAGTTAAGAAACATAGTTTGCTCTCTCAGAATAAAACTGTAAGATTAATCCAGTGCTGAATCAGTGCAGAGATAAGCAAAAGCAATCACTTTAGATTAGATGTCAATCTGATGAAACACATTAACATCATCTCCAAGAAGCCGGAGGCTGGGGTAGGGCTGGGGAGTAGCCAGGACCAGCCAACAGTGCCAAAGAAGAGGGAAGTCCCCAAGCACAGGATGACAGTGCCCATCCTAGCACCGCCCACAGGTGGCAAGGATAGATGCCTCGAGCCTTCTCAACCTGCTGCTAATAAACCATTTTTCCACACTTTACATTGTGAAGAAAAGTCTCAAGAATTACTCCACAAGTTTTAATAAATTTGGCCAACACTGAATGTCAATTCTTTAGGTGACTTTTAGCCTATATTAGCATATTAAAGGCTCTGATAAATTCTGAAATAAAGAAATCTGTTTGTTTTTAATTAAATATTTCCCCAATTCATTTGACCATAAGAACTCTTTCTATATGGAACTACCATTAATAACTCCAAAACTAGTGTTCCTTGGAGCTCCAGATTAAACCATGAAATTACTAAATTTATTTTTGTGACTCTGGTTCCAGCATAGAGTTGGGTTTTCTGCAGAGCTTGCCTCCAGAGCTATAACAGGTTAGCAAACTTATCCGAGAGTCCCAGGTGACATAACACACAATTTTCCTGACTTGAACCAGTATATCAACTTTATATAACAATTGTTCTTGGCTGGGCGCAGTGGCTCATGCCTATAATCCCAGCACTTTGGGAGGCCGAGGTGGGCCGATCACTAGGTAAGGAGATCAAGACCATCCTGGCCAACATGGTGAGACTCCATCTCTACAAAAATACAAAAATTAGCTGAGTGTAGTGGTGCGTGCCTGTCATCCCAGCTACTCAGGAGGCTGAGGCAGGAGACTCGCTTGAACCTGGGAGGTGGAGATTGCAGTGAGCCGAGATCACGCCACTGCACTCCAGCCTGGTGACAGAGCAAGACTCTGTCTCAAAAAAAAAAAAAAAAAAAAAAAAGTAAGCATTTGGTAATTATTAGCTCTCCCCAAATTGCTGGAGCCTTCCTCATGTGCTAACCTAGTGATTCTCAATTGGGGGCAATTTTGCCCTGCAGGGGACATTTGGTAATGTCTAAAGACATTTGTGGTTGTCACAACTGAGAGGAAAGTGCTATTGACATTTAGTGGGCAGAGGCCAGGGAAGCAACTAAACACCCTAAAATGCGTAAGACAGCCTCCTCCAATGAAAAGTTATCCGGCCCAAATGTCAATAGTGCTGAGTGCTATAAACCCATGGTCTTGATCCGCAAAGCTGAGAACCTTGGTAAATTCACCAAAACAATGTATCTACAAGGATTCTTATAGAACCAGCCACCAGCTTCTTGAGGGGGCCCATCTTTGCTCATATATAAAAGGAGCCTTTCCTTTAACGTCCACAAGAGGTACAATATGGGGCTGGGGCACAAATGCCAGTTACCCAGAGAGTAGACCCGTGATACTGGAGCATCCTCTACCCCGTCCTCTGCCCATAGCTAACAGCCACATGAGGCCAATTATGCAGTTTGACTCTCATTTGCTCAAAGATTAATGACCGGTTTGTGGAAGTAGCCAGACCAGTGGGTAAGGGACCCTCAGGAGTCCCCAAAACAGGGGCAGAAGAAAAAGTCTGGACATCCCTTGCAGACTACTATGGCGGGCTAAATTAAATATCATCATCACCATTAAATACAAAAACTATTAGGAAAAAAGCCTCAGGATCCTCTTCTTGCAGTCAAGACAGATTACAGAACTTAGAAGGAACGTATTTTGCTCCAGGGAACGTGCAGATATGCACAAGACATGCCATATGCTTTAGGGGGAACCCAATGTAGGATTCCTTTGCAAGTAAAACTTTCCAAAATACATACTTATCTATGTTTACATGCATGTGCCCATGTATAGATAAATAGATGGAAAAAGATAGGTGATGGGTAGGGAGATAGATGATTGATTGAGAGAGAGGGGGTAAGAAGACAGACAGAGAGAACAAACCAGTTGTTATCTAAGTGCTGCTCTTTAACCCATAGGTCCAAACAGACTTGACAGACACACAAACCTGGATGCTACAGAAGCTGTACTGTGGGTGGCAAATGGGAGAACTGGGCTCCTCCTCCTTCACTGTAATTCTATCATCCTCATCTGGGCCTAGCCTGTTGTGGGAGGCAAACAATGGGATCCTCATCCTTTCACTTAGGGACCTTGGACAGGTTCAGATAGCAGAGGCATCACCATGTGACATGGTTTGGCTGTGTCCCCACCCAAATCTCATCTCATCTTGTAGTACCCATAATCCCCACATGTGGTGGGAAGGACCCAGTAGGAGGTAATTGAATCATGGGAGCAGTTCCCCCATGCTATTCTCATGATAGTGAGTTCTCACAAGATCTGATGGTTTTATAAGGGGCTTCTCCCTTCGCTCTGCTCTCATTCTTCTCCTTTCTGCTGCCACATGAAGAAGGATGTATTTGCTTCCTCTTCCGCCATGATTGTAAGTTTCCTGAGGTCTCCCCAGCCATGCTGAACTGTGAGTCAATTAAACCTCTATTCTTTATAAATTCTGCAGTCTCGGGAAGTTCCTTCCTACTTTCCTTCCTTCCTTCCTTCCTTCCTTCCTTCCTTCCTTCCTTCTCTTCTTCTTCTTCTTCTTCTTTTTCTTCTCCTTCTCCTTCTTCTTCTTCTTCTTCTTCTCCTTCTCCTTCTTCTTCTTCTTCTCCCTCTCCTTCCTTCCTTCCTTTCTTCCTTTCTTCCTTTCTTTCTTTTTCTTCCTTTCTTTCTTTTTCTTTCTTTCTTTTTCTTTCTTGACAGAGTCTTGCTCTGTTTCCCAGTCTGGAGTGCACTGGAACTCCAGAAGTTGGCTCTCTGCAACTTCTGCTTCCTAAGTTCAAGTGATTCTCGTGCCTCAGCCTCCCAAGTAGCTAGGACTACAAGCATGCGACACCACGCCTGGCTAATTTTTGTATTTTTGGTAGACACAGGGTTTCACCATGTTGGCCAGGCTAATCTTGAACTCCTGACCTCAAGTGATCTGCCCACCTTGGCCTCCCAAAGGGCTAGGATTACAGGCATGGGCCACTGCACCTGGCCCCAGGGCAGTTCTTTATAGCAGCATGAGAACGAAGTAATACACCATGGCACCAGCCTTGACATTTGAAAGCTGGAGAAACAACCATCCCAGGGATTCCAGTTCTGCCTGGGCCCCTATTCAATTGAAGGTGAGTAACACACGAGTGCAGAAAGACAATGGAGAGAAAGGAGGGGCTTGTAGGTTTCAAAAGCACCTTGGAAGCGAAAACTGAAGCAGGATTTTAGTAGGAAAGACTCAGCTGAGAATGTGGGCCCAGCACTGGGAGCAGAGACTTTTAGGCCTCCATCCAGGAGGGAGAGTTCAGGGGTGCTTTGAGATGAGAGGCATCATGGGGGGAGTGCAGAAAAGGGAAGAAGAGCAATCAAGATAGGCTTTGTGGACTTCAGTTTGCCTTCAGCCAACACTGCTCAACCTGTCCCAAACCATCAGACCCCATCCTCACCCCCAAAAATAATTGAGTCACCAAAGAAAGGCAGTTCGTGTAGTGCAAAGAAGACAGAGGGCTCTCAGAATCCACCCACAGATAATCCCCCCTTTACCTGCTCATCTCCTCTTTATACCTTACCATGCAGATGTTGTTTTTAAAAGGGACTTGACACCTTAGAATAGACTACCCTGTAGACTGACTCTTGTAGAAAATTTCAGAAGAAGCCAAGTCTCTGGGAGAGATGAGCAGGAGTCTCTTGCTCCTTAGAAACCCTGTGACAATGAAGGACACTGGATAGATGGAAGCAAGAGGGGAGGGATTTCCTCCAACAGGAGAAGCCAAAATTGGTCAAAGAAGAAAACCCAACCGTATCTTTAAGGACTCTGAGTTCCCTGAGACTGCAAAAGTCAGAGACATAATTCAAGATTCACTAGCACCTATCAGGGGTGTCAAGGGGTCAAAACAGAAGGAGACAAGAAGCTTCCTCCCACAAGGAGCTTAAGCCTAGCAGAGGTGACAAGATCAATATACATAGGGAGAGTTTGAGGCAAAAGATGCCATTGTGTGGACCAGGAGCATCTCGTGGTGGGCACTCCTCTGCTTCCTGCGGTGCGCTGCACAGCGTCATGCACACGGTTGCACACAGTTGGCACTCAAGAAATATTTGGTAAGTGAGTGAATGAGTTATGCATTCAACCCACAGCTCCGAGTTGCCTGCCTGCCTGTGGAAAAGCTTTGTGCAGCCCAGTCTTATTTTCTGCCAGGGAACAACTCCAGCCTGTTTCAGGGAAAACAACAAATCCTAAGGAGGAACCTGCAGATGCCGGAAACCTGAAGGCCAAGAGGTGAAACACCTTGTGGTTGTCTGCTTGTCCAAAAACCCAAACCATGAGGCTGCAACCAGCTTACCCACATTCATGAAAGTGACTAATACTCTCAGGCCAGTGGCCAATGCCTCAGGTCCACCTTGGTTCCGAGGGATACAGACATTAGACTCCAAGAATGCTAAGGAGATTTCAGGACAGGCTGGACAGGCTCAAGGCTCATCATCCCCTGAGTCAGGGAAGACACCCAGTGAGTTACACCTCCAGCTCCCCATTCCCCTCAGCACACGGTCTATACTCCCCACACAGGACCTCTTTAACAGGATTGTAGTGCTGGGCCAAGAGGACCTTTCACGAGGCCACAGCCAGATAAGGAAGGAGGAAAGCAAGGAAAGAAAGCAGAAAGCAAGACAGAAAGACACTCACTGTCATAAGTTTTCATAAAGCTGAATGTGTTTCATTTAAAGAGCCATTCTGTATCCTGAGATGTGTCTGTCCTGCTTTTTGACCTTGAGCACATCAAGTTCTTTTCCCACCTCATGGCCTCTGCAAGTGCAGTTTCCTCTTCCTGGAACACTTATTTCCCTTTCCTTACTCAGCTCCTTCTCTCCCTTTGTGTCTCAATGTCATTGTCCCTGTTTATTGCATCTTTGTAGGACAGTCCTTCCCTGACCATGCCACCAAAAGGCAAGCCATCTCCCCTCACCTTGATCTTAGCTCTGTGTCTCTCTTCAGAGTACCCTTTCTATGTGTTCTTATGTATTGGCTTGTTTCATGCCCCTCCTCCATCCGACTCTAAGTCCCATCAGAGCAGGGGCCATGCCTATCGTGTCTGCCATTAAACAGCCACTACTTAGCACAGTGTTTGGGGCTACTGGATCTCAAAAAATGCTTATTTAATTATTGAAGTAAAATGCTCTGTTCATGAAATAATTATGACAGTAAATGTATTGCTCAAATTCTTACTTGGTAAAATTAAAAGAACATAACTTTATGTCAATGCCCTTCCCTTTTGGAGGTGTGGGGGTTGAAGGAAGAGACATTTTACTGTCTCAAGAAATGCAAAAGTTTGCAAACCAATGCTTTATAGAATAAAAGTCCTTTGTGTAAATGAAGATTGTTATGGGTATCTCTCTGTTATAACCACAGACCTACTTCTGAAACAGGTGCCCATAAATGGAATGCCTGCAAATCCAGATCTATTTCTAGAGAGATGCACTTTTTCAGGGGTGTTTTATCTTCACTTCTCATTTACCATGAGTGGAAACTAATACCACATCTTTAGGCTTTTCTGCCTTCCCCCTTCTTGGCCCATCACATTCATTATTAGGTAGGTTTTAACTCCTCAACCTAAAAACAGCCATGGTTTCCTATTTAAAGAAATGCCAGTGGATCCCTTCTTCAAATGAAGAATGATTTTTTAAAATTGCTTTAATACCATCCACTTTTTTGTTGGTCCGGATGTTCATATACTGAGTTTCTTACAGCAGGGTTTGCCTGTGTGCCCTGGATGGTTCTCTGTGGGCTCAGCCTCCCAATCAGTAACACAGAAGGAAGATGCATACCCCTGCAGCTACACAGGACATAATGAGTCTTTACAGCTATCCATTACCATCAGGCATCACACAAATATGTAGGGCAAAGAAAAATACACATTATTAGCCACCCTCAGGCATATGCTCTCCTGTGGCTCTTCCCATCTGGCAAGGTGATCAGCTGCGGAGTCCAAGGGCAAGATGAGCAAAAACAATGACAGCCTCTGTATGTCTAGAACTTGATTCCAAACACATTCTTAAATAAGCATCCACTTCACCTTTATAAGAGCCTCGAGGTGACAGCGACTACAGATCATTTACAGGGAAAGAAACTGAGGCCCAGGGAGATAAGCTAGCTTATGGAGGACAGCACTGCAAGTCAGCACCAGACTGGGACCAAGATGAAAACACAAAGGTGTGAGAGCTTTTGAATCATGATGCGCATTACAGATGCAAGGCGACAGTGTCGTAATTATCATTATTATTCATCTAGTCACAATCTCTGAGCATTTAACATATGCCAGGTATACTTTCAGCCTCAAAGAGGTAGAAGTATGGGGCGAATACGAAGATAAATGACACATGGTCCCCGCCCTCCAAGGACAGGGAAGTGTGCTGGAGGAGTTGAACATCTCCTAAACAAATGAGAACCATGCAATAGAACACTGGAGCCAAGCAGATGGAAGCCCAGAGGAGGGAGCCAGACTCTGCCTGTAGGTACAGGGAGGAGCTGACACTTGAGCTGGATGGAAAAAAGGCAAAAGGCCCTTCCAGGCAAAGGGAATGGCCTGTCCAGGCCCCAGAGGTGTAGCAGATCATAGAGGGAATGCAACTGTCAGTGGGACCAGCCAGGGCCAATTGGTCCAGAGCTTCATGGGCCTTGCCAAGGAGGAGAGACGTTCCTGGAGGCCACCAACAGTACAGGCTTCCCATCAGGGGCTTTAAGCAGGGGGAATAGCATGATCAGATTTGGGTGTCAAAAAGACAGGACAGGCCGGGCGCAGTGACTCATGCCTGTAATCCCAGCACTTTGGAAGGCCAAGGTGGGGTAAATCACTTGAGGTCAGAAGTTCGAGACCAGCCTGGCCAATATGGGGAACCCTCGTCTCTACTAAAACTACAAAAAATTAGCTGTAGCTGGGCGTGGTGGTGCATGCCTGTAATCGCAGCTACTCGGGAGGATGAGGCAGGAGAATCTCTTGAACCTGGGAGGTGGAGGTTGCAGTAAGCCGAGATTGCACCACTGCACTCCAGCCTGGGGAACAAGAGCAAAACTCTGTCTCAAAAAAAAAAAAAAAAAAAAAAAAAAAGGACAGGCCGTAGAGTGGCAAGAGGTCAACTGTCAACAGGAACACCTGAGGGCACACAGACAGTGTGGAGAAGATGTAATTCTTTACTCAAGTAACAGTGGGGGCTAAACTGAGGATCTGCCCCCGTCACATAACCTTTCATCTGCAGAGTGAAATAGGAGTATTTGTCCTGCCTCCTTTATAGGACATAATATAAAGTTACTAATAATAATGGAGGCCGGGCGTGTTGGCTCATGCCTGTAATCCCAGCACTTTGGGAGGCCAAGGCATGCAGATCATGAGGTCAGGAGATCAAGACCATCCTGACCGACATAGTGAAACCCCATCTCTACTAAAAATAGAAAAATTAGCTGGGCATGGTCGCGCATGACTGTAATCTCAGCTAGTCGGGAGGCTGAGGCAGAATTGCTTGAACCAGAGAGGCAGAGGTTGCAGTGAGCCAAGATCATGCCATTGCACTCCAGCCTGGTGACAGAGCAAGACTCGTCTCAAAAAATTACATAAATAATAACAATAATGGAAACATAATAGAAGTAATAGCCAACATGTCTTGAACACTTATATAGTTAATTTAACAAGTACTGAATATTTGCTAGGCACCAGGCACGCTAAGTGCTTTACAAATGCTAATTCATTTAATCATTGCAATGATCTTGTGAAATAAGGACTTTCATTATCCCCATTTTACAGATGAGGCAATTGAGACACAGAGACATTAAGTGACTTACTCCAGGTCACCCAGGTCATAGGTAGCAGAGCTGTGATTTGCAGCCAGGCAGTCTGGCCTGAGTCCTCGCTCTTGGTCATGATGTCCATGATCTCTTGTTTGTTATATGCCCAGCACTGTGGAAAGTACCTTGCAGCTGTTGTCTATTACTCTGGTCCTCACAATAATTCTGTGAGGTAGGCACTCTTTTTTCTCCCTGCTTTATAGCTAAGGAAACTGAGGCACAAAGGGGATAAGTACCTTGCCTGTGGCTGCACATAGAGTAAGTAAGTGGTTGAGTTGCACGTTAATCTTTGGGACTGCAAAGTTCGTGCTCTGAGCTGCGCTCCCTTCAATCTAAAAGCACAAAAACCACAGGGAGGGGGACAGGGGACAGGGAGGGGGCAGCAACCTGAAAAAAGACTGAATACTTAGAATAGTGAGAGATCAGATGGAATATGTTTTTGCCTGGCTGGATTTTTCCCACCCCATGTTAAGCGAGAGAAGGCAAGGTCCCCCCTCTCTCCCAGCACCCCTGGTTCAGCCTCTAGACAAGTCAGGTTGTGTCATCTGGCCTGCCAGGCAGTAAAACACCCCGATCCTTTAGGGGTGAGGGTCTGCAGGCCTCAGCTCCAGAAACATCAGGGTGGCAAACAATGGTATATCAGTCAGGCCTGAGCATCTCTGATTGGCCCTGGCAAAAACAAGATGTCAGTTAGTAACAGCCGTAAATCCCTGTGACAGCCAGTCCCCAAGCCCTGGGCATACTCTGGGCCATGCTGGAGCCGCAATGTCCAGAGCCTTCTCCTGCCACTTCTTGGGACTGGGAATCCTGGCCTGGGGCCTGGCAATGGAATCATTAATCTATGGACAGGCTTCACAAAGAGAAAAACATGCAGGAAAATATACAGAAGAAAATAGAGCTAAAAAACACTCCAGGGTTCCACTGAGACCAGACCATCTAGGACTGAGATTCAGAAGCAGGAGAGCAAAGCTCTCAGGAGGACATATTAGAGACTCTGGAGGATGTATGGACTTTCAAGGAGTACTTACAAGAGGCTGTGTACCTCAGTGGGCAAGGGTATGGACTTTGAAGCCAGACTATTTGGGTTCAAATCCCAGCTTGGCCTCTTGCTTTACTGCTGAAAAACTGGGGATGTGTTCCTTAATCTCTCAGGCTGGGCCTCAGTGTTCTTACCCGTCATATGAGGATAGTGATAGTACCTACATCATCAGGTTGTTACAGGGGTTAAGTGAGTTAATACACAGAAAAGTCCAAGAACGGTGCCCAGCACCTAGCCAGTGCTATGGACGTGTTAATTAAATAAGATAAATGGGCCAGGCGCAGTAGCCTAAGCCTGTAATCCCAGAACTTTCCGGATCACTTGAGGTCAGGGGTTCGAGACCAGTCTGGCCAACATGGTGAAACCCCATCTCTACTAAATAATACAAAAATTAGCCAGGCGTGGTGGCATGTGCCTGTAATCCCAGCTACCCAGGAGGCTGAGGCATGAGAATCACTTGAACCTGGGAGGTGGAGGTTGCAGTGAGCTGAGATCATGCCACTGCACTCCAGCCTGGGTGACAGAGTGAGACTGTCTCAAACAAACAAAAAAAAAGATACATGGTCACAGGGGAGACAGGAGACATCTCTCCCAGTGGGAGATGTCACAATATCCAGGTGAATAGAGATGGGGACTGGAGATGAGATGCCTTCCATTTTATTCAAAAGAGTTTGAAAGAGTTTAGATCTGGAAGTCCCTGACTTAGGGTCACAGGGAAAGTCAAAGTGCTGTTTGACAACATGCTGCAGCAGTCACACTAAGGCAGAACCATAGCCTTGGAATCCAGAATGGGGATGGGGTGGCCCAGGAACTCTAAAAACTCCTAGAGCATAGTCTGTACTAAAGCTTTCAAAATTCACATTCATAGACATCCATGATCATCTAGTCCACACCCAGCTGCTGCAAATGAAAGGAATCATGCCAAGGGCCAGAGAAGGGCCTTGTCCAAGGTCAAATAGCTGGCTGATATAGGGCATGAAGCAAGAGCCAAGATCTGCCAGAACTGGGGCATCTTCCATCACACCAGCCCTCTGGCCTTGACCCAGGAAGGCTGAGAACCCAGTGCATGGGTCTTGGCCTGGTTGGAGCAGCTGCCACCTTGGCCTGGCTGGGTCTGCCCGGTATGCTGGCCCCAGCCCAGGGTGCTCCTGACCAGCACCTGCCACCAAGCTCTGGTAGGCCCTACTAACCTCTTCCAGAAGGGAATTGGGGGTCTTCACCTCCTACTCTTTCACACCCAGAGGCAGCTCCAGGTGTGAGCAGCAGCGCCAGTAAGTTCCACAAATCCCACTTGTCTCATCCAGACTGAATCCATGATCCTGACTCAAGCCATTGTCTTTGTCCCTCAAACTGGTATATTAGAGTAACAGGTAAATCCCCAAATAGTGGCTCACTGCCATTCAAGGTGAAACTGTGTGCTACTATCCACACAGGAGTGGCTCTCTTCCAAGCAGGGATTTGGAGAGTCAGGCTCCTTCCCTCTTCTGACTCTGCCACCTTCAACACATGGCCCCCAAGACCACTATGACTGGCTGCTCTAAGCCAACAGAGGGAGAAGGCACCTGGGACACTGACCCAGGAGGTTTTTGTGGGCTGGCCTAGAAGAAGCACTTACTCCTTTCACCCACATTCCACTGGCCAGAATTGAGCCACAGGACCACACCTGGCCATACCTGGTGTATTAGTCCGTTTTCACACTACTGATAAAGACATACCCGAGGCTGGGCAATTAACAAAAGAAAGAGGTTTAATGGACTTACAGTTCCACGTGGCTGGGGAGGCCTCACCATCATGGTGGAAGGCAAGGAGGAGCAAGTCACATCTTACATGGACAACAGCAGTCAAAGAGAGAGAGCTTGTGCAGGGAAACTCCCCCTTATAAAACCATCAGATCTCATGAGGCTTATTCACTATCATGAGAACAGCGTGGGAAAGACCTGGCCCCATGATTCAATTACCTCCCACCAGGTTCTTCCCACAACATGTGGGAATTCAAGATGAGATTTGGGTGGGGACACAGCCAAGCCATATCACCTGGTCATAAGGGAATGAGAGGTGTAGTCTAGCTGTTTTCCCACGATGTAGGCTTTGGTGGACACATAAGCCATCTCTGCTACAACTGACCTCACAGCTTTGTTCTGTGGCACTTGATGATTGTGGACTGGAGCCCCAGCTTAGCAACTTGCTCTGCCCAGGAAGACATTAAAGGAAATCTGCAGGCTCTCGAGTCCAACCTATGATGCGTAGGGAGGAGTGACAGAGGCGGACTTTGGTAGTAGATCAGGAGCTCACCGAAGGCAGGAAACATGTGCAGCACCCTGCAGCATCCCAGCATTCCTCATGCACTGCCTGCCATCGAGGAGGCCTCCAATTTGTGTCTACCTTATGAGAAGTAGCAGGAATGCAACCCGCAGGGGTACCAGACATAAGTCATGCTGCAGGAAGGCTGGGGCCTGCCTAACTGGAGCTTCATGCCTGCACTCCCAGGTCTGATTCCTGGCTTGGCAGTTGGGAACTAAGGAGAAGGGGACAGTCAGAGCCATCGCTCCTTCCATGCTGGCTCTCACATCAGAGGCAGACTCTCAGCTCGTCTGTGTGGGAGGATGCAGGAGCTATTTCCATTTTATTTCATATTCGTCACGAACTGTGTGTCCCACAGACATGAGAAGCCACAGAAGAAATGTTCTCCCTCCCCCAGTGCAGATCCTCAAAAGCAGGGGCTGAGGGGAAAATATTTGAAGGAAACATCCTTGACTTCCATGAACAGATAAAGCCTCTCCCAAAAGGACAAGCACAGGGGCAAGAGCAAGTCACAGGACCAGCTTCGAGTCTGCTTTGTGACCTTGGCCAAGTGACAAATCCTTTGTGCCTCCATTTCTCCCCCATCTGTCAAATGAAGATAATAAAGGCTGTTCTGAAGTTAGAATGAGATAATCAATGTTTAAATGGCTCTGGGAAGTACAAAGCTTTCTATGGGAATATAAGGTGTTATTATCCACTCACCCTTCCTGCCTCTCCAGTGAATTCAGATGTTTGGTAACAATTACAATCTTGGCTAGGACTCACTCTTGATGAGCAGAAGAAAGGCAGCAGCCTCCACATTTAACAGATGGGGACTGATGCACAGGCCTGGGCTGCAAGCAGACCTGGTAAGTTCTGGGACACATGCTCCAGCCGAGGAATATCTGCCTGTGAAGTAATGAACTGCGATCCACGAGGGACTTCCACTGCAATCATCAAACACCAGCTCTTGCAGACTCAGATGTGGTATTTGTTAGACTGAGGAATATAACAGTCATAAAATCACAGAATTCCAGAGTTGGCCAAGACCCCCATCTTTGGGGAGAGAGCTAGTTCCCCAGTCAAAGTGGAAAATCGACTCAATTTCCACTGACCTGTGAAAAGCAAAACCAGTTCATGTCTGTCATTGCTTATTCTGTTTGGGATCTTGAGCAAATCACTTAACCACCCTCTGCCCCAGTTGCCTTCTCACAGGAATAAGGAATGAGAAAGGACTCTGGTAACTAAAAGACACAGTTCAAATGAAAGGTATTTCTTGCTATTGATGATCAAATCTCTTACCATGAGTCACATGCAGTATTCTTAGATTCTCTTACACACAGAAGACAGGGGTTCCCATTTTCCTGCTCCTGAAATTTAATTCATTGTGGGGGGCCAAACTATCAGGCGGCCAATACAAAATCCTGCCTCAGGATAAACAGGAGAGAAGATACTGCTGGGATGTGATGCCAGAGATTGAGACATGTGCAAACCATTCATTCAAAGCAGAAACAAGAGCAAAGATCATTCTGGAACCCAATCTGACTCCTGCAAGGGTAGAGCCCAGTCTTCTCAGACACCTCTCAGTCAAGACTGGTTGACAAACACTGCTTCAAGTTCCTCCGACCTGGGAGAACCAGGAATGAAGCTTGACACAAGGGCAGGGAGGATTCAGAGAAAAGAAGGGAAAGATGAAAATGAAGGAAAAGCAGGCACTTTCAGAGCCTCATTTTCTCATTACCATCAGCATGCATTCATTTCCTCTGGTGGAAGGAGGGAAAAAAGTTTTCCATTGAGTGTCTAAGGCAATCCTGTGTAATATTTCATTTCACAGCCTCTTTCTCTTGCCAACTACAACAGCAGCTGTGAAACTATTCTCCTGGCCAGTCCTGTGGCATTCCTACCCCAGCATCAACTCAGAATTCTTTTCCCCCAGGGCTTCTACTGCTTCTCATCCTACCCTAACCTCAAGAACTCACCTGGATGTATTCTCAGGTGAAATCTCTGGCAGAAATAATTTCTAGTTCTCAAACAATAGAAAAAATTCAAGGGCCAACTGCAGGGGACCAGGTCCCTTTGTTGGCTACTATGACCTGGGGAACAGAGCCAGACACAGAGCTCCGAAGCAGATATCTAACTTAAAGCAACTGACAAAAGGCCCCACTCCACACCCAGGTTACAATCATCTTCAGAAAGACCCCAGGTCCCAACAGCCACTGCACTGGACAAACTCATTATCTTCAGCTACAAAGCCAGGCAGAAGGCTTAATCAGGTCAGCAGCATTTGATAGGAAAATAAGTACCTTCTTGACACTCTATGGATTATAGAAATTATGCCTGGTAAAGCTACCTATACCACCATCATGTCAAAGGACACTCAGGGATATTCAGCTGAGAAGAATAATTATACAGTCAAATGCCATCAAGTCCACAAAAGGAAAGCAAGCCCACCCATCACTCTAGAAGCCAAAGCGTGGAGGTTTATCTGACAGTGGAAAAAAACAGACAATCCTTAAGATTTGTCATGCCTCCCTCCTTCCAATAAGCCTGTAACCTCTACTCACGGAGGGCTGGGTTGGTCTGGTTGGAGCATGCGGTGCAGGGAATGGTACAGCTGGGTTTACACCCCGCCTCCTCTGGAGTACATATACCCCCAACTGGCAGTCACTCCTATGTTTTCTGACAAGCCATCCTTTTCAGCTAAAATTTTCCACTCCTGGATTCAGCCCAAAGGTGAGTTTATTTTGGAAAGTCTGAGCCAAATTTCTCCGCAACTAGAGTTTCAAGCAGGTGAAATAAAGCCTGCTGCTTCTCCCCACATAAAATTGTGTCCTAAGAGGGCAACAATAGTTCAGGCCCCTAGCGCTGCTCGGAACCGAGCTCCACAGAACTGGGCACATGTATGCATGAAATATGGTGGTAAAAGACATGCCCACAAAAGTGATACTGAATAAGGAATTGAAAGTGAATTATTCCATGTCCAAATGATAGTGATGATAGTAAGTCTCTGGCATTTGTAAGTTTTAAACTTCTTGAAGTACTCCACCTGCTTTATCTCATCTGTGCCCCACAGCTCCCCTGCAAGGAAGAGGGGACCATTCAGGCTCCCCTCCTGATAGATGGTAAGATGGGAGGGACAAAGGAAAGGGGCTGAGAATTACTTAAGATCACACTATACAGCAGTTGGCAAGGTCAAGACTATTCTCATGACCCCTGGTCTTCCTCAACCAAATTTGATAGCCCTTTAATAAGTACAGGGGTTAAACTTAAAATATGGCAGTGAACAGTGTTATTATCATTTCTTAGGCATAACACTTAGGTGAAAACTGCTGCCTGTCACCTTGAAATACTAGAGGGGGAAGGAAGAGATGGACATTTGCTGGGCACCTGCATGTGCCAGCAGCATACAGGCATTTCATCCTCACAATACTTCTAAAAGACTGGCGTGGCGATGCTCACTTTTCAGATGAGGTAGAGGAGGGACCCAGAGAGTAACTGGCAGAGTTAATATTAGGAATCCAGTGACTCTTCTAACAAAGGCCATGTCATGACACTTTAACACTGGGCTAAGGAAACCCCCAACACTCCCAAGTCACATTTCATACAGGAAAATCACTTTAGGATTTGAGTTCTGAACTAGTCTTTACCTGGAGTAGCTAACAAAAAGCAAAGCTACAGGTTCACCCCTTTCTCTGTCCCTCTCTGATTGCCCAGTCCCTGGACAGGGACATAGAGGGAGGGACACAGAAGGTACAGAATATTCAGGGGACAAGAGAAGAAATGAAAAATGAACAATCTACAAACCAGAAAAACCAACCCCAACATACTAAGCCAATAGTTTCCTTGAGATATACTACCTTGAAGAAGCACATATAGATTCTTTTTCCTGTGTTTAATCCTAAAAACAATGAAAGGAGTAAATGGAGGTAAAATGCTAATAATTCCACTATATGCTGCTCCCTGCCATGCCTTCCTTGACCCTTTTCTATTCAGCTATGCATCGCCCATGTGTCTCTGGGCCTGGCACTAAGTAAATGCTCAATGAATGTTTGGTTAATGGATAGATGAATGGGTGAAATAACAGTGTTGTCAGAAATAATGCCTCCTAACCCAGGTGAAATTTAAATCTGCATTACTCTACCCATTTGCTATTTGGAGACATATTTGTCATTTCAATACCAGTAATATAAAACAAGCTATTTTAGCTTTATCTTCTGTGAGCATATGGATGAGAGAATAGGAATTTTTTTGTTATGAGTGAACAGGCTGCATAGTTAAAGATAGTTTTCCAAAGAATGTGACAGAAGCCCAATTATTGTCTTTTAAAAACCAAAACAAAAGAAATGTTCTAGGAAAGAACCTTCACAAGAACAAATGATGATGTCTATTTAGGACAATAAAGGAAAATCCAAAGAAGAATCAGTTCCATGCAGAGAGCCCATGTTTGTCCTTCAAGTGCAAGGTTCTCTGGAGACTCCAAAAAAAAGGTGCCTCTACCGTCAATGAGCTTCCTTTTTTTTTCTTTTCTTTTCTTTATTCTTTTTTTTTTAGAGACAAGGTCTCACTCTGTCACCCAGGCTAGAGTGCAGTGTTGTGATCACAGCTCACTGCAGCCTCAAACTTAGGGGTTCAAACAATCCTCCCACTTTGGCCTCCCGAGTAGCTGGGACTACAAGTACATGCCACCATGTCTGGCTACATTTTTCAAATTATTTTTAGAGATGGGGGTCTTACTATGTTGACCAGTCTGATCTTGAACTCCTGGCCTCAAGTGATCCTCCTGCCTCAGGCTCCCAAAGTGCTAGGAATACAGATGTGAGCCACCACACCCAGCCCAAGGAGTTTTGATTATTCCTTTAAGGGCTAGAGAATAAAATATAGGAGGAAAGCAAACAGCACTGTGGCCTCTAACTCAGGTAGGAGTGACATAACAACAGCCATCAGAAATACAAAAAAAAAAAATAAATAAAACAGAAGCTGAGGACCATGTGTTCCACCTTTACTAAGGACAGCTAAATTTTACAACTTTTAGTTAGGAATAAGGACTGACTTCCTGACGGGGGGGGAAAAAAGGCTTTCTCAAGAAAACTTGATAATAGGAAAGGCTGTTATCTGCCGAGGCTGTTAGCTATGGCCTTAGCAGCTGATCTCCGGAACACTAAGCCCAGAAGTCTTTCTGTGGAATGACTCTTTTCAAACTTCAGTTCTAGCAGAGCTTTTAGCCCTTCTACTCCCAGAGTAAGGTGTTCAAATGGCTCCTTGTAGGGTATGTCTGAGGAACAGTGAAGGAAAGAAATGGAAAAGAGAGGTGGTTCGTGTCCTGCTTGCAATAGCAGAAGCTCTTCTTAGATTCACTTTATATGCTGGGGTACCCCTAGAGCTTTATTTTGGGGGAAAAAAAAGAAGGGTTCTACTATATAATAGTGATTTAGATATCACTATGGTAAAACAGTGACTAAATCTCAATCAATAGTTATTCAACAAATGTTTATGGAACCAGGTACAGAACTGGATGCTTGAAGTAATCCCAACAATCAGCCTTCAGGAGGCATAAAGTCCACCGCTCAGGATAAACACATGCAAGTAAAACTGACCATGCTGACCGAGCGCCTTCTATAACACACACAATAGACTAGGCAGTTTACAGATGCTCTCTCAGCTGATCATCACTATGAAAACTGATTGTAGTGGGTAGGCATGATCATCCCCATTTCACAGGTGCAGAAAGGCTAATAGCTTGCCCAAGAGCTGGGACTAGTATTCCGGGCTGCCCAACACTAAAGCCTCCTTACCAGCTACTAAAACCAGGTAGATTTCCACATCTGTATCTGAGCGGAGGACTCCCATTTTCAAGTGCATAAGTCATCTTTGTATTGTTTTTTGTTGTTGTCGTTGTTTTTTGAGACAGTCTCGCTCTGTCACCCAGGCTGGAGTGCAGTGGTGCGATCTCAGCTCACTGCAACCTCTGCCTCCCAGGTTCAAGTGATTCTCCTGCCTCAGCCCCCTGAGTAGCTAGGATTACAGACACGTGCCACCAAGTCCGGCTAATTTTTGTATTTTGAGTAGAGAAGAGGTTTCACCATGTTGGTCAGGCTGGTCTCAAACTCCTGACGTCAGGTGATCCGCCTCAGCCTCCCAAAATTCTCAGATTACAGGTGTGAGCCACCGCGCCTGGCCCATCTTTGTATTTGTGTTGTGACGGTGAGTCCTAAATTTCAGATACTAAGAGAAGAAGGAAAAAAATAATCTAGACTCGTCGGTGTCTCTAAGAATCCAGATGTTTTCTAAAACACCTGTGTAATAGGTGAGGCTTTATCAGACTAGAATTTACATGGGAATGGGAAGCAGCCTGGAGCACCAGGAAAAATTCTGTTTCCATCTGGGGCCATGCCTGGGTGAACCTAGGAGGTGGGCAAAACAAGTTTTCTTCACTGCATTATCTCATGTGGGGTGCCCTCCTCTGTACTTCAGGCCTTTATTGCCTTGGTAAGCTCTGTGCTCTCCCACCTTGGTATCAAAATCAAAACTGCCCTCAAAGAAGAATCTGGAGATCTATCATTTACCTGTTAGTATGTCTTCAGGTCACTGTTACCCACCTGCATTTTAAAGCTCTGTCTTCTGATGAAAGGGCTGGAGACCTCATCATAGGGTAACTGATGGGAGCATTTTTTTCAGCACAGGTAAGTAAAGGATTCTCTAGGGTGACTGCAAATTTGATAGACAGATAGATAGGTGGATCAATCAATAGATAGATAGGTAGCATCCCAATTTAACCTTTGA
The DNA here is from genome assembly GCF_000001405.40 of Homo sapiens. Classification (NCBI taxonomy): domain Eukaryota; kingdom Metazoa; phylum Chordata; class Mammalia; order Primates; family Hominidae; genus Homo; species Homo sapiens. Next base: position 45,701,307 of record NC_000002.12, on the reverse strand, counting down.
GTACTTCCAATTTTTCCAAAAACACACAAAAAACAAACCCTACCCCATCACACACATAGAAAAATAAAATGTGCCCGTTTTCTACCCAATGAGACAAGAGTAGATACTGTTCATTGAGCACCTATTATGTTCCTGGCCTTGTTCTAGGTATAAATATATTCTACTTCATCTTCAACACAATCCTTCTTTGTCCTTCCTTCCTCTACTGTCTTAGTTTCCTAGGGCTGCCACAAAAAGGAACCACTAACCAGGTGGCTTAAAACAATGGAAATGCCTTCCTTCCAAGTTGTTAAGGTCAGAAGTCCAAAATCAAGGTGTTAGCAAGGCCACACTCCCTCCAAGGCATCTAAAGGAGGGTCCTTCCTTGCTTCCGCCAGCTTCTGGGAGCCCCAGGCATTCCTTGGTTTACGGGAGCACAGCTCCTATCTCTGTGTCTGTCCTCACGGGGCCGCCCTCTCCCTGCATCTGCCTCTGCATCTGAATTTCCCCTTCTTATAAGGACACCAGTCATATTGGATCCGAGCCTACCCCAGTGACTTCATCTTAACTTGATTACATCTGCAAAGACCCTGCTTCCAAATAAGGTCACATTCTGAAGTACGGGGGGATTAAGATTTCAATGTCTTTTTCTGCTGGGACACACTTCAACTCATAGCACCCACCTGTGAGAGGGTGATGACCTCAAGGTCACACAAGGTCTAGGTCGAAGCCAAGTTTAGTTTCATTTCCTAGATGATCCTCAGTCAAGCAGAAGCACAGACTTGAATATCTGGAGGAAATTTATTACATCAAAGAATGACAGTGCCGGGCTGCTTCTACTGTTCCTTCTGCTTCAGACTTCTCTCCCTTCCTCACCGAACCAATCCTGTCCTCCTTGGCCTCTCAGCTCAAGCATACCGACCAAGGAGCCCTCTCTGACCTCCTAGACCAGCTCAAAAACCCCTACCCAGGACCTCTGCTTACCATCTATGTCTCCCTCACTGCCCTCCTCACCACCCTTAGTTTTCCATTTCTTTGGGGGTTACTTCATAGATGTCTCTCTTTGCCATCAGACTTCGAGTGCTGCAAAGAAAAAAGACCTCTCTATATTGCTCCCAGGTGTGTTCTCACCTCTCCACCGAGACCCTGGCTCCCGGCAGGGCCTCAGATGTTAGCCCTCTGCTACTTAAAAGGAAAACTCAGGTACCCATTTCATCCTCAACCCCAGGCGGCCTGGTTAGTTAACTGCCCCCGTTCATCTTGTGGCTCGTGCCTTCTGCCTTCCACTGGTGGGCTGGGCCTGGCCACTGCCTCCCCTCAACAGCCCAATTTACACCTAGAAATCACAGGAAAACCAGAGAGCTATCACCCCACCTGCTACCCCCTGCACCCCTCAGCTCCCCACACTTCCTTGATCTCATCAGTGTGCAAAACGAGCACCCATTTCTCCACTCATCAGACACAAGCGGCGGCATCCACACTGGTGCCTTCCGGGATTCCAAGAGAATCACACCTCCCGCATCAGCCCACAGCAACAGCACAGTCTCCTCTAAGCCACTGCTCTCTAAGGACCCAACTGTATACCTTTACCACCTTACCCTGTGCACACACATCTCCAGATCTGCTTCTGAAATCCTCCAGGACCATAAAAAAACAAGACTGGTTTCCTTGGGAGTCAGCTTTAAACAGTTATTAAGGCTAAAACAAGTTTGGCCTCTGTACAGATGACAGCAGAGCCATGTCTACAGTGACCCACACAGCATGGGGGCTGGTGCCCCTCATCCTTCACCAGCGGCCCCTCAACCACACAGACGGGCTCTGTGTGGTGTCACAGAGGAAGCAATCTGGCTATTCCTTCACTTTGTAACTCATGGTTAACTCATTCACTCTGACTCAGCCAACCTTTACTGAGCTCTGATCAAGTCAGCGAAACAATTTGAGTCACTTGAGAGACAGAGAAAGAAAAAGGCCTACTTCACTGCAATATTTCAGCATCTTAACTCTGAGAAGCTACAGACAAAGACACACATAACAAGAAGGCAGTGGGGTCAGTGTCCCAGCAGAGGTCCGTGCAAAAGGCTGCTGGGCCCTGCAGGGAGTGACACCTCTGGGGATTAGGGGGAGCCCCTCCTTTGCCTGCTAAGGACGAACAGCAGACAGGGAGGAGGACAGGAGGGAGTTGGGGGCACAAGGCAGAGCTTCCAAGCAGAAGGAAAAAAATATATTATGGGAACAGCAAACCACCCCACCTGCCTGAGGTATAAGGCGTCTATTAAAAATAGAAATAGACGAAGCTAGAAAAAATAAAAACTAGGGGCTAGTTTATAAAGAGTCTTAAAACAAGATGACAAGATGTAATCTCTTACCACTCCTTGGCAATACATAAATTTTAACCTACTACTGATGGTGAATTTCTAAGTCCATGGATGTTAATTCTCCCAAAAGGGAGGGTAACCACATGTACTTTCTATATCAAAAGTCTGTTCTACTCCCCTCTAAAGGCACACCAAGCCCTAGGAAATCCAGACAACTCCCTCCACAAGTCTGTCCTTGGCCACCCTCAGGGCATTCTCAGATTGGCTGTTTTTCCAGATGGCTTCCTAGGATACATGGCATTTGCAATCAGGCCCAGATACAAGAATCTGGATTTTAAAAACTGGACCTCATCCTTGTTGTTTCCTACTTCCATTGCTGACACCCCTCCCCCTCTCTTCCTCTCTTTCCTCTTCCTTTCTCTCTTCCTTCATATATTTTTTTTTCTGTGCTCACTGTTGTTTGCAACAGCTGTTGAAATTCACATATCTGGGAAGTCCATTAACTTGCTGTTTACTGGAGCTCCACATCATTAGCAGAGATGGGCAAAATCGAGCCTCTTATACCCCCATCCACAACCCCCAGGGAGCCAGGTCCCCACCGGCTGGGGACACTCCCTCTAAATAGCCCTTCCCTTCACTTTCACCCCCAACTGGAAATTTTTGTTTTATATCCAGCCAGACTACATTCATTTTGCTAAAATACAATTCTAAATATGATTTTAGGATGCTGGTAGAAAATGATTCCACCAAATTCACCTACCACCAATCTGGGTACTTACATATAAATCTATAAAGTAGATCACTACGTTGCAAAACCCTATGCTAACCACTTTTCCAGAACTTGCCCACAAAATGAGCGTGTGCCACCTAACCTGCGGCCAACAGCCACATTCGCATGTGGCACCCAATGGAGCATTTGTGAAAATAAAGCCAGCACAAACTGACGTCCACTAGAATCTTAGCTGCTTGGAAATTGAAAATAAATCTACATGGAGTTGACATACCCTCAGGAGCTCACTGGAAACTGGTCTCTGTCTTTCTTCTGTCAAAGGGCTGCTTTCCATTCACCCTGTCTAGGAAGATGTGTGCAAGAGTGTTAATATTCTCAATTTCTTCCAATGTAAAAAAAAACTACATCCAATTAAAGAATCTGGGGATAAATTCCACCTGCCTGCAAGAATCCCTAGGTGCTAATCCATTTTAAAAAGCTTGCTGGAAATTGGGGTGGTCAGCAGAGGTAGTCTGTCCTTTCAGTCTGGAAATGGGAACCTCAAAGTAAGAGAGGGGCTGTGAAACAGGAAGTAACTTCCAGAAAGCTCCTGGGAACAGAGGCAGGTTGGAGCCAAGGGCCTTCAGGTGAAGATGGCACCTGCAGGGATGTCACCTAGGGAGGGAGGTAATCAGAGCCGGAACAAAAGAAAGAGCTAGAGATGCCACCCACATAGAGATGCCAACCAGTCCACCCTGAGTGAAGAGCAGAGCCTGTTCTCTGTCCCTCCAATTCTTTGCTTTTGCTGGGGAGCCTCGGGTTGCCATTTCCACTCTGGTTTGGTTTTGTTTGTTAGTCCTTATCTGTCCTGGCTAAATAAATAAAATGGATTTTCACTCATATTTTGGCCAAAAACAATAGAAGGTCAGAGCGCCATTAAGAGGCAGAGAGGGCAACAGCGTCAGCCAGACCAGAGCTCTCCAGATCCCCCATAAAACCTCCGGACCAGAGCCAAGCAGAATGTGGGCAGCCAGGAGGGCCAGGCCAGCCAGTGGGGTGCGCCCCCTCTTCACCTACACAGGCCCTCCCAGGTAGAGCATGGACTCTTTGAAAGGACGATGCAGTCACTGTCAGCTACACTAGAGCATTTCATCTTATTTGGAGGCATGTTCCTAAGTATTAGAACAACATCCACCTTTTCCAATCAGGGGATAATCTTTAATATTACCATGGACATTAATGTAGTCACAAAAAGGTTTGCTTTCAGCTCTGCACCAAACATGGGCCTTGGTGGCAAGTACAAAAGCCAAGGGGGAAAGAAGACCTGGAATAAAAAGGAAGTGGGGTGTGGGGCCCTGGGAGGAAAGCAGGTCTGTGACTGGGGGCTCTGGTCATGAGACCAGTCACATGATCAACACAGTCCCCAGCAGTCACTTCTAGGTCCTCACCAGGGCTTCAAAGCCTCTGAGCTCTGCAGTGAGTCTAAAAGTCTAATGAAAAGCTTGTTATCAGGATGAGAGGCCGCATGGTGGCCAGATTTCACTCTGTGGAACAATGTGACAATCAGCATTCTCAACTTCCCATGAGAAGATTCTAGCTGGGTAGGAAAACTGAGAATCAGGTTTCTGGGCCTCCGCTTACCGCCACAGACTCCAAAGCTACTCGTCATGCATTTTGCTTATTCAGAAAAGCCTGTTTCGAACCCAGTGAAAAGATGAAGCTGAGTAGCAGCTTCACCCACCACACAGCCCTGTGGGGAGGCCAACACCAAACCCAAAATGTAAAATGGAGAGATCAGGGCAAAGACACACAAAACTCCTCAAGGGAAACTCGAAGTGAGCAGGCCAGGAGATGGGTGCACTTCCACTGCCTCCTGCCAAATGCCCCAGGGACCTGTAAAACAAGGTGGCTCTTTTGGGGCCCTGGCAATATAATTTATTTAATTATAAAAAAAGGCTTTATTCCTGTTAAATATGTAAATATGTAAAGACTGTAAATATGTATTCAATAGAAATAAAGCCTTTTTTTATAATTTAAAAAAGTTATTTCGGCCAGGTGTGGTGGCTCACACCTATAGGCCCATTGCTTTGGGAGGCTTAGGTGAAAGGATCACTTGAGGCCAGGAGTTCAAGACCAGCCTGTGCAACACAGAGAGACCCCTGTTCTACAAAAAAAAAAATTTCTCACACTCTGGGGACTGTTGTGGGGTGGGGGGAGGGGAGGGATAGCATTAGGAGATATACCTAATGCTAAATGACGAGTTAATGGGTGCAGTACACCAGCATGGCACATGTATACATATGTAACTAACCTGCACATTGTGCACATGTACCCTAAAACTTAAAGTATAATAATAATAAAATAAAAAAAGAAAAATTTTAAGTAATTATTCTAACCACTGATGTGTACAATAAACTCTTGTCAGCCTGACGTTAAAATCTGTTTCTTTTTTCTGCTCTCCACCCTCTTCCCCATGAGACCTTGCATCCTACAAGCATGGTACATATTCTACTAGTGGTTTCTGTTTTGTTTTTGAGACGGAGTCTCACTCCATTGCCCAGGCTGGAGTTCAGTGGCGTGATCTCAGCTCACTGCAACCTCCGCCTCCGGGTTCAAGAATTCTCCTGCCTCAGCCTCCTGATTAGCTGGGATTACAAGCACATACCATCACACCCGGCTAATTTTTGTATTTTTAGCTGCAATAAGGTTTCACCATGTTGGCCAGGCTGGTTTTGAACTCCTGACCTCAAATGATCCACCCACCTCAGCCTCCCAAAGTGTTGGGATTATAGGCATGAGCGACCATGCCCAGCCTATTATACATATTCTATTATTGTTATTTTAGGATTTCTTCAAGGATTTCTGTGATGGGTAGTTATTTGGTGAAGTGGTGGTACATTTATCTAACACATACACCATCTCCCTGCAGAAAAGGAAAGAAAGACTGTAATGAAGTTGACCTCTCTACCTCCAGCCTGACTCTGGGTTCTTTTCTGTGGGTGGTGATGGTTTCATTAAAATCATCGCGGGAACAGAGAAAATCCAAAAAGGAATGTCACCAAGATCCTTAGAGGCTAAGGGGAAGAGACCAAAGTCAAGAAGAAGAGAAAAAAGGAGAAACACTGAATAACAGATTTTCCTCCTCAAACTTTACAATAACCTTCCTTCTGTACAGTTTGAAGGAATACATCCAAGCTGCTGGGAGAAAGTTTCCTGACTCAGGAAAAACAGGGAGAAGGAACTGCCACCTTGTATGTGTCTCACAGGGGCAGAGGGCAGGACCAATGCATCTTACATGAGGCAGTTGGCTCTTTATAGCCAAACTGAAGGAGAAGGGAGAGGCAGGTCTCTTTCCAAAACACCGATCTCCTCATGTGATCCCTTCTCTTTAACTTCTAGTAGCTCTCAGCCACTCTCAGGAAAAAGCCCACACTACTCAGCCTGATATTTAAAACCCTCCACATTTCAGGTTTGTCCTACCTGATTACCATCCACCCCCAGATACACTCTCCTGTAGTCTGCCAGTCTTACTGTCTCATGGACACACCACATTGCTTCCAGCATATTGGCCATCCACCCAAGATGCTATTCCATGTCTTACCCATCTATCCAATCCACCCACCATTCGAAGTCTCACTCATGTCCTCCCTGAACCTTTCTCAGCCACTCTAACCAACATTGACTTTGCCTCTCCTTCCTCAACCACACAACTCATTCATATGCATTTCCCAGGGAATTCTTGTCTTGCCCACTAGCATAGGACAGGCTGTTAGTCCCACATAAGTTCCATGAAGACAGGAAACCTGTTCCTCTTGTGTCTGTTAGCACTTAGATGGGGAAGGCCTGGAGTGAAACCTTTGGCACCCAATAAACGTGGCATGGGGTTGAAGTCATATACTCCATGTTCCCTGAACCCATCCTCACTTTTCTGCCCATCATCCATATCCAGATCCAAAAATTCAGATCTAGAGAGAGGCAGGGGCGAGGGCAAAGCATAGTTCTTCCCCTGGATGGTGATGAAGGGAAAATAATTGCTATTTCCAGCTCAGGCTCCTACTGTCGTTTCCTAGATGAGACATTTTACCTGGCTTTAATACTTGACGCTAGAGAAAGCCTATCTAGAATGCCAGAGCTCCCCTTAGTTCTGGAAATGGCCACAAGAAGCTATGGGAAGCTCTTGGAGCTGAGGTGTAAGCCTCTCATCCTCATATCGTTAGGATACAGCAGAAATAAATAACCACAAAATCTGTGTCCACGGGTCAAAAATTCCATCCCCCAGGATTAAGGTGGCTGGAAGAGTGACCCTCACGGATTAAACATTTCCACACGAGTCGGACTTCTTTCACACCACGACTCCCTATCTGTTCCCTAACTTCCCTTAAGTCTCAGTCAAACTTCTCTCCCTGCTATGGATCCTAGGACCTGCCATCTTTTCCAGAATTCGCCTTATCAATGTACTGTCCTCTCTATCTTCCTCCCTAACTAAAAATTCCTTCTCTTTAACCTGCTTCTTCAGATGTCCATGCCTTCTCACTTCTCCTTGCCAAACCTCTCAGGGGTGACGGTCCACCCCGACTGCCTTATTCTACCTCTCCTTAACCTCTTGCAATTTGGATTCTGCCCCAGTCACTTTGTGGAGAGTTTTCTTGAGACCAGCCTCTCAGAGAGAACATCAGCTGTCAGATCCGACAGCCTCCTCATTTTCCATTATTTTCAGCTAGCTCAAGACAGGACCCAGCCCTGCTGGGTGACCATCTCCTCTCGACCTTCCTCCCTGCCCTTCCGGCCTGCACCATCTCCTACCCATGCCTCGGGGCATTCCCTAAACCTGGGCCTTGCCCTGCTTCTCTTCTGTCCACTTTCTCTCCAGGTCACCTCAGCCACCCCCATGGTTCCAACCATCACACTGCCATTCTCACCTCCAGCCCTGGCCTCTCTTCCAGAATGCTAATCTCGAGTTTCTCACTTGGTGCTGGGCATCTACACTGGAGCTTTAATGATCTCAGATTCAACATCTTTACAAGCAAACTTATCTTCCTTTCAAGTTTACTCTCTGCCTGAACCCCCTATCTTGCCTAAATAAAGTCTTCACCTTTCTCCCAATCGGCCCTTTCAGGAAGTCTGAGGGTCGCCTCTGACCTTCTCCCACCCACCCATCCATTGCCACCTCCCACCTACTTCACTCCCCTACCCCGCACTCCTCAGGATCTGTTCCTGACTTCTCATCCCACCACCACTTCCAAGTTCAGGCCTCCTGAGCCACCTTGGCCCCCTGCAGAATCTCTCAGTCAGCCTCAAGTCTCCAGCGTCCAATCCTTCCCTTACACATTGTTACCAGAAGCATCTTCCTTCCCAGGCCAGACCAAAAGTGCATCCATGACATTGCTCAGGTTCAGCTTGAAACACCCTGCACGGCTCACTTCTCTACAACTAAAATTCCACTCATCCCTCGAGCCCACATGCCAGGGCAAACTCACCCACAGAGCATTTAGAATGGACCGATTCTACATCATGTGATAGATGTGTGTTTAGTGTGGGGTGGAGTGGGGTGTGTGTGGGGGTGTGTGTGCATGGGTGTGTGTGTGTGTGTGTGTGTCCTCCCTTGGACTCTTCAGCACAGTGCTCCGGCCCCTTGTAGCACTGATTCCATCATCTTTTCCATCAGTCTCCCTCACTGAATTGGAAGCATCTTGAGGACAAATGGTTTTATGGGTTGAATTGTGTCCCCTAAAAATGTATGTAGAAGTCCTAGCCCTCGGTACTGATGAATGTGACCTGATTTGGAAATATGGCCTTTGCAGAGTAATCAAGTTCAGATGAGGTCATTAGGGTGGGCCCTAATTCAATGACTGTCCTTATAAGAAGAGGAGAAGACAGGGAGAGGAAAAGGGCCCTGTAAAGGCAGAGCAGGGAGCAGAGCGGTGCTAACACAAGCCCAGGAGTACCTGGGGCTACCAGAAGGTGGAAATGACAAGAAAAAACTCCCCGACATGTTTCAGAGGGAACATGGCCCTGCCAACACCTTGATTTAGGACTTCTAGTTTCCAGAAGTAAGAGTCATAAATTTCTGTGCTTGTAATCCACCCAGTTTGTGGTGCTTTGTTATGGCAGTCCTGGGAAACTAAGACAGGTGGGAGCTGCATCTTATTTACCTTTGTAGACTCCTCACTGTCCATAGAGCCCTTAAAACTCATTAACTTCTTGGTGAATTCATGAACAAAAATGAACCATCCACACCAAGAAACTTTTTCCATGAGTGAAGGTTTTTTAAAAAAATAACCTCTGAAGCTTGACTGTTATTATTAACACTGAAACTATCATTTTCCTAAGATAGAACAACGGACACATAGTCAGTAGAACCTCAGAGCGGTGTGTTGTGTCCAGAGAAGGACAAAGATGGGCTGAGTTCTAAGCCACCTGTACCCTCTTCACCTGGCTTCCCATGCCTCATGGAAATGCTGGCAAAGCAGTTGGCTGGGCCTGCAGGTGTCCGCTACAGGAAAGAGTGCCGCCTCCATGCAAAGCTGTGACCTTGTACTCATTAGCACAGGGCTCTGTTCCACTGAGCTAATGACCTCAAATACCAAATACCAGCAGCAGAAATTAGATTCATTAAAGGGGGCGTGGGGAGGGAAGGCTGATAAAAACTGTCTCTCTTCACACACGAAGTGGAGTATAATGATAAGATGCCAATATTGATACTGATGCACTTTCAAGTCAACGAAGCGGATGCCTGAACTGAAAGCCTTTTAGGAATGAATGGACTGGGAAGAACACTACTGAATGTGCCAGACAGTTAGTTATTCTCTTTTCTCTTTCTTGCACAAATGCTAAAAACCAATATATTGAAGGCATTCCAGAAAAACCTTTGATGGACAGAGGGGAAACACTCCCTGAGCCTGCGTCACTCAGTCTGCTGGTGTCCACCAGCTTGGTGGCCATAAATAATTCTCATGAGTCACAGTGAAAATCCACAGTCTCTCTGGAGACACTGCAGACCAGCAACAGGTGCACCCAGCCTGTTCCTCTGAGGAAATCAAATCTGAGGGTGGCAAAATGACTATTCCTGCCACGGAAATGCAAACGGCTCATTCTTCCTTGCACAGATTGTAATGGAGAACCGCCCAGCCCACTGACGGACACAGCTCGCTGGTTTCCAAAGGCCCCATTCTGGCCTGGTTACAGCTTTTAGAACCTTAGTCCTGAAACTTAATGCTCCCCATGTATGTAATTTTAAATAAATCTAATCCTAAGCCATAAGAGAAAGAAATCCAGCGAAGTTCAGGCTTTTCCCATGATGGCTATTTTGAAGCTTTTTGGTAAATATTAAACATAAAACTATTTCCAAAATAAATTTGCAGTGCCCTGACTTTGCTGGCACCCTAAGGTATGTGCTGTATCTGCTTCAGAGTAAGCCAGCATGGCCCATGCCAAGTTGTCCCTAAACTCTGGGAACTCTGGGAGCACCTGGATGGTCTATGATTGCCTTTCCACTGGTGCCCCAGTCCAGCCCTAAAAAAGTACATTGGTCTCTTCACTTCAGATCATTATACAGAGAGGGAAAATCACTCAAACCTTCTACCTCTCAAATTCTACAACTCCCTTTCTTCCAGCTCCCACACGATATACACAGCCTTCTCTTTAAGAGGTTCATCTGTAACCCCAAATGACTTTTTAACATTTAAACATGAAAAACCTCTTACATGTATATATTGCTTTAAAAGGCAGTGCAGTTTTTGTCTCCAATCTGATTTAATCTTTTATCAGTGACCCAGTCACCAACAGGAACAACAATTCTCACACGGGTAAAATTGACAATGCAAGAGGCCTGTCTCCACTGTGAATAAATGTGCTTCCTTCGCCCCCTGCCTCTGCTGACATATGGACCAGTGTTTTCAGCCCCTGCTTTGCACCATACATGTCAGTGGTCAGGGACCAAGAACAAATGGGCCTTTATCCCCCAAGAGAAGCAGCACATGTGATTTGCAACAACTATTTTTTTTCTTACTCAGACATCTCAGACATCTTTTTAACTTAGATGTTACAGTCATAGAAATTTAGAGCTGCAGGGAACTGAAGAGAAGATTTATGAAATAAATGAAGTATTTACCAAGATTCTAGTTCAACTAAGTATTGAACTATGGATTACTACACTGAAGAGTCTTTCAGAAGAAGAAAGCAGATCAATATGAGACTATCATAACAATTTCCAAAATTGGTAAGTAACAAAAGCAAGAAGCAGGATAGTGTGCATGATTTTCCTGTTTGTTTCCAAAAGACATATGCATAAGTTTATAGAATGCACAGAGTATTTCTGGAAGGATATCCAAGGAACTAGTCTCTAGAGAGGGAAGTGGGAGTCTGTGATAAGGGGAAGACAAGCATTTTTTTTTTTTTTTTTTTGAGATGGAGTCTTGCTCTGTCACCCAGCCTGTCACACCAGTGCAGTGGTGTGACTTCTGCTCACTGCAACCTCTGCCTCCCAGGTTCAAGTGATTCTCCTGCCTCCACCTCCCAAGTAGCTGGGACTACAGTCACACACCACCATGCCTGGCTAATCTTTGTATTTTAAGTAGAGACAGGGTTTTACCATGTTGCCCAGGCTGGTCTCAAATGCCTGACCTCCCTCGGCCTCCCAAAGCATTGGAATTACAGAAGTGAGCCACCACACCTGGCTGGAAAACAAACTTTTAAGCATTTACTTTTTCACTGTTTGAATGCTTTGCTATGTATATTTATTAAATTAAATCTTTTCTTAAATATTACAAATATATAAATATATAAAATATATAAAAACAAATAAAGGATAGATTACATTATCAATTTTTAACAAGGGGAGAGACTTTGAAACTGTCTAATACCTTCTTTTCGCCAATAGGAAACAAGGTATAGAGAATGGGATTGGGGGTCGTGGGAGGCCGGACCCCTGGCCATTCAGTTCAGTTCAGTTCTTTCTATTCTTCCACAGCACTTTCTGATTCATGATCACGTTCTGGTTACCCAAGGTTACCTGAAATCTGTTCCCCAGTTAAATAAGGCATCACTGTTCTTTATCTCACTTATATGACATGCTTTCAACTCGGAATCTGTGATCTAGACTTTTTTGTAAGTCAAATTCTATTCCGAATGTGCCACAAGAGCTGTGCTTAAGTCCCTCCCTTCTTGTAAAGCAAATAAGTGATCCCTAACTTAATAGGCTTCTTTAACCCTGCTCTTCTTTTATGAGGTTTGCTTTAAACAAAGCACGCCCCACAGCACATTCATACCTACAACATTTTGTTCATTTTTCCTTGTGTTCTTATGTTCTGGCCACATTAGCTCTAATCTGATTTGAAACATGAGCTCCCAAAAGGCCAACATCAAGTCTCTTATGTTGTGGATGAGCAACCAACGATTTGTGCCTCATACAGGCAATTCAGAAGCTTACTGATAAGAGAGTCTCTGGCTAATGCACATTGATCCAAGGACAAGGAGCACTTGCAGTAGGTGCAATTGATAAAATTATCATAACAAATAATTAGAAAGTGTATCCTTGCAACCCAGATAGGAAGCTTTATTTCAAACCTGTTCTCTGTTCCTTATTTTTCTTGACTTACCAATGCAATAGCTGAAGTGTTACATAAGTCAGGGAGAGTCTAAATACTTGGTCTCTTTCAAGAAACCCACAAAAACAACAGAATCATTTGGTGGTTTAGGCATTCACCATTAACAAAGCCCAGACTGATGCTCAATTCCTTAGGCATAATATATTCATCCAAGTTAAATTCTTTTCATTTTGCTAAATTCTAGCCAGTGCAACTTATAAACTCACAGAATGGTTATTTTATTAGAGTTTGTTTTGGGGTTAAGGGGGAAAAAAAGAAGAAAAACCTAACACAGTATCTTTAAAATAATATTTTAAAGAAGAAAAGTGCTTACAACCAAAGTTTGAACATCCATGAATCTCAGCTTACCCTCTTCTGATATGTACCCCTTTCTAGACAGTTAGCAGCCATGACATCTTACACTAGGGAATTCTTAATTTTTTTAATACTAAAAAAATTTACCTGCCCAGCCATTAATTAATTGAAAATATTTCCTTCTGGCCTCCAACTGCTCAGGGACCTCTCTTAGCAATTTCCTCACCTATAATTATGCTGATGGACTGTGTAACAGGTGGCATCATTATCTGAGTCAAATTAATGTTGGTGTGAACATAATGTTGTCAAATATAAGGGATTCTTATTTGCTGGGTGTCAAGAAAATGGCCCTAGAGAAACTTCTCCCTTGAGACACTGCCAGAGGGCCAGAGCTAGATTCCTAGTGGGGAGGAGCACATCTTCTGGGTGCTAACGCTCCAACTCTGAGGACCCCATACAATAAAGGCCACCAGCCACTCCCATCACACTGGTCTCCAACGTGCTTCCAAACAGAGCACAAAAGCAAGCGAGAACCTAATACCTGGGCTGTCTCTGCCCTGGCATTACAAAGCACAGCGCAACTACCTTATAATTAGGACTCTCCCTTTTTCTGAAATATTGGAATAATGTTCTAAATTTAGAGAATACCTTTCTTCTTTCTAGCAGCCTAGCTTGTTTCTGAGGTGCTCCTATACCAGCCATTTCAAGTGTCAGGAAACTAGAATCCCTATTGCCACCTTACAGATAAGCAAAATGAAACATAGAGTAATGAAAGACATTTAGATGTTACAAGAAATATTCTCAAATATATCTTCACACATAAATATTTCTGTGGGACAACATTTCTGGAAGTGGAATTACTGAGTTCATGGGTATGTGCATTTTTGGATAAAGATTATCAAAACACCCACTGTAGAAGCTGTTCCAATTTATGTTCCCATTATGCATGGATGTCTTGTTCCCTCCACCTTCAACAATAAATGTTTTTATGTTTATCATTCTAACAGTTAATAAAAATGGTAACCTATTGTAAGTTGGATATCTTTCTGTATATTTAAGAGTCATGTATATTTCTTTTTTCTGTCAATTGTCTGTTTATACCTTTATTCCATTTTTTCATTATGTTATTGATCTTTTCTTACTAATTTATTAGAATACTTTATAAATTAAGGATATTAGTCGTTTGGTTTTTATGTGTGATTTTCAATTCATTGTTTGTCTTTTGACTTTGTTTATGTTGGTCCATGAAGCTTTCATGGACTCGGGCTCCATGAAACCTGCTTGTTTTGTTTTGTTTTTGGAAATTTAATATATCAATCTCTCTCTTTTTGATTTCCATGGTTTGTGTTATACCTAGGAAGACTGTACCACCACAAGATTTTTAAAATTTCTCCTTTTCCTTCTATTGCTTTTAATATTTAAATATTTGATTCATCTGGCATTTATGTTGGCAGAAGAAACTAGGTATAGATCCAATTTTTGTTTTTCCAGAAGGCCACCCAGTTGTCCCAAACTATTGAATAATCTACCATTCTTCACTGATATAAAATGCCACCAAAGACAAATTTTCATTCTATATTGGTGTCTAGCTCTGGACGCCAATTTTCCATTTCTATTCTGTACTACTGATTTCTCAGTCTACACAGTATCAATTCTATACTACTTAAATATAGTTTAAATATATTAAACTATATTCAGTATATTTAAACCATAATATGGTTTAAAATATGCAATATCTGGCAGAGGTAGTTCATCTTTATTATTCTCACTTATCCTGACTATGAATGAAGCATTTGCTTCCATTCTATTTTCTACCTTGTTGTTTTTCTCTACGGTTATTTTTGTATATTAATTCTATGTCAAGCCACCTCACTGTATTACCTTATCATTTGTAATAAATAGCATATTGTATAGCATATAAGCATATCATATGCACATGATAAGCCAATTTCTCTCTTTCTGCATGTATACCTTTTTCTCTTTTGTCCAAGTGCATCAGCTAGTGCCCACAGAAAAATGGTGAATAAAGGCAGTAGTAGTAGACCTCCTTATGTTGTTGGCAGCATGACCCCCTAAGCCCCATGTAATCTTGTTAGCTCTGTATTCTGCAAACCCTTACGGAAGAAGAGAAAGGAAGACAATTAAATTGCTGATTTCAGCTCTGGGATTTAGGTGAAACAGAATAGAAGCAGGAAAATTATAAAGAAGGAAAAGTTTTTCTCTAGGCCTCTCCATCTACATTTACCCTGCTAAAGCCCTCTGGGTTTCTGCTTGCATACTCCTTCCCTTTAAAACTTGCCAGGCTTCATAGGATCAGCTGTGCGTTTTATACAGGACATATACAAGATAAGGCACTAAGATCCCATTCTAAGAAATTCCATATGTGATTCTATATGATTGATGCAAAATCTCCTATACTTAAATTTTAAAATAGTAATAATAACCAAAATCTGCTAAGCTATCATTTGTCTATTGTGACTACTGAATAGTCAGGGTTCTATCCGTGGATAGGCAGTGACTAAATTGCCAGAGCAGGATCTTCGTGAGTTCTATTCAGGCATACCTGTCACAGCAGAGTGCTCTAGTCTATAGTGTGCAGACTGTCACCAGGCTTATCCAAATACTACCCAGTCCACGAAAGCCTGAGTCACATTCTACCCCCTTAAAAGCTGTCCTATACCACTGCCCCCCGTACCTGGGGAAAGACTTCTAGTTGCCTACAGTCAAGAGACTACGGGCACATACCACAATGGCTGGCTAATTTTTGTATTTTTTTTTTTTGGAGCTGGGGTCTCACCATGTTGCTCAGGCTTGTCTCAAACTGCTGACCTCAAGCAATCAGCCCACCTCGGCCTCCCAAAGTGCCGGGATTACAGTTGTGAGCCACCACACCTGGCCTGTTTTGTTAACTTCCCTGACACTCCCTCCTGGCACGATAGTAATCATGTGAATAACAGCAATTGAATCTCTTCTGCTTTCAGGAAATGTATGTTTAGTGAGTAGCTAGAAGTAAAGACAAATCATAGAATTAAAATATGGGTATTTATGCAGATGGGCAAATCTTACATCTTGTAAAAAGAAATTACTGTAATCCACAGTGACTATAAGAAGCTATTTAAACAACAGAGTATCTTAGTACCAGGTACAGAGAAAGTTTTCAACAAAGTATTGATCAACTTAATAATAATATTTCTCATTTTCATCAGAGAACTGATCTTCCTTTACTTTTCCATGCAGATAGAATGTTAGCTCTTCCCTTCAGCCAGGTTTTGGTTATCCAGGAGTCATTGGCCCGTGTTTAGGTTTCAAGTGCCCTTTTATTCTCGTCTTGATTCAGCACCTTCCTGATCTTTTGGCCAATTTTCAGACCACAAAGTGAAAGAAGGGCCATGAGGAAAAAGCCAGGAACAGACTTTCTAACCAGTGCCAAAGCCAGGGCGGGTGTCGTTTCTCCCTCTGGATCTAGCTCTTCCTCACCTGGGAGTCTACCTTCTGTTTCCTCTTTCTGGTGCACACTGCCAGCCCCCTGCCAGCCACACAGATCCTATTTGCAAATTACAAATGGGGTTGACTGGGGACACACAAGTCCCATGCATTCCCTCCTTGGATGCGCACACTACCCCTTACACACGTCACAGAAAGCACTGCCACCTCTGGCAGACCCAGCCCCAAGTCTGGGTGCCCATTTGGCAAAAGAAATGAAAATCGAGGTGCAGTCCCAACTTGCCCCCTGACTAGGCGCCCAGATGCAGGAAACCAGAAAGAGCAACTCAGCTTAGCCCTGTAGGTCACATGCCACTAGGGGGTTGTAAAATCAATATTGTAGGTCCAACCAACATTTTTTAAGTAAAATAATAGGTTATTAACATAGATCAAATGCCTCTCAATGTAGTGAGGGTAAGTGCTATTCCACTGCTCCTTATGGTGCATGCTATGCCGCAAGGCAGAATATATTTCCTATAGAGAGTCTAGGTCAGATATCTGAAAGCCCAGCCTTAGGCTTGACTGTGGTGTTCATGTGAGCACAGATGAAATAGCCCTGATCCTCCCCAGCGTCATTTCAGAATCATGCTTGCCTATCCCCCCATCTCCTCATGGTTTCTTCACCAGGAGCCAAGACCTTCTGGTTAATCAAAGAGGTCTAGATTCAAAATACAAATTTCCTGAAAAAGGGAATCCACTGCCTTATATTCACACTGGGTTCTAAATGGCCAACTTCAGAAGCTCCTGGGAGCAGGTTTCAATGAGGTAGAGAGACACCATCACCTCTCTGAATGCACAGGGGAAGAATAAAGAGACCTCCCCCTTGACTTGACAAGTTTTCCCACCTCTGGCATAATTTCTCACTCCCTCCTACCAGCAAACACCAAGTCAGCTGTGGTCTGAAGTTGTTTATGGTGTTCAGTGGCAAGGCAGTTTGAAACTTCCAGCTAATAAGTCCCTGGGTTGATGGTGAACTTAGCTTCCCACATTATTTCTGTCCCCCACCACAAGAAATGATTGAGAATTGGCTGCAAACTTAGCTGCCTATCAATGGATAATATATATCTAGCCAAGGGATGGAGAAACAGGAACATCTACCACCAAAGGCAGACACTGGATTCCAGTGGAGTATAGCTGGGAGGACGGAGCACACAAGACTGCCTGGGACCGTTTATCTTGTTATATTTTATCTTTTGTCATCAGTATACAGTTCCAGCTCTAATGACTTGTTCAAGGTAAGAAGATGTCTTCTGAACTTGCCATAAATACTGCTCCCGCAAAGCATTTCCCCCCAGCTCCCATGCAGCAGTCAGACTTCATTCCATCCTATCTCTCATTCTTTCCAACTAGAAGCAAAGGTACTTGAGAGCAAAATCCTTCAGCATCCTCTCCCTGCTGTCCTAAGCCCACAGTTGGGTCTAGAACTACTTGGCACCTTACTCCTCGGGGTATTACTTTTCTTATCTCATTTCCTCACTATTTCTGAGAAGGGCAAGACCTGCCAAGGAGACTGGGCCTGAAAATAGTTCTGCTCCTATGACGATTCCAAAGAAAGATGTCTCACATTTCCTAATGCCACTTGGCTGACTGCTTGAGGGGAAAAAATTGTCACAGTCTATGGGGGTGCTAATTAGCATCAATTAAAACTCAGCTAGCCTGCCCTGGCACTGAATTACCTGCAGGACTTGCTCAGTCCTTGTGAAAATCAAAGGGAAATCCAGAGACAAAGAGATTCTGCGGTGATAGGAATATCAACTTACTTTCCCCACTGAACATTTCAACCAACGCTTGGCTAGCCAGTATCCTTTCATTCAGGAAGTAAAATCTCTGCTGGATTTGTCAAGAGGATAAAATGCTCAAAGTTACTAAGGCCATTACAAACTATTCCCCCATTAAAAATAAATAAAAGACGTACAATATTCTTTTTTCGTAAAGAGAACTGAGGTGACTTTACAACTACATACACATAGCCTTCAATAAACAGGCTTTATTTCTTGCCTACTATATGCCAGGAACACCTCAATTTACCGTGGCAGAAAACTAGAATCTTGGCTGGGCGTGGCGGCTCACACCTATAATCTCAACACCTTGGGAGGCTGAGGTGGGTGAATCACCTGAGGTCAGGAGTTGAAACATGATGAAACCCCGTTTCTACTAAAAATACCAAAAATAGCCAGGCATGGTGGCACATGCCTGTAATCCCAGCTACTTGTGAGGCTGAGGCAGGAGAATTGCTTGAATCCAGGAGGTGGAGGTTACAGTGAGTGGAGATCGCGCCATTGCACTCCAGCCTGGGCAACAAGAGTGAAACTCCATCTCAAAAAGAAAATTAGCCAGGCAAGGTGATGTGTGCCTGTAATCCCAGTTACTTGGGAGGCTGAGGCCCAAGAGTCACTTGAACCCAGGAGGCAGAGGTTGGAGTCAGCCAAGATCGTGCCACTGCACTCCAGCCTGGTCAACAGAGCAAGATTCTGTCTCAAAAAAAATAAATAAATAAAAAATAAAACTAGAATCTCAAAGTTATCTGGGAACCAAACTACCCCCTTACCACCAGTGTGTTATTTCAAAAGTTCCTACCTCGTACTCTCAGACAGGCACCCTCTGTAAAATCGGTGCTCATCAAACATCATTTTGAAAAAGAAAATGAGTAAGAAATCATGTTATCTGTAAAAAATGAGTTAGAAATCATGTTATCTGAAAAAAAGAATAAGAAATCATATTATGAAGTTCAAACTTATCAAATTCTACACTTTAAATATGGGCAGTTTGTATGTCAGAGATGTCTCAGTAAAGCTGTTTGTAAAAAATTTAATAAGTTCATTTATGATTGTTTGGATAAACAACACTTATATTTTAATAAGCTTAAACACTACCATTTCATAATTAAAATAAAAACCAAGTTTACTGCCCATAAAGAGCACTGGTGAAGAATTTGAATGGCGAGGAGAACCCTGAGTCTGCACCACTGGGGCGGTGTGGCTGGGGAGGAGAAACAAATGCATGCAAAGGTTACTAATAACCCAAGACAGGATGTAATAAGTGCCAAATGAGTGACTCAGACAATACATGTCACAGGAGTAGTGACTGCTGACCATGCACTTAGTGAGCACCAAGCCAGGCTGCTGCTTTAATACAGGGCATGCATGCCTCTCACAGTCCTTGGGGTTTGGATTCCCACAGGCATTGTCTATTTGTGTCCACGCATGGGGAATGGCAGTTGCATTACCAAGAAATAGCCCCAGCTCTGGTCTCTCTGATCTCATCCACAGGCCCAGGTAGAGATAATCAGCAGAGCCAGATGAATTTCAGGAATATAATTTCAGATGAAACAGCTCAAGGAGTCAAGTGGGACATTAATCACAGGTGGAAGCACCAAAACCAAAACAATTTTGGCTGGCCTGTACTTAGGTGCATCATAAACGCCTACCTGGGTACTCTGACAACTTTTTCATGACTCAGTTTACAAATAGATATAATGGGACCATTTTCCAAATGGTGATTTTAAAATCACCTGGTTAAAATTTAGGATAACTACATTGCCCTAGACACTCAATCACAATTACTTCCCACCAGGAGGCTTATTATATTAAGAAAATGCTATGCCTTTTTTTTTTTTTTTTTTTTTTTTTTTTTTGAGACAGAGTCTTGCTCTGTCTCCCAGGCTGGAGTGCAGTGGGGTGATCTCGGCTCACTGCAACCTCTGCCTCCTGGGTTCAAGCGCTTCTCCTGCCTCAGCCTCCCGAGTGACTGGGATTACAGGTGCATGCTACCACACCCAGCTAATTTTTGTATTTTTAGTAGAGACGGGGTTTTAGCATCTTGGCCAGGCTGGTCTTGAACTCCTTATCTCATGATCCACCCACCTCGGCCTCCCAAAGTGCTGGGATTACAGGCGTGCGCCACCGCACTCAGCCCAAAAATGCTATGTCTTTAAATGACATGTATAGATTATAATACATAAGTTACTAGAGTTTTAAATCTCTAACCTCTAACACAGGGTCTGGTGGCCTGGAACACAGTAGGTAGTCAATAAACGTTGAATGAAGAGCAAATATCCTGTATAAGAACTTCAGGGTACCTAAGACAACTCTCTAATTGTTTTACATGTGTTCATCTGGTTTTTGTTAAAAGCATGTTGAGACAAACCATATGTTCTTATTTATCTTCACAAGTTGAAAGGTATAGGCTATTGGAAAGACTCTACAATAGGTGCATTTGTTAAAAAGGCTTTTCTGCTCTCTTAAAGACCATTTAACAGCAAGACATCTTGGCCATATATGTATGTATATATCTGAGAGTCTGTGAGTTTTAGCCTACTGGCAGAAGTCGGCTGGCCTTTATCAAGCCTGTTTTTATCTTACTTTCCCCGTTTGGTTCACCATGTCGCAAGCATGTAAACAGTCCAACTTTAAAGTTTAACCCTGGGCACCATAAAACTAACAGTTAAAGAAACAAGTTTGCGCCTAAAAGGCCAAAATAAGCATCCCCACCACAGGTTAGCGAATATTTAGGTTATCAGAAGTGTAATTCTCTTTTTCCATTCTCACACCCTGCAGAGGGGAAAGAAGGGGGCACACAGAGCGGTTGTATGCTTATTCCATCCAATCAGCACTAACAAACTAACATCTCCTAACTTGGCAAGAACCAGTCTTGCTGCTAGACCTCCTAAGATTGCTGGTGTCCACCACTGAAATCCAACAAAGTTATTAACCTCTGGAGGTTTAGAACACCAATATCAAACCATCATGTCATTATTTGTCTAATGACATCTATTGTTTCTAGAATAGCTAGCCCTGGTCTGTGAATGGTAGCCTCAAATCTGTACCCTCACTCTTTATCCCAATAAACCTGTTCATCTCTGAATGTTTCTCTTTACCTCTCTTGTTTAATAGTTATCATCTCCCTCAAATGCTCTACTAATACAGAAATGTGCTAAATCTCTTCCCAGATCTAACATCATGAAATAAAATTATGGAGACAGGGCAGAGCCTAGGTTTAGAAGAGAGACTTCTCATGCCCTTTGCTCTACAAGGACTTCACCTTCATGTTGCATGGTCCTTTGGGCAGGCCCGGAAGAGCCAAGCTGAACCAGTCCTCTCTACCCTAGCTGGAGGGAACACAGAAGAAGGAAGGCAAAGTGCCTACAGAGGTCAATCAACACCACTACAGCAGGGCCCCACATACACCCGCAGACTACAGGCTCCCTGTTCTTGGTGGACATCAGCTCCCCATATCCCCTCTTCTTGTAAGTGTTCCACATGCACCCACTCTGTGCATTATCCCGATCCACCCCATCATTCAAGTTCTACTGCTACTGAAAAGGCTTCATAACTATTACAACCTGTACACCCATGAGCTTGACCTCCTTAGATCCACAGTACTTCCTGTCCATATTGTCTACTTGGCACTTATTATAAACAGACTTAGATTTTAATATATATGGACTTTATTTTCCCTGTTAGATTGCAAACTGAGGGCAGAATTATTTTCTTTAGCCCAGTATCACCTTTCACAGAGTATATATGCTATAAAAATTTGTGAATTGATGTGGAATAAAGTGAAGTAAGACACATTGCTTTCTCCAGTATAGCTCTTAGAGGGAATAATCTCAATCTTAGTGGAAATAATTAGGCTTCCAATACTGTGTATTCTTTTGAGTATATGTGTGCCTGTAGTTTCGTGTTTACAGCAAAGTACTATGCATGGAAGTCCTGGGGCAGATTCTATTGCAGCCACACTGCCATTCTGCTGCTTGCATATTTATGAAAAATTATCCTTTCAGGATGAAATTTTCCATGACTGGCTTCGGATCCAAAAGAAGGGTGTTTCTCTCTCTTTTCTATTCTTTTGGAAAATTTGAACAATATCCAGTCAGCCATGTAGAAGTTGGGCATTAGTGAAAAAAACAATGACATGTTTTGTCTTTCAAAATCAATGTAAGCCTTTCTTTTGCGTGACCAATTAAAAAACAACTAACTTCAAAATGAGAAACCTTCCACTCGTCTAGGCCTCAACAAGGATGAACCTGAGTGATAGTAGAAGTTAATGGAATGGAAACAGAACACAAACAAAATGAGTATGTATCTCTTCATTATACTTGCTTTAAGTTTCACAAATTCCCAAAGTTGTGTGCCTCTTCCCATGACTTCTAAAATTGAAAAATGTAATGTATTTATGAAATCAGAGTCCATCGAGGCTGAGCTAAAGCTCAGAGAAATGAAAAAAAAAAATCCAGATAATTACATGATAAACTTCTGGACAGTAAATAATTTATTTATCTTGAAAGAAAGGTTCCCTCCAAATTTTTCTCAAAATAGAGTCGTTTGCCTTCTAACCTCTTATCTATAAAATGTCCTCACATGATATTAGTTTTAATACACTAAATCAGGCGTGCACGTTCATTCTATGCCCTTACAACTGAAAAAAAGTTCGGAAATGACTGGTTACCTTAACCAGCAAAAGCATTTTTAGTTTGCCAACAGCAGTTGCAAGACAATTGCAATCTGCAGAAGACAACATTGGAGAAATTTTTTAAACCTGATCCCTCACTAATGTTACCAAAATTATATATCACAACCAGTAACAAATGCCAAAATAAAATTTAAATTCTTAACTTTGGTTTCTTTGATTCTTTTAATTAAATAAAAGACATTGTAAGAATAGTTTACATTATATAAAAACAGCATCATACATCCTGAATGCATTTGAAATGGGTAGAACATTAAAGGTTTAAAAAAGAAAACCCAAAATTTCAACATGCAATATGTATTCACATATGCACACAACCAGCTCTCAAGAAACCAAAAAGAAATTGGTGAGAAAGGCAGAGAAACCAAGTAAGTATAAATTCCCATGTGACCACAAAGTTTTCCCCCTGGCTCGGTGTAGAACCACCAACTTCTTCGATTGGGTTCTAAAAGGTTCCTCAGCTCCATGTAAAATCAAGTTGATATTTACATCACAGTGGCAGACAAAAGGGCAGGGAAAGCTACTGATATGCTCCTACCGGTTCCCACTACCCCTTCAGAACTTCCGTGGTGTCCTGGCCTTTCCATCGTCTTTTTCACTGCCCATCTGAAGCGGTTGTGTCTCTGAAACAGAATTTTCCACAACGATCTAAAGCAATTGCCTTTTAAGCCAGAGCCCACCCAGCAAATAACACCCGACCACAAGCCAGAGTATCTTTACCAGGCTAAATACCTAAAGCAGTTTCCTAATGTTCTAATCCATGTCTAGTCCATCCCACAGGGTGATACAATTTGAATCTGATCAGGTTATTTCTCTGCTTAAAAAACCTTCACTGCTTTGGGAGGCCGAGGCGGGTGGATCATGAGGTCAGGAGATCGAGACCATCCTGGCTAACAAGGTGAAACCCCGTCTCTACTAAAAATACAAAAAATTAGCCGGGCGCGGTGGCGGGCGCCTGTAGTCCCAGCTACTCGGGAGGCTGAGGCAGGAGAATGGCGGGAACCCGGGAAGCGGAGCTTGCAGTGAGCTGAGATTGCGCCACTGCAGTCCGCAGTCCGGCCTGGGCGACAGAGCGAGACTCCGTCTCAAAAAAAAAAAAAAACAACAACAACAAAAAAAAAAACAAAAAAAAAACCTTCACTGGCTCCTCCATAACCCTCAGAATAAAGCCCAAATTCAAGAGTTGCTATCCACCTAAAGTGGCCTCTCGTGATTCCAGGGTTAAATCGGAAAGAAGGAAGGAAGCAGGGAGGGAGGAGGAGAGGGAGGAAGATCAATGGCAGCTGACAAAAAACAGCTTACTTGTCCCCATGCCCCCAACCTACTCCCACCCCCCACAGTACTTCGCAGTAGTCACATTAAACTGTCTCCAGTTTCTCCTTTCAGGTCTCTGCTGAAATGTCGCCTTCTCCCAAAAGCCTTCCCCAACTCCCCATGTCTAGTTTGGGGCCCTTTTGGGTACTCTGGTGGCATACATCACAGGGCTTTATGAACTATGTCATAATTGCCTGTTTGAGTATCTGTCCCCCAATTGGAGCATGAGCCCTCTGAGATTAGGGTACCTATCTAGGCATGTTCCTGGTTATATCCCAAGACCTAGCTTGATGGCAGGGGCTCCCTAATGATTTATTAAATGAATGATCTAGAAACTATGAAGAAAAGAGGAAAGAATGGAGACACTTGATACCTCCTTCCTTCCCCAACCAGCAGTGACTGACCACAGAAGGATGGGCCTGCATGGCCTTTACTCGCTCCCTCCTTAGAACCTGAGCTGAGCCTTCTATTACTCTCTTCATTATCACAACCTTTCATCACAATGGGGCAATATGTATGTCCAGTCAAGAATGAAACAGGCAATGGTGTTTGTACGGACTGGGCTACTTCCATGTATGGATCAGAGTTTATATCCCAATAGAACCATCTTCCTCTCTATCCATACTCTAGTCTTATAAACTTAGTTTTCCTGTTAATGCAAAAATATAATCCTTATTGACGTCATTCTGACCTGCATGTATTAAGAGAGGAAAAGGCTCTGTATCCTTTAAGAAATTATTAAAATGTTTTAAATTGTTTTGTTGCACTGGTTTCAGTTTAAAAGATCTCTTTTGCACAGCAACACTTCAATCACTAGAATACTTGCATTATGAGGCAAATAGTTACAAGAAACAGGCTGCTGGGGGAACAAGCACAGGTGAGCAATGGAAGGTCAACAGAGCCAAACACGCGGCAGAGAAGCAACAGAGGGTTCCATCTTGAGACTGGGAAACTTACCACTGATAATGACCATGTAATGACACCCCCAGTGAAGCTATCCTGAGGCTCCCTGTACTTCACAAGGCCAAGAAAATCCCGTCACGCCAATGGTAAACAACTTCTCAAAACAAACAAACAAAAAAACAAGTCAAGCATTGGTGTCTACTAGGCCATGATTTTAGAGCCAATGTAGAAAACATTGTAGGAGCTACTGCCAGGTACCGGTGCTGCTTGAATAAAAGCGTGGAGTGGAGGCAGCAACTATTGAAAAAGGGGAGTAAAATGCTGAGACGCTTCCACAGCCAAAGTTCACCCCTCCCCACCCACCTATCCTGCCAGCTGGAGGCTTCCTGGTGGAAGGCCACCTCTCACCAAAGTCAGGCCCATCTGTGAGCTGAGGGCCAGCTCCCCGGAGACCCCTGGGAATTCTGAGCAGTGCCAGATGACAAGCAGAGGCCTGAACTCTTCTGGCATGACCTTGGGCCCAGTACCTCCCCGCCTCCCCTCCTCCCACCTACAGTGATTAAAGATAACCCAGCCAAGCAGCCTGGCATGTTGAAAAGGAGCAGGGCTGGAGGGAAATGAGGAGGACCAAACCGGGAAATGCACCACTGAATTTCCTCAAACCACATGGACCTTAAAACTCGTCAGACCGGTTTAAAATTAGCCAATACCCAGGAGAATAATTCATTAAATGCAACTGTTATGATTCATTTAGAATTCACTCCAATTCTGAAATGATAAATGACAGTGCATTTATGTATAAATGACAGTGTATTCATCTCCCCAAAGCTGGTCACAAGTGCCCTCACTGCTCTGGAGTAAAACATGGGCTAGAAACAAGGAAGCAAAGACTTAAAAACAGCATCATGTTTATTCACTGGAGAAAAAGGTGAGCTGAGAAGAGCTGAAGGCCTGGGCTAAGGTGCTAAGGGGCACGCTGGGTCTTCCTGGTCTGGGGAAACGTTTTCTGGAAAGGAGACGGCTTAATGTACATCTACAGAGTGTTTTCTTGTGCTATTTTGTTTTGTAACTTACAGGGGATTTTTCTCTTTATAATTGATGAGGTCCAGTCTCCAAGATCTGCCTGCTGTCTTCCTGGTCAGCCAGGCTTGGAAACTCTCACCTCATCCCTTCCTTTCCTTCTCTGACATTTAATCAGCATTGAATTAAAATTAGGCATATGGATCACCCAAGGCAAATGGAAATTAAGATACTGGATTTATAACATGCATAATCCAAACACAGAAAATCTTGCTACCAAAAATAATCATGTCTCTCATCCATTTCCCAGACAAACAGTTCAACTGCCTGCTTCACTTTGCCTTCAAGTTTATCAAGATGAGGCCGAGAATTCTCATAAACTCCTCAAGGACACCAAAAGGAGTTCCTGTAGACTCACTCAGAGTCCTTTCCCTCCTCTCCCTCAAGCAGTGCCCACCTCTTTTCAGGAAGCATCTTCTCTTTTCCATTTGACTTTCATAAAGAAGCTGGAGTTTTATTTTTCCTTGGCCTCCAATCTGTGCTTTGGGCTGTGCCATAAAATTCCTCAGTAATTTATGACCTGTTTTTCCTTTAAAGTGGAGAAGCACTAATCCCTCACAGAGTGGGGAGACAAGCATTTCCAAAGTGAGGTAATCTAGAAATATATGCACTGACCACAGTGAGTTGGGCCCTGACTTACAATTGAAGGCTCATGTAAAGATCCCTAGCCCTTGACACAGAGTATGATCTCAGAAATAGCCTGGTCTCCAGTTAGTACCTGGTTTGACAGAGTCCTCTTGACCCAAAAGTCCATCTTTTCCTGTCACTGATATCTGAAAATTCCAGACATTGCCATGTCACCCTCCAGATAAAGGAAGGCCTCCTCCACAGCACTCTTCTAAAGCACCAGTCTTATATATCTCATTACGGCCATCTACCTCAGTGTAAATGAGTTTATACTCAGCCAAGAGGAAGTGAGGAATCCTGGCTGGGCCCCAGGCTTGGAGGGGCTCAGAAGTGGAAGGAGCGTGCACAAAACCTGAAATCAGTCTTTGACTCCTTCACATTTTCGCCGCAAGTCAACCCCAATGATCACGCTTACATCTTTGCAAGTAGCTTTTAAAAAATATTTTCCAATAAACACAAGGAAATGAAATATTGAGATACACCTTCAAAAGAGAGTTGATGAGCAGCAAACATTCTGGGTCCAATCAAGCAACAATTGATTTGTGAACAGAAGGAGCAAGAGTTCAATTGCACTTGGATAATATTCACCCTGACCTGATTCAGGAAAGAGGAGGAAGAGTGGGTCTCTGTCCTCAGCCAATGTAATTCCATAGGAACGATCCCTGGAACCATGATATTGGCTTTGCTACTGCTTTATAAATGTCACTCACTAAAGACAGAACAAGGATGAACTCCTAGAATATTATTCAGAAAATCTGGCTAATAGGGGCCTTGTTTGCACTTCTATTTTCATATACTCTACAAACACTTGTTCAACCTAAGCTTTTCTCTCTTCTGTAGTCAAGTGTCTATAAACAACACTTGGGATCCTAGTTTAAAAAACAAAGTTTTAGTCTTTATGATAAAAATATTAACATAAATGGATAATGATTATTTCCTCCTCACCATGTTAGTTTCTCTTGGCCAGCAGCCCTAAATATGTCGTATTAACTTTAAATAGTAGGGTCCAGATTCTAAGACAGTGTTTCCCAAATGACATCAAGAGATGTAAGTACTGTCCCTAAATGTGTGTTGAACAATCAAATACAGTTGGAAACACTGCTCGCTCAATTGCCATCCAGAAAACTGATGGAAAATAGCCTATCGAAGGCTGTAAAAAAAAGTCCTGCAATAAATGTTTAGCTTCATTTACTCTATGGTTTTCCAAATTCACTTGATTATGGCATTCGTTTTTGAGTGTGAATGACCTATTCACTTCTTATATTGTTTGGAACACATTTTGGGAAACCCTGCTCCAAGGGAAGAGTTACAACTTGAAAGGAAGAATCTACCATTGCAGTAGGCTGATTGAATCACAAAAGTCAAAGTATCCTGACACTCCAGAGAGTTCAGAAAGTAGGGGGAACAAAAACAATGTAACCCAAAAAAAGGAGTGGAGGAGTCTTTAAAAAAAAATCTCTCACTGTGGTTTTTGGTTTGTTTGTTTGTTTTTATTAGAGACAGGGACTTGCTCTGTTGCTCTGCTGCCCAGGCTGGAGTAGAGTGGTGCCATCATAGCTCACCACAGCCTCAAACTCCTGGGCTCATGCAGTCTTCCTGCCTCAGCCTCCTGGAGCAGCTGAGACTACAAATGCATGCCACCACACCCAGCTAATTTTTAAAAATTTTTTTAGAGACTGGCTCTTACTACGTTGCCCAGGCTGGTCTCAAACTCCTGGCTCAAGCTATCCTCCCACCTCAGCCTCTCACAGTGCTGGGATTACAGGCGTGAGGCACTGTGTTCAGTCCCTTATGGCAGTTTTTACCATCCTCTTGACATGTAAAGACCAGCCACTGAGGGACAGACAAATGGTAATCTCAACCAAATAGACAAGTTTCAGGTTTTATCAGCCCACAGGGTAGTCTGGTCAATTGCCGCAACCTCAGTCAATAGCTGAAAAGCAAATTGAAAATAATAATGATAATAATAAATCAGACTCCCTTACTAAAAATTTTAGACACATGGCATTAGCATCAACTATATGACCAATAAACTGACAGGCTGTCTGGCTGCCTGGCTGTCCAGCTGGCTGGCTGGCTGGCTGGATGGATGGATGGAGAGATAGATGAATAGATGGATGGATGGATACATAGATGGATGGATGGATGGATGTAGAGATGGATGAATGAATGGATGAATGAAGAGATGGATGGACGAATTGATGGGTGGATGGATGGATGGATATAGAGATGGATGAATGGATGGGTGGGTGGATGGATGGATGGATGGATGGATGGATGGATGCATAGACAGATGGATGGATGTAGAGATGGATGAATGATGGAAGCATGATGGATGAATGGTGACTGGATGCAGCATGATATAGCAATGTAAGTACCTTACTAGGAATCAGGAAACCTGTTTACTCATACTTTTTCTGTCTCTACTGGATTTTTTCCTTTCCTCTTTTTTTTTTTTTTTTTTTTGAGACAGGGGGTCTCACTCTGCCACCCAAGCTAGAGTACAGTGGCATAATCATGGCTCATTGTACCTTTGACCTTTTAGGCTCAAGTGATCCTCCTGCCTCAGCCTCCCAAGTAGCCGGGGCCACAGGTGCATGCCGTCATGCCTAGATAATTTGTAAAATGTTTTTGTAGAGACAGTGTCTTGCCATGTTGGCCAGGCTGGTCTTGACCTCAAGCAATCCCCCTGCCTCGGCCTCGCAAAGTGCTTGGATTACAGGTGTGAACCACCATACCTGTCCTCTACTGGATTTTTTTTTTACTTTGATCAAGTCACTAAACTTCTGAACTCTTATATTTTTATGTAGAAATGAAGATTTAATGAATATCTCTTATTATATAGCAGATTTACATTTTTTCAATTGGAGGTAAAATGGTCTACGAACCTTTCCCCTACCTAATCTTCTCTAAGAGAAAGAAAGTGAGAGAAGGCTGGTGGGGGGAGGCAGAGGGGAATGGAAGGCAAAGAATAAGGTAGGAAGGAAAGAACAAAAGAAGAAATTTTGATTCATTTGATTGCCTTTTTAAATAGAGCTTAAATGCATAAATGGATAATGGTATTAAATGTGTAATGGTACTGATATCAATACCTTCTAGGCCAGGCCCTAGGCCTCCTGTACCTAGTGTGTTTGGGAGACTATATACCCGTGCATGTGCAGTAAAAAACCTTTGTCCTAAAAAGCAAGACATCCAGGTGCTCATTCATCTGCCTTGGCCCCCAATTCATCATTTAACTTCCCTGGGTCTTGTCCTGAAATGTCAAATTAAGAGGAATATCTTAATTCCCGCTTTGAATATATTCACTACCATACAAGTTTGATGGGAGAATCAAAAGAAAACAGTACAAATTGTTGAATAAATGTATCCCCATTGTGCAGTCTCCTGAGGGGTAAGGCCGCAAACACCTTATCTTCCAAAGATGCTGCATTCCTGATCAGAAGGTACAAAACTCTCCAGTGCCAGTTGAAGTATGGCTAGAGCTGAGGAAACCCGCCTTGTATTACAGGGCATGAACTAAGCTCTCTGACCTTGAATTTCCAACAATTCAACCCAGGAACCCTGAAGCACCACTATCTGATGTTGAATGCCACTTGCAGGGGTTTCAAGAGATGGGGGCTTTCAGGCCACAGAAGGTATTTCTGTTCATCAGGGCACTGCAGCATTATTTGTCGTCAGAGACTTGTTTACTAAGGAGTAGTCAGGCAGGTTTCTCAGAACCAGTCTATCCGATCCATCCTTCAAGGCCTAGGTCAAAAGCCACCTCCTCTACAAATCCTTCGTCAGTCTTTCCCTGGGGAATGATAACATATTTGCTTTTATGGAATTGTTTGGGTTAGTAAAATGTAAGTTTATTGAGTGCAGGGAACCCTATCCTCTTTACTTTCTTTTCTCCATGTTACTGGTACTCATTAAAATTAGATTGAATGAGAAACTGTGTTCTGGGGCAATATTTCTCAATGTTTTTTTAAACTGGGACTCACAGTAAGAATTAAGATCATACGTACTCACATAAATAAAACTGAAATAGGAGTTTTATAAGGCAATATTTATTCATATTGCATACAAAGCATTCTGATAATGTGTATATTGTTCAATTTTCATATTTAAAATTGTTGTAGAGATCCACGCAATTGATTTCATCAACTTCATTGAGGGTCCTGACCCAGAGTTTGAAAACCAATAGCCTAGACAGGATATGCCTTTATTCTCTTTTTCTCACGTCTTTCTCCTTCAGAAAGAAAAATGGAGCCTATACAAAAAGCATATTAAACCCTAAAGGTTCTTAACAGATTTAAATTTGGAAAGAGTCAGATGATGCCTCACTTTCCTAAAATTCAAATCCCATTAGAGAAGGCACGCGGCCGACTTACTGGGTGGGGGTGTCCATAGAGCCACCTCTTCAGCTAGCAGAGGCAAATTACTTAAATAATATTAGTGCGTCACACATCTATGTATGACTGATAACTAATAACAGACTTGATCGTCTTGATTATATAAATTTTATTTTATTTTATTTTGAGACTGAGTCTCACTCTGTTGCCCAGGCTGGAGTGCAGTGGTGCAATCTCAGCTCACTGCAACCTCTGCCTCCTGGGTTCAAGTGATTCTCGTGCCTCAGCCCCCAAAATAGCTGGGATTACTGGCACCTGCCTCCATGCCTGGCTAATTTTTGTATTTTTAGTAGAGACGGGGTTTCGCCATGTTGGCCAGGCTGGTCTTGAACTCCTGACATCAAGTGATACGCCCACCTTGGCCTCCCCAAGTTCTGGAATTACAGGCATGAGCCACCATGCCCGGCCGATATACATTTTAATTTTCACAGATACTACCTTTTTGCTTTCCAAAAAGGTGCCGCTAATTTATATTTCTACGAACAGAGTAGGACAAGGCCTAGTTTCTTCCTGCCCTCCCTGAAACTGATGTGATCAGATCAGTCTTTTCAAGTAGCCATTTCTCCCTTTTTTATACCTTGGGGACAAGCACCAGGACCTCTCTATTGGAGCCCCCACTGTATCAAGCTCAGTCCAGTCCCAGGCACAGAGCAGAGGCTTCAGCCACGCTGCGCGGTAAGAGAACACAGCCCAGCACTGAGGCTGGCCACATGAGAGACTTGTGAAGGAGTGCTCCCTCCGGGTTCTAAAACACATTCCTGATGGGCCTAATTCATTCTCCAGGCGAAAAGGAGGCTTTCTTAGTCTAAAACACTGCTGTAAATCCCACCCACAAGGGGACAGCCACATGACTCCATTTTCCTGCTTGTTTCTGAATCACTGTCTTATCTGTCTTCCTCCCCTTTTCCCCTTAAAATAGTTGGCTTTACGGTTGTCTGTGCACAGTCATATGATAAGCAGTGATAAAGAAAAATTTTTAAAGAGCCAAGTAGGGATAAGGAAGCAATGAGAAAGAGACACGTTCTCTTGTGTGAGGGGGTGGGCTTCTAAGACACAAGTTTCCTAGAAACAAAACCCACAGATTAATTTTAAATCTTCAGTCCCAACAATGTGAAAGAATGAGGCAGACTATTTGGCTAAGAAACCCAAATGTTGCTTAGTGTGATCAGGGACTTGGGGAAATAAGGTCTGAGTCCCATTCTAGTCCCTACCAAGAGGCACCCTTTATCCTCGGTTTCTCCATTTGTAAACTGTATACGAAAGGGCCGTCCCCCTCCCTGAATCCCAAAGTGGTTCATCACTATTACTTACATGTGTGTGACATGTTTTTCTTTTCGGATGCATATTAAATGAGTCTCACAACTCCGTGAGATAAGCAGGGCCAATGTGACTATTCCCATTTTACAGCTGAGGAAGCTGGAGCTCAGAGAGGTTTCAGCTTCATCAAGGTCACACAGCTCATTAGCACCGAGAGGGTGAAAAGTGAACTAGCAAACTGTGAATGTAGTACTTTATGAATATATGCTAGCCTATAAATGCTTGACAGTGGGCAGCAAATAGACATTTGGCAAACCACAGCCATTTCCTATGTAACTCATTATAAGGAGAAAGACCATCCGTCTAGGACACACCACTGAGATGACAAGCAACCCCTAGCCCCAAGTAACTGTCGGACATAAAGAATTATAAACCAAATGGATTCTTCGACAATATCTTCAGTCCCAAACCACATCATCCACAATTTATATTTTACAATAGTATTATAATAGCAATAGCAAACATTTTTGTGTGTTCTATCACATGACAAGCACTTTTCTCACCCAGGCTGGAGTGCATTGGCGCCATCTCAGTCACTGCAGCTTCCACCTCCCAGGTTCAAGCGATTCTCCTGCCTCAGCCTCCTGAGTAGCTGAGAGTACAGGCGCTCACCACCATCCCCGGCTAATTTTTGTATTTTTAGTACAGACGGGGTTTCTCCATGTTGGCCAGGCTGGTCTCGAACTCCTGACCTCAAGTGATACAACCGCCTCGGCCTCTCAAAGTGCTGGGATTCCAGACATAAGCCACCGTGCCCAGCCGTGACAAGAACTTTTCTATGCACTTTCTATGCATTATATTATTTATTTCAAACACAATTAGATAGATAGTACTGACTTAGTTTTACAGATGAAGAAACCTCAGAGAGGTTACACAACTTGTCAAAAGGTCACACGACTGGTTCAGTGGTGGGACCAGGATTAGAATCCATCTCCCTGTCATATAAAGCCCTTCCACTTAACCACAGTGCCACTTGGTTCCATATCTGGTGGTTGTGCTGCATCCTTTTTCACTTTTTTTTTTTTGAAGTTAAAACATATATAATAACAAGGAAAACTAGGTGTGGAGGTGAGGGGGTATATGGGAACTCAGTACTTTCTGCCCTATTTTTTTATAAACCTAAAACTGCTCTAAAAAATAAACATAACTAATTTTTAACAATAATGCTGAAGTAAAAGATAAAAATCCTCCTCATGTGTTGGCCTTTTCCTTTTTTAAAGTTCATACAGGTGTGTGCGTGCATGCAATTTTTTTTACAATACTACACTCTCTTCAGTTATGGAAGAAAGGAGAATACCCTAGTGCAAATACCCAAAGGAAGTCTATTATTTAGATCAATATTATAAATTCATGTTAAAATTTTACTTAACCAGGCTGGGCATGGTGGCTCACGCCTATAATCCCAGCACTTTGGGAGGCCGAAGTGAGAGGATCACTTGATGCCAGGAGTTTGAGATCAGCCTGGGGAACACAGTGAGACTCCATCTCGATAAAAAAAAATTTTTTTTTGAGACAGAGTCTCAACCTGTTACCCAGGCTGGAGTGCAGTGGTGTGATCTCGGCTCACCGCAACCTCCCCCTCCAGGGTTCAAGCTATTCTCGTGCCTCAGCCTCCCAAGTAGCTGGGATTACAGGTGTGTGCCACCACATCCGGCTACTTTTTGTATTTTTAGTAGAGATGGGGTTTCACCATGTTGGCCAGGCTGGTCTCGAACTCCTGACCTCAGGTGATTCGCCCGCCCCGGCCTCCCAAAGTGCTGGGATTACAGGCATGAGCCACTGTACCCAGCCTCTACAAAAAACTTTTAAAAATTAGCTAGGCATGGTAGTGTGTGCCTATAATCCCAGCTACTTGGGAGGCTGAGGCAAGAGGATCCCTTGACCCCATGAGTTCAAGGTTGCAGTGAGTTATGATCACACCACTGCATTCTAGCCTGGGTGACAGAGGAAGACCCCCACTTAAATAAATTTGTTTTTAAATTTAACCAATCAAGCATCTGTTATGTGTGGGGCAATATGCCAAGCATTAGCACAAAAAGGCAGGAGTTTTACCCTCAGGAACAGACCTCTTCTGTGTCTGCTAAAGAAAAGAGAGAAAGCATCAACACTGGGCATCAGTAATTTTAAACGGAGGGCACAAACAGTAAATGTTACCGCAATTCCAAGAGCCAAAAGAGCTGTAGCCTGGAGAATTCTGGGAATGATCGCCCAAAGAGAAGGGGATTTGGATGGCTGGTTAGAGTATCCCAGGGATGGGGATATGGGAGAGCAGAGCACAAAGAAGGGATAGAAAGAGTTTGGGTATGAAAGTTAGAAACAAGCCCTCAAGCAGAAGGTTCCTACCCCAGAGGATAAGAGATCCACCTGGCAGAAAATGGAAGCCGGGGAGGTGCAAACCACACAGGGCCCTGGATGTCTGGAGGGATGAGCAGACTTCACTATGTAGGCAACTGGGGCTGGCAGGAGACAATGGTGGGTTCTGAGCAACCGGAAGGGTATTTAGTGCCATGATCCCCACACAACTCATACACAAATCCCCTGGATTCCAGGGAACCAGACTAATAAAGATATAAAAACCCCTCCTATAGCTGTCTCCATGAATTAGTACTCAGGCACCTGGAGCTTAAATGGGATATTCTTTTCTAAAACGAAGGAAATATTTTTTAAAACCAGCTAGGTAGTCATGGCCAGGAATTGTGCACCTTCTATGAACAGAGCCCTGATATTCACCATCAGGGGAGGAGAAGGAAGCGGTCCTGTAGCAGGCTAATGGCAGGGAATAAACTTCAAACGTTAAGGTAGGAGGCCTTCTCCATGACTCTAGAAGCCCTAGAAAGGGGTCCCTCATCAAAAATATGTTACCTACTTACACCAAGGCTGGAATTATTTTAACAAGAGGCTACGTTTCCCTCCTCTGCCCTCACAGGGACAAGAGGACAAGCAGATCCATTCCTGGGCATGTTTCATTATTGGGGTAGTGGGAAGCAGAAGCCTAGGTTGCCAGCTTTAGCAAAGAAAAATCGAAGGCCAAGCTAAATTTGAATTGCATATGAACAACAAATACTTTTGTAGTATAAGAATGTCCCATGCAATACCTAGGACATATCTATAGAAAAAAAAGTATTCATTGTTTACCTGCAATTCAAATTTAACTGAGCATCCTGTATTTCCTCTGGCAACTCTGGGCTCAGTGCACCTGCAAGAGAAATAGGATGGTGTCATGAAGAAGCAAAGAAGACAAAGGAGCATGGGTACCAAAGAGAAACTTTTTTTTCTACTTCAAGACGTGGTGACTCTGCAGAAGCTCACAGTTGCTCATCAACTGGGGCAGAGAGTTGATGCTTACTTAAATGCCCAAACATTTCACCTACATCTATCTTATTTAATCCTCACAGCAACTCAACAAACTGCAAAAGATGACTGTTATTAACCCTTTTTTTAAATTAGCAAACAGAAGTTTGAGGAGGTTAAGTGAATTTTCTCAAAGTCACAAAGCTACAAAGCAGAAGAACAAGACCTCCTGCTCTTGGGTGAATTCTGAATGTTTTAAAGGAAGAAAAGGATTTCTATGGTTGCAAAGAAGAAGAAAAAGCAATTTCTGAGAAGTGATCCTCTTCTACTTGCCACATATATTTTTGTTACTTAAATGTAAATTATGTAAAATGAAATCCGAGCTTAAAGATCAAGGCTCTTAACAATTACAAGTAAATGCATATTTCCTCACTGAGAGTACAGTAATCTTTTCAGAAGGCTGGCTATGCTTCAACTCTTGTTACTCTTTAGCAATTCCAACATCGTGGTGGAAAGCAAAGCTTTGCTCTCTAAAGGCAGCACCTTTGTGCACTGCCCAAATTTGGCCCAGGACAACTGAACAATCAGTGTGCACTGCATTAGAGGTTGGGCATATATAAGACTCACATGGTAGGAAAATGAAGTCAGATGCTTTGGCCCAGAGAAATGGGATATACACCTGGACCACACAAAATGGGATGTGAAAAAAAGCCTTAAGCCTCAGTTACCACACTAGGCCCACAAGCTAATGCAGAGGATGTTCAGGTCAAAATGCAACAATGTCTCAGCTTTTCAAATACACAAAAGGGAGCAATGAGACAGATGTCCCCAGTGACTAAGACAGAAGCCAGTCCAAGGGAAGGTAATCCATGTTCCCCTCACCTCCCACCCTAGGAGCTGTTTAAAAAGAACCAAGTGTGAAATTGTAGTTCTGTACACTTGGAATATAGCAAACCCAACTCCTGTTGCTCATTCATTTCCAAGAGGGAGGGACATAAGGACTGGAAAGGTTTTACTGGCAACCCTTCAGTTGGTTATTACTAATAAAATCCCCAAACAGAAGCACAATTTTACCTGCATCTAATAATAAACATTAATCACAGATAATTACCAATAATAAGTAGTTAACCATTGATCGCAAACTTGCTATAAGGTAGCTATTATTCCCATTTTATGGATGAGGAGACTGGTACATATAGGCTAAATTATTTGTCCAATATGCAGCCAAAACTGATAAAACTAGATTTCAAACCGAGGACTAACTCCAAAGCCCATTCTACTAGTTTTAGATCTGTGAACTTGGACAAACCACTATCCAATGACATGAAGGATGCTACAAAGTTATTCTCCATCCCTATCAGACCTATCAATAAACAAACAAAAGAAAATTAATTGGAAATGCAGCATGTGAGATTGTCAGCATAGATTTCCTGGATAATTAAAACTTCAATATATCACTAGTGATTTTGTTCAACACTTTGCTCCAAGCAAAGTTCCTAGAACATAGAAAGTACTCAATATATGTTTGTTGAATGGCTGGTTGGCTAGATGAATGGATAGATTAATGAATGAACATCCATTCTAGCTACTGTTCCCGTTCTTTGGATAGTTTGTTTTGGTTTTTGTTTTTTTAATCGGGCAATTTTTCTGGAGTGCATTCCTACTTTAATCTTAACTGGTCTCCTGACTGCCCTCATAACACAAAATGCTAAAAACTGCCTGTCCAACATTTTCTTTTTTTTTTTTGAGACGGAGTCTCGCTCTGTCACCCAGGCTAGAGCGCAGTGGCGTAACATCGGCTCACTGCAACTTCCGCCTCCTGGGTTCATGCCATTCTCCTGCCTCAGCCTCCCAAGTAGCTGGAACTACAGGTGCCTGCCACCACGCCTGGCTAATTTTTTGTATTTTTAGTAGAGATGGGGTTTCACTGTGTTAGCCAGGATGGTCTCGATCTCTTGACCTTGTGATCCGCCTGCCTCGGCCTCCCAAAGTGCTGGGATTACAGGCGTGAGCTGTCCAACATTTTCTATATTCTTCTTCCAGTTTAGAGGGGCTCCTTTCCCTGTCTATTTAGATCCCATTTTCCTCAAGGCCTGGCTCAAAATATTACCAAGAAGCCTCTGCCAACTAGCAGAACCCACATTAATTCCCCTCTCCTTTGAATTCCCACAGTTCTTCAAATTCACTGTTTTATAAAAGGGTGTTAATCTTGATTTTCCGAATGGCCCACTTGAGAATATCCATTTCTTTTTTCTAATTATAATGTTTTTCAAAATATGTCCACAAAACATGAGTTCTTAATGTTTCCCAAATAAAAGCATTCTATGATGAAATATTTTGGGGACATATCTGGTTAAACAGACGTGTACAACTCGCTTTGCGATAGACCATCTTGAGTCTTTAATACACTAATGTGCATTTGACTCTGTAACATTTCCCAACCTCTTTGATCACAGAGACCTGAAAATAAATAAGGCTCCCACTCCTTGAAAGTCAATCTGGCAAACGCTGGTCAATTATATGCTCCATCTTTAATGGCTGATTGATGATTCTCTCAGCTACCTAAACTGGTTGAGATAATCATCAGTGCAGAAGGCAGGGAGATAGGTTCATACACCTTACATTCTAGGAATTCTGCTTGCTTGCTTGCTTGCTTGCTTGCTTGTTTTCAGAGTACTCTTTGAGTGGCTTAATGATACAGAGAGAGGGCTCCATTTAAGAATTAAATTTATTTTTTGTGGGCCTTGAACAAAGGTAGGTAAAGAAGCAAGCTATCAAAAATAGCTTTGTGATTTCGATCACAACAAAGAAGAAAGGCAAAGAGGGAAAAAAAAAAGCAGGAGCTGGCCCTTTTGCAGGGGAGACAAGGCTAAACTTCATGGAGAATAATAAAGACAAACTATTATCAGGTGCGAAGGTTAACCGTAGCCAAGGCCCAGAATGTAGGGTCCAGGAGCTGAGTCAGGATCATTGTTAACAGGTGCCTTTACA
Source organism: Homo sapiens (assembly GCF_000001405.40). Classification (NCBI taxonomy): domain Eukaryota; kingdom Metazoa; phylum Chordata; class Mammalia; order Primates; family Hominidae; genus Homo; species Homo sapiens. The sequence continues at coordinate 45,662,537 of NC_000002.12, read as the reverse complement.
GAGCATCTAGACTATCCTAACTCCTGATTTCACAGCTGGGAAATTAATAGGAGTCACCTGACTCCCCTATTCAATACATTTCATAGAGAGAGAAAAAAAATTAGCCAATCCAGTCCTGAAGAAGTGAGATCTAGGTTTCCCCAGGCTCTGAAAGGATTGTAGTAAGCTGTGCTTCTCGGTTGTAATTTTACAGATCATATATTTATGTTATTCTTTGATTAATGTCGTGTCTCCTAGTAGAGTGTATGCTCTCTGAGAGCAACGACCAGTTCTTGACATAGTGGGCATAGCACCTGGCATATTCAATAAATATTTGCTCAGTGAATGAAAGGACGGCCAGAACAATGAATGAATATACTACTCTGTCCACTGCTTTGAATCTTTTGTGAATTCTTTCTTTTTCAGCACTGTACCAAATGATGAACTTCTAAGAGCACAGACTCAGTCAGTCTGATTAAAGAATACTGACTATTTGAGCTTCTACAAGACAGATCCCAGAGAGCTAAAGGGGGGTAGAGGGGGACACTTCCTGTTCACGAGATGCTTATATCTGCCTGGGGAAAGAAGACTGGCAACAAAAGATGCCATAGTCTGAAAAAACAAATCTATTCAAAAAGGACATAAGCAAAATCAAAGACTATTTTTCTCCTCAATAATTAGTTCTAGATTCACTCATCATGATTTTTTAAAACTCTTCTAGGCTGGGGACAGTAGCTCACGCCTGTAATTCCAGCACTTTGGGAGGCCAAGGCGGGTGGATCATGAGGTGAGGAGATTGAGACCATCATGGCTAACATGGTGAAACCCCTTCCTTACTAAAAATACAAAAAAAAAAAAAAAAATTAGCTGGGCGTGGTGGCGGGCACCTGTAGTCCCAGCTACTCGGGAGGCTGAGGCAGAAGAATGGTGTGAACCCGGGAGGCGGAGCTTGCAGTGAGTAAAGATGGCACCATTGCACTCCAGCCTGGGCGACAGAGCGAGACTCCTTCTAAAAAAAAAAAAAAAAACAAAAAACAAAAAACAAAACAAAACAAAAAAAACTCTTCTTGAAGCCAGGCGCAGTGGCTCACTTCTCTTATATAATCCCAGAATTTTGGGAGGCTGAGGCGGGTGGATCACTTAAGGTCAGGAGTTTAAGACCACCCTGGCCAACATGGTGAAACCCTGTTTCTACTAAAAATACAGAAATTAGTCGGGTGTGGTGGCTCATGCTTGTAATCCCAGCTACTTGGGAGGCTGAGACAGGAGAATCGCTTGAACCCGGGAGGCAGAGGTTGCAGTGATCCGATATCATGCCACTGCACTCCAGCCTGGGCAACAGAGCAAGACTCCATCTCAAATTTTAAAAAACTCTTCTTAAGCTTGATTACATTTTTAGTCTTATCTATCTCTTGGGGTCAGGAGCTCAGTGAGTCTACTCCTTGCTGGCAAATACAGGTGACTTTTCACTAACATAAAACTACCTCTTTGAGACTTCAAGGTGGGGTAGAGGTCAGGGATGAGGAGAGAGGAGATCCTCATTTCAGCATCTGGGTTTCATGATAGGCTTCTGTTTTTCCTCCTCTTCCCCAGCACAGTATTACAGATTTCAGTTATATTTCCTCTGGAGTTTCAATTTTGTTTAGATGTCAGTGAGTTACGATGAATTGTATGTTCCTGTCCTCCTGGTTCTCCCAGCACAGTACAGACTTTTGGCCACTTCACATGGTTTCTGACAGAAAACTAAATCTCAAACAGGTGCAACCATGCTGATTAGCATTATAATAGATTGTAATTACTAACAAGCCCATATATACCCAGAGGAACTTGGAGAGAAATATAATGTTTTGCCAAGTGTAGCTTTTATTTATGTAAAATATTGCAGGCCTGCTCTGGAGTTATTTTAGCCTAAGTGAAACCCCTGGAAGCTTTGTCTGAACATGCTTCAATAGCTCTATGAGTTCAGGCGCCGGAATTTGAAATTTCGTTTCTTGTTGCTGCCAACTACAAAGGGTTTTGTATCTAAAGCCCTGATGAGAATTTGAACTTCATTTAAACTCTGCAAATGGAGGACAAGTGGGCCTTTTTCTTCTTCCCTCACCATGGCACCTGGAATGGGCCCTGGGCACTCAGAGGGTAGAAAATTCCTACTTTTGGGAAATTCAGACTTGACGGAGATTCTTCAGCTTGATGCAAATTGCTATGTGGAAATAATATAGCATTCTCTCATAAGAACATCTTCAGGGATCTCATAGATTTTTATAAAATAAAATATCCTTTTCTCCTTCCTCCTCCTCCTCACTTCTTTCAACTGTACAGAAGGATTGTTTAAGAAATTCATTCAACTGGTTTCTATCGAGATGCCATGCTCCTCAGAGGCAGGAACTACACATACACAACTTTTGTGTTACCAAACCCCATATCTACCAACAGTGCTAGACCATAGTAGGTACTATAGAAATACACACTTGTTTTGTGTTCATTCATTCATTCATTCATTCAACAATGTGCCAAGAAATTTATTCATTCATTCAACAATTTATTCATTCATTCAACAAAGTGCCAGGCACTGTTTTGGGTGCTGAGATAAAGCGGTGAACAAAAAGCTCTACATTTATAGAGCGTCTGGTGTTCTGGTATTAGAAATAAACAACAAAGATAAATAAGAAAACTAAATAGCGTATCAGATAGAGGTAAGAGTAAAGAGTAAAAAAAAAAAAAGGCAGGAAAGGCGCATATGAAGCATAAAATAAGAGGGTGAACTTTTAGATAGGATTGCCAGAAAAGGCCTTACTGAGAACATAACATCTGAGCGAAGACTTGAGCCATGTGGATATCTGGGAAAAGGGCATTCTAAAAAAATGGGATGGCAAGGGTAAAGACTGAGGCAGGAGCATGGTAAGTGCATTTAAGGGGTGTCAAGTGGGTCAGGATAGCTAGAGAGGAATGAACAGGGAGAAGAGTGGCAAGTGATAGGGTCAGAGAGGTCACAGCAGAAGGCCTGACTTTGTTGGTCTTGTAAATTATGGTAAGGGATAATCTCACCTGAGAGATCTGTGAGCAGAGACAGGAGCTGAGAAGCCAGGACAGGTGGAAGCAATTCAGAGGCTGTTGAAATAATCCAGGTGTGAGATAATAGTGACTTGGACCCAAGTGAGGTCAGCAAAGGTATGGAAAGGATGTGATCTGAGATATATTTTGAAGGCAGAAAGAGCAGATGTTGCTGATGGATAAGATATGGGGCACCTGAGAATTACAGGCGTCAAGGATGGCCCCTCAAGGTTTTTGGCTGGGTAATTGGAAGGATGGAGTTGCCATTTCTTAAGCTGAGGAAGAAGGGCTTAGATTGAGGAGAGGGGAAAATAGGTATACAATATTAGGCATATGGAGTTTAAGATGCCCTTTACACAATGAAAGCTGAGGACCTGAAGGCAATCCCATATATAAAGTCTAGAGTTCAGGGTCAGGCATGAGCTGGAATTAGGAATTTAGTGTCAACAGCACTGAAAGTGTATTTAAATCCATGAAACTAGATGACATTGGCACAGTAAAACCAAAACACCAGCTCCCAAATATCCTCATTTCCAATTACCCATACCTCTTCAATAAATAATTAACCTTTGTCTACAATGACCGCAGCTTCTAGACTTTCCAGAACAATCTCATTTCAAGTAATTCTATTATCTTCCAAAGGGCAATTTGTTAAGTATAACTAAGTCAAATTTATTTTTAGAGTATGTAAGACTTTTCATATAAATACATTCACAAATCAAGGAGAAAAATATATTTCACTGGACCATATGTTCTGATTTAAGATTCTAAAACTATGAACACACAAATGACTCTTCAAATATTAATAAAATTGCTGAAATGTATTATAGCCAGACCACTTGCTACAAGCTTTATAGTTCCTTATTTAATTCTCATAGCAACTCTGAAAGTCAAGACCTACGACATTTCCATTTTACAGATGAAGAAACGGGCTTAAAAAGCCTAAGTCACATGCTCAAAGTCACACAACTAGTGAGTGGTGGAGATGCCTTCCAGTTAGAACTCACTGAATCCAGGGAGAGCGGTCCATTGAGGAGCCAGGGAATTCAGGGTCTCAAATATTCACTAAATCTGCTGCTGGTCAAAGACACTAAGAAGAAGAAACAGTTCAAACAACGCTTGACTGTCCATGAAGTTGAAGGCTAACTCAGGTCCTTAACTCTAGGGACCCAATGCCAAGAGGTTGTCTGTGATAGCACTGGGCCAAGAATGAATCCTTTGGGTAGTTGTTAAACAACCAGCTATGGACCAATGAGAGCAATATTGGATTACATGGTATTATGGGAGTAGGGGAAAGGGAGATCCAGGGACCCTTGGCTGCTGGGGAAATAATTCAGGGTATAGGCGCACACGAAGGAGGTATGGACAATTGCCAGCCCTTCCCTACCTCCTTACCCCCTTAGTAGTCCCTTCCCACCCCACTGTGTTTAAATGACAATGGAGGTTTCAGAAATCCTTTTAAAAAATTTTTTCCTACAAATGTCCTGAAGATAGAGATGTGCTCTAGAGTAACATATATCAAAGTGCGGTCAGGCTGCCATTGTAGGAGATGCAGCAGGGGTCCTGCTTAACTCAGGCTCCATTCGGGGCATCAGAATCAGCACTGCTAGAGGCTGTGCCCTGGCATCTGTGTTGCATGAATCTCCCCCAAGTGATTCTGGTGGGCCAAGGGAGAACGGCCTCAGAGCCTAACCTCTCCGAATGATGTACAGGCCTATCTCCCAGAGTCCAAACAGGGTATAGGCCTATCTCCCAGAGTCAGCAGGGGTGCCATCATTTTGAAAAGCTTTGCCGATGGGCTACTTGGGAAATACAAACCAGAAATGACACTTCTAGTGTCCCATTCTTTGCCAAATGAGATGGCCAGACTGAAGAGAGCTACTTTGGAGAATATGAAAACCTAGCTTTCTCGTGGCCTATATAATAATCAATTCAGTCAAAAACTCTCTCTAGGCCAGCCCCATGCTCATTTTGGGGGCTATAATAATAATAATTATAGTAGATATGCATTGAGCAGTTACTAGGGACCAAGCATTGGTGTATGCATTGTACATGTATTAACTCATTTTAATCCCCACAGTAAACCCATTTCATTATAGGGAGGTATATTTATTATCACCCACTTTGTACAGGGGAAGGAATGGAAATACGGAAGGTTAAGTCACTCGCTAAAGGTCATGAAAGTGGTAGATGGTAGAAGTGGGATTCAAGTCCAAGCAGTGTGACTCCAGACTTCGCTGCTCCGGGGAATCACCTCTCAAATGATGGCTTTCTGTACCTCTGGATTCTGAGTGCCTGCCTCTTCTACAGAATACAGCAAGGGAGTGACATTCGCCAAAGATGTCTTCAGAGGCAGGGCAGTAGAACAAAGAGGAAACTGAGCTCAGTGTGTAGACTACTGAAGCAATGATAGAGAAAAATCCAAAATGTGAACGAGCCAGCTAGCTGTCACCTGCATGCAGCCCTTCAAGCCCTAATCCTTGCTCCGCCTGCCTCCCACCCCTGTGCTAAATGCAATGCCAATCCATCCAGCATTCATTCAGCCTCTGCTTCTAACATGAATCCCAATACTTCTAGTTCACACAATTATTATTCTAAATCTTTCTTTAAAAATTATAAAGTTATACAGTCACATTTCAGGACATATCTATGTAAAAATGCTTGATCCATTAATTATCTGGAGCCCTCTCTGGCCTGCAATTTCTATTCTAGCCCAATGTTTCTCAAAGCAAGCCTGGTCTGGTCAGAATCTCTGGGACAGCTGGTTAAAAATGTAGATTCCCAGCTTATTCCAAATTGTAGCATCAAAAGCTCTCAAGGTTGGGCCAGAGGATCTATATTTTTATCTATATGGATCTATATAAATCTATATAGATCTATCTTTTATATGCCCTCCCTTACTGATTCTTATGTACATGAAAGTCTGAGTAGCGTTATTAACTGGTTCTTGGAAAACCCAGCTATAGCAATAGTGTTATAATAGATTTTACTTCAAAGCATCAGCAAAATCTTTCCTTCTCTTTGTAATGAGCTTTCTCTAAAGCAACCTCCTTTGTCATCACAACTGAAACATCTCTCATTATCTGGAGAATAATTATCTCAGCTTGGCTTTTACGCATTCTAGAATTCACCTCAGTTTTCTAAACTTTTTCCTACTCCAATGTTTCCGAAGTGTGGGCCCCACATCACTAATGATGTTCAGAGGCACTTGGAATGAACTTTGTTTCTGTATTGTAGAGCCCTGTTTATTTTAATGTGAACAAAGAAAAGTTATAACTACATGCTCCAAACCTGTGATTTCATGAATAGTGGGGCTTAAGAAAAGACTACGTGGAAAATAAAAGAATCAATTTTTTAAATATTAAGTAAATGAAAGCACAGGCAGTACTCAGAAAAAAGTCTTAAATTTGGGAAACCTTGTCCTGCCCACTCCTTTCTGACAGGTACACTCAGTTTCTGTCCTGCTCATCCATTCTCCAACCCTGACTACAGGATTGTCTGCCTTTATTCCTGCGGTGGCCATGCCAGGAACACTGCTCCTTCTTGTAGATACCTCTTTAAATATAACCTACTGTTTCACACTCAGCTCATGCCTCCTTCCAAAAACCCTCCTGGATTCTTCCAGTTCTCCCTACCTTTTTTTTTTTTTTTTTTTTTTTTTCAAGAGACAGGGTATCACTCTGTCACCCAGGCTGGAATGCCGTGGCCTGATGGTCAGATCATAGCACACTGCAGCCTTGAACTCCTGGACTCAAGTAATCCTCCCACTTTGGCCTCCTGAGTAGCTGGGACTACAGGCACACACCACACCGCAGGTCCAGATTTGGCTAATTTTTAAGTTTCTTGTAGTTATGGAGTCTTACTACGTTGCCTAGGCTGATCTTGAACTTCTGGACTCAAACGGTCCTCCCAGCTCAGCCTCCCAAGTAGTTGGGATTGCAGGCATGAGCCACAGTGCCTAGCCCACACTCCCTTTTTAAACTCTTAACACACTAATGGTACCACCTGTGTGGAACCTAATTGCTAGTTAAGTGTCTACATCAGGGTGTCCAACTTTTAGGCTTCCCTGGGCCACATCGGAAGAAGAATTGTCTTGGGCCACACATAAAATACACTAACACCAATGATAGCTGATAAGCTAAAAAAAAAAAAAATGCAAAAAAACTTATAACGTTTTAGGAAAGTGTACAAATTTGTGTTGGGCTGCATTCAAAGCCATCCCGGGCCACATGTGGCTAACAGGCCATGGGTTAGACAAGCTTGATGTATATGTGGGTACTTGGTGTCAATTCCTTGGTGAAATGGAAGCCCCTTGAGAGTAACCCAGGGCCTCATTTTCCTCTGGATGGCCCACAGTGAGAAGCTTCCCTGGTTAGACATGAGCACAAAACAGGAACTCCAGGAATACAAGTGAATTCAAAGTGCGGCAGAATTCGGTGTTCCGCAAAAATGAGAGAAACGGCTGCTTTATGCTATCCACATCCCCTTACTTCAGGCCAGATCTCTCAGCCACACCTGAGAAGGGTGTGTTTCTTCATTCCTGCCAGGTAAGGAGTGAAGAGACCTGAGCCCAGGGAATTCTACCCAAAGCTATGAAACCATGGGTTTACCCTGAATGTTAAGACTGGGAAAGGTGAACTTAGCCCAGCTGCAACTTGTCTCCATTTCCAGGGGCCAGTCACCCCTGCCAATGAGTCCCCACCTTCAGCCTGGAGGAACCAGAGTGGCTACAGCATCCTCTGGTGAAAACAGATGGGCATTCTGAACCTGCTCCACTGCTTGACTCATCCTTCAGACTTTGGGCTTCTCTATCTCAAGTTTTTTAGTTTGTCCAATACCTGCCATACCTAATTCACAGTTGCTATAAGGCAAAAGAGATGAAGTTATCAAGTACAATAAAAATGTCAGGGACACAGCACATGGATCTGCAGGGAGAATAGGCTGGGAGGCCAGATGGGCAGGCTCGGCTCCCCATCAGACAAGCCATGGGCAACAGGCGGTGAGGGCCCTACTTCCAACCCACCTTTGCTTGTCATGTGACCCTCGGTCCCCAACTAGCTTCTCTGGAACTCAATGTCCTCATCTGTAAAACTTGCCTGTGCACTAGATGATCTGGCCTAGGGCCAAATCCAACATGAATTTGAGAACCTTAGAGGATGATAACCAAACAAGTTCCCACTGCATGCTTCACTAGGAGGGATGAAGGTGGGGACAGTGTCCTGAAGCTCCCAGAGTTTGGGGTGTGCCCCAGTGAAGCATCACCAGAGATACAAAGACACTCTCCCTCCAACCAACATCTGTTCTATGGATAAATGCAGACCTGCTGCTCCTCATCCCTGCTCTCTGCCCCACTGTCCAAGCCCCTCATCTGCATACACTGCAAAAGGCTCCCATCTCCTAGCTACCAGCGTCAAGTTTTTTCCACCCCCTTCCTGTCCAAAAACAACAACTCCAAAATCACAGGTTTTCAGAGTCAAGGTCTACCTCTGAAATTAGTTATCCCTTCCACTCCCCCTCTCATATGCACTGCATTCATGAGGAAAGGGCCCAAAGGCCATGCATGGAAAAGAAATGGGGAATGAGTGGGAGCTCTGTTGTGGGGGCTGAAGGAAGCAGAGATGAGGGACATCTGTGAAGTAGAATAGAATGGCATGGAGTTCTCTGGGATTCCATAAAGGTTTGCCTGCTTTCCAAAGTGCAAACCACAAATCTAGAGTTCTACGCATGTGGCTTGTTGGAGCTTCCCTGTGAAACCGTAACCATGGTTTCAGGCAGACTACATCACAGCCATGAGCACAAAAACAACAGGCTCTCTCTTATTTTTCCCTAAAACTCCGTGTCCTTGAAAAAAATATGTAAGGTGATATGCCAAAGTGATCCATGTGCAACCTCTGACCTCTAGGACATTCATGAAGTTAGCTGGTTTTCAATAGAAAGCAATTGCTCTACACCACTTTTGAGGCTTAGATAGCTCTCTCACTTTTTGTGTAGACCAAAGAACCCTGAAAACATATACCTCCAGAGGAACGCTTGTACTTGCTGGAAACATGTAACAAACCTGAAAACACAAAAATCCACATCCTAAATTAATACCTTCCTTCCAAGAAGAGAGAAAAAAAAAAAAAAAAAAAAAAAAACAACCCAAAAACAAACACAAAAAGCAAAATGAAGGTTTGCTTCTCTCTGCTTGTCCAAGTGCCAAGACTGGATGCATTTGGTTTATAGTAGATTGAGACAAGACCTCTTTCCAAATCCTTAATAGTTTAATAATGGAATCAATTAACAACTCAATCTCATACTTAGAAATCGTCTTTTATTGCACAGTATCTTGACAATCAAAACAGAGAAACAATATAACTTTAAATAAGATTCAAAGCACTGACTTCCAATTACCCACAAGCAGAACCCTTCTTAAAATGCAACATTCATTCTGCATGGATGGGCAATGAATTGGACAAAACAAGCTCGACTGATGTTTCTGGGACCATAGAGGAGACATCCTGGAGGAGAACACATTTTTTCTACTTGTATGTCAGAAGATGAGCTAACCACCATGCAAGAGAATAGAAACAAGCCAGCTTCCTCTCGGAGGGAAAAATAAAGCAACTCCTCGCTCGGCTAAGCAGGACAAAGCCAGGACGTGCAAGAAGCCTTCAGTCAAAGGCTCCACGTGCCTTTCCAAGGACGGAGGGACCCACCCACACACAATCACACACAGCCAGCCCACCACGCGCCTGCGGAAGAAAGCCGGGTCCTCGGCCAACCTTCAGCACCAGTGGCCCAGGCTCTCCCAGTTTGCAAACCTCCCGCAGCACCCACCAACTGGAGGGCACAGAGGGAGCAGAGGGCCACATCCTCTTTCCAAGTCTCATCTTCCTCGCCAATGCCTGTTTCTCCCCAACTATGAAGTGAAGTGTACCTCCCCAAGGAAACTGAGACTTACAGGCACACACACCCCAGTCGTCAATAAGTCCCGGAGCCCTACGATCAAGACCAGCGAGTCTTTCCCCGGGACCCCACAACCGGGTTCCCGGAATGACGGGGAGGCGCCGCACTCACCCAGTCCTCGAAGTGGCGGCTCCCGTTCTGCAGCAGCTCCTCAAACTGGATGGTGCAGTTGGCCACGAAGTCGTCGTAGCCTATGGGGGCATCGTGAAAGACAGCCAGCTCGATCTTGCGTCCGTTGCACACATCGGTGACGAACTCGTCGTGCCAGGCCGGGCTGTTGGTCTTCTGCTTGGTGGCCGTTTGGCCGATGCGCGAGTCGTCCACATTGAGGGCAATGTAGGGGTCGAGAAGGAAAGTCTGCGGCCGGGGTCCCACCGCATGGCGCAGCGACCAGGCTGTGGGCTTCAAGCTCACGGCCTCGCAGATTTTGATCTTAAGAAGGCCATTGAACACTACCATGGTCGGGGCGGGGAGTGGGGGCCGGGGTCACTCCGTCTGCCCCGAGGGCAGGAATGAAGAACCGACGGCCCGGCACTCCGAGCCACAGGGACTCTTGGGTCCCCTTTCGCCCCACCCCGCACACTCCCTACACCTTGTGGCGTTGCGCCCTGGCGCGGGCGATTCTCAGCCAGTGCATGTATTTCCTCGCCGGGTTCCTAACGGAAAACAGGGAGGGGGGAGAGCTGGGGGATGTCCGTGTTTGGAGCAAGTCTCTCCCCCCGACCACCAGCTGCACCTCCAGAAGAGAAGACGAGCTGTCGGCTCCGCTGCAAGCCGCGGGGGCTGCCTCGCCGCCTCGCTGGCTCTCCGGCTCCGGACTGCGGGAAAGCGGGCGCCGCGCCCGGCGCTTACCTACCTTTCCGAAACATAATCCCGGGAAATTTCGACTCCGGGAGGGGGATGGGGCGGTGGGACGGGGCGGGGACGAGAACCGGGGGCGCAGATTTCAACCCGGATCCTCTTCGCACACTCAGCGCCTGCCTCTGACCGCGCGGGGCGGGGGGGTGAACGGAGGGATGTTCAGTCTATCCGGAGGGATGCATGTCGAGAGGAAATGGTCCTCCTCGGAGCCAAATTTTTAAAAATCCACAAGCCCCACGGCCAGCCGGGGCCGCCGCCTCCTGGGCGAAGCAGCGCCGCGCCGGAGCCGGCGATCGGGAGGCGCCAGGAGCCCGGAATCTCACATCCGCGCGGGCTCGGAGTCCGGGCGGCCGCCGATCCGGCTCGGGGGCGCAGGCCAGCACCGGGCGGTGCGCAGCGCGGCGGCGGGGCAGGGACTGCGACTCAGCGCGGCCCCACCTCCTGGGCGCCGGCGCCCGCCCTCCGCGCTCCCCGCGTCCCCGCTCTCGGCTGCCGCTCGCTCGCCGCCCGCCAGCCCGCGCTCCCCCGCGGTCTCCTCTCCCTCTGTCGGTGTGCGAGCGAGTCTCCCTCCCTCTAATGCAGGAAATGCGCAAAAGACGTCAGTGTGTGTGAGTGTGTGTGTGTGAGTGTGTGTGTGTGCACGCGCGCGCGCGCACGGCAGTGTTTGGGGAAATAGAAAGTTTTGCCGGTTGGGGGAGCAATACGGAAAAAGTGAGCCGAGGAGACAACGGTGGAGAGCTGGCGAGGCTGCCCGGGGTCGCAGCGGCGGGCGGGTCAGCCGGGGGGCGGGGACCCCGCGCGGGACCCCGGGGTGCGGCGGCGCTGGGCTGGATGCGCGTGCCGGGGGCCGTGGATGGCCATGGATGGGCCCCGCCGGGCCGCGTATCTCTCGGGGACCCTGCGGCCAACACTGTCTTTTAGAGCCGGGGATGGGGGAGTGGAGGGGGCCCTGTTGCCCTAGAGGCCTCGGGACCCTTCCCTTGCCCACCCCCACTCGGGCCGCGGCGGGCAGGAGCAGTCTGCGGAGTTCTGGCCCATCTGTCACTCTGTCCCGGGACGCTGTGATCCACGGCGGTGGGGGAGGGGGAAGGGGGAGGGACAAGCATGGCTCGGGTGAAGTTTTAAACTCTGTTCTTCTCTCTTGCCTTTCTTTGGGGACATTCTCCCCTTTGGGATCTGTCCTGGACTTCGCAGGCTGCGAGAACTTGTTGACAAGTGAAAGCTCGGTAGAGCCCCGGCTTGGTTTGTGGTCTGCTTATTTTTTGCAAAGTGACTGTTCCTGTTTGCGCTGGTCCTTATCGGTGCCCCTTTGGGGGACTTCGGCACTGATCAGCGCGCTGACAGCCGCCGTCCGGGCTGCGGGAAAATGGGGCGCGCCCTCCGGGGGGCGAGTGGCTGTGTCCTTGCTAATTTCCTCCGTAACCTTTAAACTCTCGCTGGAAGCTACCGCCGCGGCTGGTCACGTGAGGAGAGCCCTGGGCTGCTGGGGAAAAATTTCCTCGGCTGGGAGCCGGGACCGGGCCGGCGGCCGGCGAGGGACTGCCCCGCGCCCGAGACTGGGAACCTGGGAGGGCAGGGCCGGAGCGCTGGGCCCCGGGGCGCGGCCCAGCTGGGACACCCGCGAAGACGGCGGCGGTGAAGAGGTCGGCTCCGCTGCCGGGGAGCTGGGGATTATGCAAATGGGGAAAGAAAACCTCCGCCCTCGCCCTTCTGCCAAGTCAAGTCTGGGAATTTGTAGGTATTGTGGTAAGCTGAGTGTTCATCTGGCGGGTCTGGTTAGTGTAAACCAAAATTTAAAACGCGCCTCCCGATCACTTTTTCCTCAGTGGGTAAAGGTTATCATTGCCTGCGGCTTAAAAGCCTAAAAAGGCTTAAAGGCGAGGAAGGAGGCAGTCCCCTGGAAAAACAGGATATCAAGTGCAGCAAACACGTCCCAAAAATGATCCGAAAAGTTCTAGGGCCATCTCCTAAGAACAGGCAAAGCCTTTGCCTGCAACCGCTCTGGAGCTTCCTAATACAGTAATTTCTCGCAGCCTGCCCTGTTGAACAGGGCAGCTGGGTAGAGATGGTGCTAAGATTCAGTCTTCCGTATGATCTAGGTAGCTCCGATGTAAAAAGCCAGGATTTCAATGGTTGTCTTACCCTGTCACTCCCCCAGCTGGAGATACGATATCTTAAAATATGTCCGTTTGACAAAGCACAAGCAGGGGTATCTCATTGCTGTTTAATTTTTATTTCTTTGATTATTACTTTTTTCCCTTTTGCTTCTTCCTTCCACTCTGCTATTCTCATGAAGCCTCTTTCCCCCTTTCCAGGGCATGTGATGGAAGGCAGTGGCAAATATGGCTTGATCTTCTGAAAATGCATTTGGGAAGCAGAGCCAGCACCAAAGTGAGATGAGTGAGATACTTTTCAGAGGCAAAATGTAAAGGGTACCAATAAACGTAATCAAGATAAAGATTTAATACAATTTTTTAAAAATAAAAATGTGAGAATCCAGAATGGACACAATATCCACATTTTAAATAATTTTAAATATTGCACTAAAATATTTATACTACTGAGTTTATTGGCACCTGTTAAATTTTGTACCTGAGCCGAGTGCGTCACTCATCTCACCCTAGTCCTGATCCTGTTGGGAAGTCTGGAAAGTCAAGGATTTCATGGAGTTAGGGATCCTTGACTAATTGGTGCTTCATATGTTCTCATTACTTGCTTTGGGTAAGTCTTGTACAGGCAGGAGCCACCATGCCCAGCCCCCAAATATATTAAATAGGGTCTGTTACCATCTCAGTGACTGTCTTAAAACAACCTACAAACTTCCAGCACCATTTCCTAGCATGCTGGCTCAGCAGACTGTTACTCCGTGTAAATCACCAGACTGCAATTCTCAAGGGCGACCAATGCTTGTCTCCTTTCCATTACAGCAACTCTTTTGGAGCAAGGGTAATAAAAGACTTTGTCAAACAAAATACATGTTTTGTATTGGATTAATGTTTACATAAAAAGGGAGAATGCTGGTAGTCTGCATGCAAACACTGCTAGTTTCCTGCCCTTATTACCTCCTTATTTCTAAATAAATCTCTCGCCTTCCTACTCTCAAACTTGGCCAAATGAAAAGTTGAATTCCCCAGGGACATCATGGAGATGCCAGGTCCAAAATAACCCCCTGCTCCAGGTTTCATGTGAAAAGAAAATCCCAAGGAGGGGGCTTAGACGGTAAAATTCCAATAGGAAATTATTGCCAGCTTCATCCTTCCCTCAGCCCCTGTCTCCAATCCCAAAGGATAAGACAGTGGTTAGCATATACATTGAGTAAAATGACCTTTGGATTCCAACTATGGCCTAGTTATTTCATAATCTTTGTGAGAAGGAAGAAAATGATACAATAATTTAACAAAGATGACCAAAATGGAGCCTTTCTCCTTTCAAAATTAAGGCTTATGAGAAAAGAATAGAACAACAGATGTGGCCAGGACAGGGCGATCAGTGTTGCAATAGGTCTATGGATGGGAGTGGCACAGAAGAAGGATCACCCCTTTGCCTGGGGAGCCTGGGAAGGCATCAACCAGCAGAATCCTTTGAGCTGAGTCTAGGCTTTCCAACAGGAGTTCTTCCAGCAGCAAAGAGGGAAGGGAAGGGTACTGGCTGCAAAAAGTATAATGTGTACAGGTAGGAAAGCCATGACTCTTCAGGTAAGCGGCCAGGTGTGCCCCACTTGTGGCAGGTAGTAACAGGAGATGAAGTAAGTAGGAACCTGATAGTTAAGACCTCAGAGGGCCTGCAGATGGGTCTCAACTTTTTCCTGGAGAGACACCAAACATTCCAGCGGGCAAGCAGCATAACTAGAGTTAATACTTTACAAAGGCGATTTTGTGATGGATAAATATTTTTCTCTTCTGTAATTTTCCTCCAGAAGGCTCACCTCAAAACAGGGTATTAGACAAAGAGAAGATCCAAGTCTGAAGATGATTTACACTCTGTATAATCAAAATTGAAACTGTCTGTGGATACTGTTTAGATCAGCTGGAGGAAGCGGGGAAGGGGGAGCCAGAACCGTAGACTAGCGCGTTAATATTCATGTCCCTGTTGCTGTGCTGGTTGTTGCCATTTATAGAATGTTAATGGGCTTCTGCAAAGGTCTGCCTGGTCAGGGTCTATCATACATTCCACACATGCTCCGCTGAACAGAATCCAACCACCTGGGCCATGGGATGGAACGCGCAGCAGTATAATGACACAGAAACCTTCTAGAGCTCCGCTGGTCCTGCCCCAGCCTAGCCCCCACCCGACCCTGAGCCCCACTTCAAACTTTGCCCCACACCTATACTCCTGTGGTGGGCTTTTGTCTGCCCTGCCATGTCTTCTTATTTTGGCCCCATCTCAGCTCCGAATTCTGGCCCCATCTCTGCTCTATATTCTGTTGCAGTGACTCAGGCCAAGCTTCACTTAATACCTGCAAAGAGGTGGAGGGATCAGAGGCAGCCCTATCGAGCTTGCTGATGGATGCAGAAGGAGATGGCCTGGTGCCCCTATTCCTCAGGGCCTGTGACTGTGAGCCCTACTCACTAGGATGCCATTTGGAGAATAGCATAACATTCTTCATCTTCTGTGGGTCAGATGTTGGGTTGTGTCTTGGGATTTTTTTTTTATAAGGGACAGAGTCTCACTCTGTTGACCAGGCTGGAGTACAGTGACACAATCACAGTTCACTGCAGCCTTGGCCTCCCAGACTTGAGCAATTCTCCCACCTCAGCCTCCTGAGTGGCTGGGACTAAAGCCATGTGCCACCATGCCCAGCTAAAGTTTTTTGATTGTTTTTGTAGAGATGGGGTCTCACTATGTTGCTCAAGCTGGTCTTGAACTCCTGGACTCTAGTGGTCCTCCTGCATCAGCCTCCCAAAGTGCTGGGATTACAAGTGTGAGCCACCGTGCCTGGCCCCTGTCTTGGACTTTTAAGATCATATGTCAATCCAAGGGTCTTTACTAAGTACTTGCTATATATAGGATACTAGGGCAGGTGCTCCAGGGAGGATAAATAGCTATATGGATAATCCCTACTCTACCTGGGGAGATGAGTAGATCAATTCAGTCGGTCCTTTATTTAACAGTCAGTAGTGTCATGTCATGTCATTTGGAGCACTAGGGAAACAAAAAATGACAACACAAAATGGCCCTTTATTAGTCAGGATTGGCTAGGTCATGCTGCTGTAATAAGCTCTCCCCAGATCCCAACACCTTAAAAGAACAAAGCTTTCTTCTCATGCATGCTGTAAGTCTATGGCAGGTTGGTTGGGAGCTCTGCTTCCCATTAGCGTCATTCTCACTTCTGGATCCAGGCTGGCTAAAAAGTTACCATCTGGAACATGGCTGGTCATGGGCAGAGAGAAAAAGGATGTCTGGAGGGTCTTACACAGGCAATTAAATAGTCCACCTGGTGGCTCATGCCTGTAATCCCAGCATTTTGGGAGGCCCTGGGTAGCAAAACCTCATCTCTACAAAATAAAATAAAATTAAATTAAATTAAAAAAACATAGCTGAGCATGGTGACGGGTGCCTGTAATCCCTGCTACCTGGGAGGCTGAGGTGGGAGAATTGCTTGAGGAGGCTGCAGTGAGCCAAGATTGTGACACTGCACTTCAGCCTAGGCAACAGAGCCAGACCCTGTCCCCCACCTGCCCCCCACCCAAAAAAATCCATCTGGAAGTGCTAAATATCATTTGTGCCCACTAATTGTTAGCTAGAACCAGTCTCAGATCCCGCCTTCCCCAACCACAGGGTCTGGGAAGTTCTACCATCTGTACTGTCAAGGAGCATGGAATGTTTGGTGAATAGCACTGAAGACTGCCATAGACACTATTCTCAAATGACAGGTGCAGAAAGGTAATTCAAGGTGGCACACAATAAATAACAAATAATCAGCCCACTCAGAAAGCACTATAGGAACTTAGGGTAGCAATAATCACAGTAAGAGTCAGACTGTTTGACCGTCCTCCCTCCCTTTTGCTCTGGGCCACTGCATACAGAAGACTCCAGATGACATGGAGAATCCTGCCTAATATCAGAACCAGCAGCCATCCAAGCTCCTTTCCCCTCCCCGTTATATGCTTAACACCTCATGGGACGTGCAGTTCCTTAAAGCCACTTTAGAACCACGGCAGCACAAAGGAGGCATTTGGGCCCAACAGAACTGAGAAGACTTACTTGTTAAACTCTGTGGGATTTGAGGGATCACTTGGTTTGTTTAATTAATTAATTAAGTTTTTGAAATGGAGTCTTGCTTTGTCACCCAGGCTGCAGTGCGGTGGCACACAATCTCGTCTCACTGCTGCAACCTCAACCTCCCAGATTCAAGCAATTCTCCTGCCTCAGCCTCCTAAGTAACTGAGATTATAGGCACACACCACCATGCCCAGCTAATTTTTGTATTTTTTTTTAGTACAGACAGGGTTTCACCATATTGGCCAGGCTGGTCTCAAACTCCTGACCTCAAGTGATCCACCTGTCTCAGCCTCCCAAAGTGCTGGGATTACAGGCATGAGACACTGCGCCCAGACTATATTCTTTATTGTTATTAAATTCCTCTATTAAATGAGGAAACTGATACCTAGAGAAGTTAACTGACTTGCCAAAAAAAAAAAAAAAAAAAAAAACAGAAAAAAAAACCCCAAAACACTACCTAGAGGTCTAGACCCAAATCTTATACCTTATACATTGACTGTTCTTTCTACATTGCCATGCCGGAACCAAGGCAGCACTATTTAATGATAATCATGTCAATTACATTTTAATTCCTTGGAA